>NC_000008.11:12284345-12587375 GCF_000001405.40 Homo sapiens
AGAAAGGAGAGGATGATATTACTCCCAATAAAGCAGTGGGTGTACATCACCCCTGTGTTATTATCTCTAATATCCGGGGCTGGGGGAGGAGGGGAGAGGATAACATTCCCTCCAATTTAGCAGGTGGTTTGACGCCCCTTGTGGTGTTGTTTTAAATATCCAGCAGGGAAGACAATACTACTATTTTTGATAGTACGATTCATCCGCTCCACCTTTCCGGAACTCTGAGGCCAGGAGGCAGCATGCAGTTTCCGTGTGATCCCCAATACCTTTGCCATCTTCTGTACCAAGGCAGCCAAAAACACAGGCCCGCTGTCTGAGCCAATCCCTAAAGCCCGTCGAAATCTAGGAATCCAATCATGAAGAAGCACAGGGGTTACTTCATGAGCTTTCTCAGTTCGTGTTGGATAGGCCTCCACCCACCCAGAGTAGGTACGCCCAAGAACTAGTACATACTTGTTACCTCCACACTTTGACATCTCTGTGAAGTCCACCTGGAGACCTTCAAAGGGGGCTGCTCCATAAGCTCGTATGCCGGGCGGAACGGCTGGACCTTGCCTCGCATCATGCTGTCGCAGGTAACACACCGCTGCCTCACCGTTTTGGCAAGGGCTGACAAAGGCGAGATGTAGAAATACCAGCCTAACAACTTTTCCAGTGACTCCTGACCTCGATGGGTGGTTTCTTGCACAGCCAGTACAACTGCAGCTCCTAGCAGCTGTGGCACAGCTACTCTCCCGTCTGGTAACCAAATCCATCCTTCCTCCATCACTTGTCCTTCCCTCTACCTGGAGAAAGTCCTTTTCTTCTTTAGAAGAAGCAGGTCCAAGATCAGGTGCTTGAAGGAGCACTGATGCCCAGAAGGGGACAGATGCTGCTTTTCGAGCCTCTGAGTCAGCGTGGGAATTCCCCAAATCCAGCAAGATGGAAGCTCGCTGGTGTCCTCTGCAATGCCTAACTTCCACTTTGTGGGGTTTCAATACTGCTTCTAATCATTGAAAGACTTCTTGTTGATATTTTCTGTCTTTTCCCCCACAGTTCAAAACTCGTCTTCTTTCTATCACGCTCCATGCACTTGAAGGGTTAAAAAGACATACGGAGAATCAGTGTAAATGTTGACAGTCTCACCCTCACTGAGTTCTAAGGCCCCAATGAAAGCAATGAGTTCAGCTTTCTGGGCTGATGTGGCCTGGGGCAGTGATCTGGCTTCAACAACAGTGTCCAGGGTTATCACTGCATACCCTGAACCTCTCTCTCCTTGGGAGTTGAAGAAGCTGCTCCCATCCACGTATGGCTCCCAGTCTACTGATGCCCAAGTCTGGTCCCGGAGGTCAGGCCTGCTACAGTCAATTGAGTACAACATTTCTACACAATCAGGCTCGGCAGAGCTCTCTGATACCGGCAGCAAGGTGGCGGGGTGTAGGGTGTTACAAACTTTACTGGTTATATGGGGATTTTCACAGAGCAAAGTTTGGTACTTGGTGAGTCTGGCATTCATTAGCCAATGATGTCCTTTACTACTCATTAAAGTCACCACAGAACGGGAGGCATTTATGTTCAGGCTTTGCCCAAGAGTCAGCTTATTTGCGTCTTGTACTAGCAGGGCACTTGCTGCCAAGGCCCTCCAACAGGGGGGCCATCGTTTAGAAACCCCGTCTAGTTGTTGAGAGAGGTAGGCCACAGGCCTCGGCCGGGGCCCCACAGTTTGGGTTCAAAGTCCAGCTGCCATCTTTTCTCTCTTTTATGCATATAATGGAAAAGGCTTTGTCAAATCGGGTAGCCCCAGGGCTGGGGCTGCCAGAAGTTTTTCCTTTAACTCATGAAAGACTTGCTGTTGTTGGGATCTGCATTCCAAAGGTTCCCGGTCCCCGCCCCATTTGTGACCGCGTACAAAGGCTTGGCTAATACTGCAAAGTTTGGGATCCACAGTCTACAAAACCCCACAGCTCCTAAGAATTCTCTCACCTGCCTTCAGATCTTAGGCTCCGCTAGATGGCAAATGACCTGCTTTCTTTCTGATCCCGGGCTGTGTTCCGACCCCTGTCAGATAGTAAATCCCAAGTAACGTACCTGCTGTCAGCAGATCTGAGCTTTCTTCTTGGACACCTTCTACCCACAGTCCTCCAGGTGCCGGTGTAGGGCATCTTTTCCCTTGGCACACCCGACTGCCGTGGGGTGTCCCAGCAGAAGGTCATCAGCCTACTGGAGCAACACGCAGCCTAGGTCTCTGCTGGGAAACTTCTGGAGGTCTTGAGCCCATGCCTCCTCGAAGATGGTGGGGGAGTTCTTGAACCCTTGGGGAAGTCGAGTCCAAGTGTACTGAGTAGTGACACCTGACTCCGGATCTTCCCACTGAAAGGCAAACAGCTTCTGCCTCTCAGGGGCTAATCTGATAGGAAAGAAAACGTCTTTCAGGTCCAAGCAGGTGAACCAGCTGTCCTCAGCTGGTGGAAACCCCAACAATGTGTACGGGTTAGGTACTGTTGGATGTAAAGTCAGTGTAGCTTGATGAAGCAAGCGCAAATCCTGTACCGGCCGGTAGTCCTTGGTCCGTGGTTTGGGAACAGGCAGGAGGGGAGTGTTCCATGGAGACTGACAAGGAACAATCATTCCAAAAGTTCTTAGGTGCTTGAGATGGACCTGGATACCTTGAAGGGCTTCTCTGGGGACTGGTTCCTCTTTTTGCCTCACCGGCTGGGCCCCAGTCTTAACTGGCAGTGCCCCAGGGTTGTCTTCTGCCATACTCTTGGCCACCGCTCAGCCAGAGCTGGTCTCTCTTGGTCCGGCTCAGTTCAGAAAAGTCTCCATTCCAACTCTCGGGGGACTATAATGGTCATAATGACTCCCGTTCCGGGTAACTTTAGCAGCGAAGAGCCGTGCTCTCTCAAAGAGATAGTGGCTCTCAGCTTGCTGAGCATGCCCCTTCCCGAAAAGGTCAAGGGACAGTCAGGCATGTACCAAAACTGATGAATGACTTTATGTCCTCCTACAGTACAAGTCCGAGGCAAGCAGAAAGCTTGCTTTGCTGAAAGCCCCGTGACTTCGATGATGTCAATAGTCTTTTTGGATAAGGGGGTGACCGGGGCGGTTACTAGCGAATGTTCAGCACCGCTATCTACAAGAAAGTCAATGTCTTCACCCCCGACAGTCATTCTGACCAGAGGCTCTTTGGGGAGGCTTGAGCCCGGTCTCCCTCTGTCCAGTAACCCTTCTGCCAGGTTGAGCAGGGCCCCTTCCTCCTTGTCCGGGGCCTCCTGCTCTGAGTCACCTTGTTTTCTTTTGAGCTGAGGGCATTTGTTCTTCCACTGTCCTATTTCTTTACAATCAGCACACTGGTTACGCTGCAAACTCTGACAGCCAAGCTGAGTTTCTTTCCCAGGGCCCCCTTTCCCTTGCCTCTTTGGGGGTGCCCTCTGATTGTTGCAGCTGAGAAACAGGTCGGCGTGTTGCCGGGCCTGACCTCCATTCTCTTTGCCATTTTCCTTAGGGCTTACTGCATCCCTGTTTACAAACACCTGGCTAGCTATTTCTAGTAATTGGGATGGATTCATCCCTGCAAGCCCAGCCTGTTTCTGCAGTTTTCTTCTCACGTCTTCTGCGCTTTGACGGACTAAAGCCATGGGAATCATGCACTGATTTTCAGGGCTATCGGGATCAAAGGGAGTATACATACGATAGGCCTCCCACAATTCTCTCTCGTAGAGTTGTGCTGGACTTTCTTCTTTTCCCTGAATGACCTCAGAGAGCTTGTTAACGTTTGTGGCCTTCTGAGCTCCCCTCATTAATCCTTCCAAGAGAGCTTCCCTGTCTCGGTTTCACCTTTGCATATCCTCTCTTTCATGTGGGTCCAAGTGGGGGTCGGTTCCTGGCAACTGGGTCCTTCCATACTCTTGGGGGTTTTGATAATCAGCTGGTGCATGTTCCTCTAGCCACTTAGTTGCTGCTTGGAGGACTCTCTGCCTTTCTTCACTGTTAAAGAGGAACATGAGCAACTGGTGCCAATCAGCCCAGGTGTGGTTGTGGGTCTGGATAACAGTTTGGAGCAAATCAATTAGTGCTTGTGGGTTTTCGGTATAGGGCGGTGTATTGTTTTTCCAGTTGAGAAGGTCGAGGCAGGTGAAGGGCTGGTACCCAAAAACACGCCTCTCCACCACGTGACCATCCTCATCTATCCCAGTCTATCGCTGCTCTCTCAGGGGCATTTGTGTCCCCTTTTTGGGTCGTAAACGAGCTGCCGAGGGAGGGGTGGAATGGCGCAATGCGACTTGCCGCAATTAATAATCTCAATTATTAATTGACACTAATAATTATCAATATTAATAACCCATAATATAATTTTTAAAATCAATACCGATAATAATGATAATTAATATTAAATAGTTATACTAACAATAACAATACATGATTAATATTAATGATTAATGACGCCTGATATTAATAACTATTGATCTTATTCATTAGAAAACAGTAATATTAGCTCCTAATATTTCATATTAATATTAATAATCTGTAAACTTTTTATTAGCAATTATTTATTAATATTAATATTAATATCAGTCATTCATATTTATGTTAATAATAAATGAGGTATAATTCATACTAATATTACACCCTAATACCTCAGTGGGTGTACACCCACCTGCGATATTGCTCCTAATGTCCAGAGAGAGAGAGAGCATGATATTACGTTCAATATCACAGTAGGTGTACACCCAGCCGGTGATATTGATCCGAATATAATCTCCAGGGTGTGGAGTAAGATATTACTCCCAATATAGCACTGGGTGTGCATCCACCCTGTGATTTTGCTCCTAATATTCACGGAAGAAGACAATGCTATTACTCCCAACATCGCAGGAAGTGTACACCCCCGTGTGAGATGGTCCTTAATAACATTCCAAGGCGGAGGGAGTGATAGGACTACATATATTGCAGAAAGTGGACACCACCAAGTATATTGTTCCCATGATCCTAGAGGGAAGAGTATGATATTACTTTCAATATCACAGAAGGTGGACACCCCCCCACTGATATTGTTTCTAATTGCAACGTGGGAGAGGAGGATATGACACACGATATCCCAGGGAGTAGAAACAACTCTGTGATACTGTTCTTAATATTCAGGGAGGAAGAGGATGATATGACTCCCAATAGAGACGGGTGTACAACCTCTGTATACCCAGGGTGTACACCGGTTTGTGAAACAGTTCATAATCTCCAGAGCGGGAGATGATATTACTCACAGTATGATAAACAGGCTGTGAGTCCACCGCGGATCCTAAAAACCAGGGGGGCAAGAGGGGCTGGCTCTTACTCCCCGCATCGCGGGGGGCCCCTCTCCCCCCTGCGATGGGTGTCCTAAGGGCCAGCGGGGCAAGAAGGGCTAGCTGTTACTCCCGGCATCGCGGGGAGTGCCTCACCCCGCTGCAATGGGGGTCCTAAGAGCCAGGGGGGCAAGAGGGGCTGGCTCTTACTCCCCGCATCGGATATAGTACTATGGGTGAAACAGCAATGTGGCTGTGGATGTAAATTAAGGGAGTTAATGTTAAAATGCACACATGAAAATAGAGGGTAAGCATTTATAAAATTTATATTCATTTTCACCTGACCATCTAAACATGCAATTATAATAATTTTCATCCATCATGTTAATTATTCGTAGATAAGAGAGTTTAAGACATGTTTTTGCTCCTGGAGTCTGAAGAAGATGGAGTTAGCATTTTCACCACTTCTTTTGTCCGTCAATTTCAATGATCTTCAGTTTGCAGCAGATGCTGAAGTAAGCACAGTATCTAATTACATGTTCATCAGCATTGCACTTCAGTCTGCAATGATAATATTCTGAAGGACATTCATCATTAGAAATGAAGCTTCTGGCTTTAAGAGGAGAAGACAAATTATACGATACAATATACTTACTTTTTATTCTTAAATGTCTGAAATGTTTTATAATAAATTAAAAACATTAAAGAACTTTCCCAGAAAAACAAAAACAGCAAAAGAATGCAAGAGAAAAAGTGGAGATGCTGAATAAAGACAAACGATGCTTTCTTCTATAAAGAGAGGAGTAAATGAGGCAGTAGCTGGAAATGTACAGAATTTTAAATGAGAACTATTACCACATATTTCTACCTAAAATGAATTATCCTGCTTGGGGGTAGTGTAGAGATTCATAATGCAGGAAATAATGTTTAACTTCTGGAGTTAAATTTTTGAAAAAGTCATTGGGGATGGAATCTAGTGTAAGTGGAGGGGTTGGCCTTGAATCAGACAGTGAAGAGAAGGTAGATTACGGATAAAGATAAAACTATGTGAAGAGATATAGTGGTGGAAAAGTGGAAAAGCTATCTTTGGTTGCTTCTCTGTTCTTGGTGAAATGAGAAAAAGGAATCCTTAATTGAGAGAACGGGTCAGAAGGAGTTGAGTCTTAGTTCCAGCTTCCCAGGGTATTCGGGCTCAAGGCCATTTCTCCTTTGTTGAGGAAGTTACTGAGATATGCACAGGAGCCTATAACCCATAATCCCCCATAAATATTCCCTTTAAACCTACCAGTCCTTCCCAAATCCTTTTGTTACAATTTGTAAGTTAAAATAATTGCCATGACCAACATCATGAAAGTTTCTCCTTATGTTTTCTTCTATAAGTGTTATAGTCTCAGGTAATTATGTTTAAATGTGTAGTTCATTTTGAGTTGCTTTTTGTGTGTAGTGTAAGATACAGGCCCAATTTATTCTTTTGCATGTGAATATTCAGTTTTCTCAGTACCATGTATTGAAGAAACCGTCTTTTCCCCATTATATATTCTTTGCATGTTTGTTGAAGGCCAGTTGACTGTATAAGTGTCTGTTGATTTCTGGGCCCTCTATTCTCTTCCAGTGGCCTATATGTCTGTCTTTATGCCAGTAGCACACAGTTTTGATTACTCTATCTTTATAATACATTTTGAAATTAGAAAATGTGATGCCCCTAGCATTGTTTTTCTTGCTCATTGTTTTGACTATTCTGGGTCCTTTGTGGTTTTATATGAATTTTAAGATTGTTTTTTCTATTTCTGTCAAGAGTGCCATTAGGATTTTGATAGGGATTGTATATAATCTATAAATTGCTTTGAATAGTATGGATATTTTAATATTATTATGTCTTCCAATTCACGAACATAGGATATCTTTCCACTGATTTGTGTCTTCTTTAATTTCTTTCATGAATGTCTGCAATTTTTAATGTACCAGTCTTTCATCTTTTTGGTTAAGTTTATTCTTAAATATCTTAACTTTTTCTTGCTATTATGAATGGGATTTTCTTTACTTGCTTTCCAGTTGTTTGTTGTTAGTGCTATAGAAACACAACTGATATTTGTATGTTGATTTTCTATCCTGCAACTTTACTGAATTTGTTATTAGTTGTAATAATTTGGGGGGAGTGAAGTTTAGGGCTTTTTACAAAAAAATTATGTCATTTGGAAATAGACAACTTTACTCATTCCCACCCCTCAACAGTTTGGATGCCATTTATTTCCTTTTCTTGCCTAATTGTTCTTGCTAGAACTCTTAGTATCATGTTAAATAAATGTGGCAAGAAGGGGCACTTTAGCCTTGTTCCTGATCTTAGAAGAAAAGCTTTTAGTTTTTTACCATTGAGTATGAGTGAATAATTTCTTTTTACTTTTATTGTAAGGTAGGACTACTGGTGACAAACTCTATTTTTGTTTACCTAAGAAAATTATGTATTTTTATCTTAATTTAAAGGGTAGGCTGGGTGCGGTGGCCTGCACCTTTAATCCTGGCACTTTGGGAGGCCAAGGCTGGCGGATCACCTGAGGTCAGGAGTTCGAGACCAGCCTGGCCAACCTAGCGAAACCCAGTCTCTGCTAAAAATACAAAATTAGCCAGGCGTGGTGGTGGCTGGCTGAGGCACGAGATTGCTTGCATCCAGGAGGCAGAGGCTGCAGTGAGCCAAGGTCACTGCCACTGCACTCCAGCCTGGGTGACAAAGTGAGACTCTCTGTCAAAAAAAAAAAAGGATAATTTTGCTAAGTAGACAGTTTTAAGATAGTGTTCTTTTTTTCTTTTTTAACATTTTAAATATTTCACTTTCCTCTCTTTTTGCTTATGTGGTTTAAGAGAAGTCTGATGTAATTCTTATCCTTGGTTGTCCATAGATAAAGGTTTTTTCCCTCCTGGCTTCTTTTAAGATTTTTTTTTTGTCTTTGATTTTTGGCAGCTTCAATATAATATGCCTATGTTTAAATTTTTTTGTATTTATCTTGCGTGGTATTCTCTCAGCTTCCTAGATATGTATATTTTGTTTATTTTCAATTTTGGGAAAATCTCAGTCAGAATTTCTTCAAATATTTCTTCTATTCCTTTCTTTCTCCTCCTCCTGATACTTCATTACACATATATTGTTCCTTTTTGTAATTGGCCTACACTTATCAAATATTCTGTTCTTTTTAATTCTTTTTTCTTTGCTTTTAAGTTTGGAAGTTGCTATTTAAACTTCTTTAGGCTCACTGATTCTTTCCTTGATCACATCGGTCTATTGATGAATTCATCGTTATGGTCTAACAAGTTTTCCTCCAAAATCTGTAGGTTGAAGTCCCAATCTTTAGTATCTCAGAATGTAATCATATTTGAAGATAAGTTTTTTTTTTTTTTTTAAGGAGTGATAAAGCTAAAATGAGACTCCCAGGGTATGGCCCTCGTGCAATATGGCTGATGTCCTTATTAGAAGAGGAAGAGACACCAGGAATGCATGTGCACAGAAAAAATGCCATAAGAGGACATAGCAAGAAGGCAACCAGCTGCAAGCCAAGACAGGCCTCAGGAGAAACCAAATGTGCTGACATCTTGATCTTAGACTTATAACATCCACAACTGTGAGAAAATGAACTTTTGTTATTTAAGGCACCCATTCTGTGGTACTTTCTTATGATAACCCTATAGCAATGCAAGAATGGCCTAATACATCTATATTTATATTGGACAAAATTGACTTTAAGCGAAAAAACATAAAAAGAGACAAAGAAGGCCATCATATAATGATAAAAGGGCCAATTCAGCAAGAGGATATAAAAATTCCAAATATGTATATATATGTACCCAGTAGTGGAATACTTAGATATATTAAAAATGTCATTAGAGGTAAAGAGAGAGATACACCTCAACATCATGATGACTGAGGGCTTCAATACCCCACTTTCAGCATTGAACATTCAGCATTCTAGGTAGAAAGCTAACAAATAATCATCGAATTTAATCTGTACCGCAGACCAAATAGACTTAACAGACATTTACAGAACATTTCATCCAATAGCAGTGGAGTACACATTCTTCTCCTCATCACATAGAACATTCTCCAGGCTAGACCACATGTTAAGACACAAAAAAGTTTCAACAAATTTTGAAAAATCAACATTATATCAAGTATATTCTAGACAAAAATAGAATAGAACTAGAAATGAATACTAGGAAAACTTTGGAAACTATACAGATAACATGGAAATTAAACAACATGCTTCCGAACAACCATTGAGTCAATGAAAAAACTAAGAAGAAAATAACAAATGTTCTTGAAATAAATGCAAATGGAAAGACAACATACCAAAACCTATGGAATACAACAAAGACAGTGCTAAGAGAGAATTTTATAGCAATAAATGCCTACTGCAAGAACATAGTAAGATTATGAACAAGCTACTATGCACCTCAAGGAACAAGAAAAATAAGATAAAATGAAATCCAAACTTAGGAGAAGGAAAGAAATAATAAAAATCAAAGCAGTACTGAGTGAATTCGAGATTTAAAAAATGCAAAGAGTTAATGAAACAAAAAGTTGACTTTTGGAAGAGATAAACAGACTTTATAAACTGCTAGCTAGACTAACCAAGAACAAAAGAGAGAATGCCAAATAAATAAAATCAGAAATAAAACAGGAGACATTACAACTGATATAAAAGAAACACAATGGATCATTAGAGTCTGTTATAAACAACCATATGGTAAATAATCCATACGATGAAATTTTTTTTACCAACACCAATGATCAATCTAACTTTCCCAAATTAATTTTAAAATCCACCAATACTTTATAATAAATACATATTAAACTGTGGTTTATACCTGAGATTTAGATTATCAATTGACTTATTTATCGTTTCTGAGGCGCATATTACCTCAGAGCACGTTTTAAAATGTATTTCAAGATTCCATCATTTATATAATTATACAGAATTACACCTTTCCTCCATGAATGTTGGTGTTTTATATTTTTATTGAGATAGAATTTACTATAAAATTCATTCCTTTAGAGTGTTCCATTCAGTGACTATCAGTGGATTCTTAAAGTGGGATATACTGATGACCACTGAATGAAGGAATGAAGTACGAATCTATGCCACAACATGGATGAATCTTGAAAACATTATGCTAAATGAAAGAAGGCAGACATGAAGGATCACATAATTATTATTCTCTCCATAGTAAATGTCCAGAATACGAATATACATAGACACAAAAATTAGATCAGTGGTTGCTAAGGACTGGGAGGAGGAGAGATTTCTTCTTGCGATTATAAACATATTCTGGAATTAGATAATGGGGAGGGGTGCACAATTTTAAGAATACACTGATAACCACTGAATAGAACACTTTAAGGCAATGAATTTTATGGTAAATTGTATCTCAATAAAAATATAAAAAACCCACTAACATTCATGGAGGAAAGGCATAATTACTTACAATTATATAAATAAGGGAATCTTGAATCATGAATATTATATAAATGAGGGAATCTTGAATCGTGAAGTATTAAAATGTGCTTCAGAAATGATCAATAAGTCAACCAGTAATCTAAATCTCAGGTATAAACCACAGTTTAATATGTTTTTATTATGGGGTATTGATGAATTTTAAAATTAATTTGGGAAAGTCATATTGATTAATAAATATGCTTATATATAATTGAGTAGTTATGTGGTTAAAAATTAAGGTAGAATCTTAACTCTCACCGTAGAAAAAGTAATTTCCATATACATTAAATGATATCATATGAGTTTTATTCAACTTTAAAGGAACACAGAGGCTAGGTCCTTGCCTGGATCAGTGGTGAATTTATCCTGTGAACCAAGGATTATGGTGGAGTATCCACCTCTTCACCTCTAGCCCTTCTTCTAGTCATCATTTGCTTTTCATTTTTCCAATTCTTTAAATTTCCTGTGTTCTGTGTGCATCCTCTCACCACCTTTTGATCAAACACAACTCTCAAGTAAGTTTATTTATTATTATTATTATTTTTTGAGACAGGGTCTCACTCTGTTGCCCAGGCTGGTGTGCAGTGGCATGACCTAAGCTGAATGCAGCCTTGACATCTCAGGCTCAAGCGATCCTCCTGCCTAAGCTTCCTGAGTAGCCAGAACCACACGCACGCACCACTATACCTGACTAAATTTTGTATGATTTTTTTTTTTTTTTTGTAGAGATGGGGTTTCACCCTGTTGCCCCCACCGGGCTGGTCTAGAACTCCTGAGCTCACCCACCTCAAACTCCCCAAATGCTGGGATTATAGTCATGAGACGCTGTGCCCGGCCTCGAGTGAGTTTATCATAGGTTAAATCACTGCAGTGAACCACCTTATTTATTTCTTTAGTATCAACTCTTCAATCCTCTGAGCAGCCTTCATGGTACAGTAAAATCTGCCCATGCCTAATTTATTTTCAGACTCTTGAAAGACCTTGCATTTTCTTTTACTTATAGTTTTAGAACTTTGGAATAAAAAAGTTTCTGTCTTTCTTGGAGGAACTGTGGACATCAAGGAAAGGACTCCAAAGACGAAAAACAAGACCCTCATGTTTGAATAGGTAAAGCAGGTTAGAGATAATCAGTAGCTGAGATGAAGAGGACTTCTGTGTATATTCACTCCTCTGAAGAGGTGAGTTGCTGAGTGATTATTGAACCCTTCAGGAACAAGAACATTTCTGTGTTTCAATGAGATTTTATATCAGGAGACAGCATGCAATCATCACGACTATCGGTCATTTAAAGTACATTTATCAAAGGTAAAGAGGGTGTGTGCAAAGGTAGTAGAAAGCACAGCCATGTCAAAGGCAGGAGAGAGACTTGAAATATCAGCATTGTCTTATGCATTCTGGAGGAACTGTAAAAGTTAAGGAAGCAGTTATAGAGGAAAAGCATTCATTTTATTTTTCTGATAATAGGAAGTAGCACGTAATACAACAGCCTGCCTATTTATTACTATTTTGGCACCGTGTGTTAGCATGCTTAAGCAATGGAATTAAATATGAAATTATAAACAGACTAGTGAGATACAGAAAAACTTTTATTTGATTATCTTTCTGTCCAATCGATCGAATGGGATAAACTAATTTTTATATTGAAATCTAAGTTAACACAAATTGTTTGCACATCAGTTACATGTAATATGAGAGGAATTAAAGAAAGGAGAGTGGGCCTTAGGGAACCTATAATACACTTCGGAAAGTAAATAATATATACAAATAAATAGCAATGCAACACAAGCATATTTCTGACAGAGAGGTACAAATTACTTCTTAGACACTAAGGAAATGAACATAATCACCAGAATACTTTGGGTGCCGTAGGGAATGCTTAAACAGGGTATGAGTAAACTTTATTTATTTATTTATTTTTTATTTAGAGACAGGGTCTCACACTGTTGCCCAGGCTGGAGCGCAGTGGTGCGATCTTGACTCACTGCAACCTCTGCCTCCCGGGTTCAAGTGATTCTCCTGCCTCAGCCTCCCGAGTAGCTGGGATTACAGGCACACGTCTCCATGCCTGGCTAAGTTTTGTATCTTTAGTAGCAATAGGGTCTTGCCATGTTGGCCAGGCTGGTCTCGAACTCCTGGTCTCATGTGATCCACCCGCCTCGGCCTCCTGAAGTGCTGGGATTACAGGGGTGACCCACCACATCTGGCCAGAATATCAGCTTCAGAAACTGTAAAGTACATGCACGTTCCTGGTCTTACTTGACCTTCATTCCTTTCTAGATGGTCTCACTACAGGTGAAGTAACTTTTCTCAGTACCAAGAAGGAAGTTCTCTTTCTGCCATGGCTTCTTCTTGGTGCTACTTCTATAATACTTCAGAGTGTTAGTGAATGGAACACCTGATTATATTATTTCAGCAGGTCCTTCCTGCCTTTAGAGACTTTGAAAGTGAAATCTTGAGTCAGGGATGGGGAGGTCTTGGAAGAGGCAAACTTCCCAAGTCTTAGCCTAAGGAGGGCCAGTGAGGGGCATGAAAGCTCTGGGGATGTTTTTTCCTAAACCTCCATTCAGGTCCTTCCTCCTGAGTTGCTGGGGCAGCGGTGCCTGGGCACAAGCCTCTGCCAGCACCCTAGATAACTCAAAGGGGGATCTTAGGGTCATTGTGCTGGTTATTGCTGACTGTTCCATTTACTGAAGCCAGAATGGCCTAGGATCATTAGTATCTCTGATCAAGTATCCAGAATTTACTGATTTTTCTCACCTCTCTGAGAATTATTTCTTTCTTGATCACGAGGAAAAGCTTTGGAAGTACAGTTTACACTGCAAAGCAATACAATTTATGAGAACAAATAACTGAAATCCTTTATGGAACACTAAGGGCATAATTTTCACTGCTTGATATTTTCTATGAACATTTGTTTGCCAGCCTGATGTAGGTTGGTGCAAACATAATTGTGGTTTTTGCCATTTCTTTCAATGGCAAAAATCCCAATTACGTTTGCACCAACCTAAGAGATTTGGAGTCAGGAGGCAGGCTTGGAATCCTGCCCAGGAAGCCCAAGAACATTGTGTAATCCATGGGCTAGCAATCAGGGATATCAAAGAAGGGTCAGAGGAAGGTTCATTGCATGCTGGGGGTGGACCAGTAGGTACCAGATGAGCATTGAAAGATGGCTTAGATTGCAGAGGGCTTCAGCAAAGAAAGATCAAGTGCTCTGACCAATGACTTTCCTTAAAAGAACACCAAAAAGAAAATCAGATAGCTATCAACCTATCAAATATAAGCTGTCACAGTAGAAGAAGAAAGAAGGCAATTTACCATTAGATAATTAAATTTGACCTAGAAATTATAGCGTTTTATTGCACATAACTCTCCAGGAAGGCACCAGATTTTCAATAAACAATTTATAATCAAGTATTCACTGTTTACTTTCCTACCCTGCCTTCAGCAGTACTGACAGCTTTGGGGACTTTGATGCATTAATTATCTGTTTTTCTTCTTGTTAATGCCGGTTTTCTTTTTCTTATTTACTTATTTATTTGAGACAGAGTCTCACTCTGTTGCCCAGGCTGGAGGGCAGAGGCGTGATCTCAGCTCACTGCAACCTCCACCTCCAGGTTCAAGTGAATCTCCTGCCAGCCTCCCGTGTAGCTGGGATTACAGGTGTGTGCCACCACACCCAGCTAATTTTTGTATTTTTGGTAGAGATGAAGTTTCACCATGTCGGCCAGGCTGGTCTTGAACTCTTGGCCTCAAGTGGTCTGCCTGCCTCTGCCTCCCAAAGTGCTGGGATTACAGCAGTGAGCTGCGTGCCCGGCGCTGCCCGCTTTCTACATCTATTGTTTTCCTTACTTGAAGTCTGTCAATATCCTCAAGTTCCTGCCATGTTAAAAACAAAACACAAAATTGTCTTTCCTGTATTTAGTTTGTTTTTTTAATGAATGCCCTAGCTTCTCCCTTTCCCCCTCAGGAAAATCATAGTCTCTACGCTTCATTTCCATGTTATCTTTCATTCACTTCTTACCCCACACGTGGCTGACATTTTCCCTCAGCTTTCCATTGAATACACTTTTGTTAAATCACTCACAAGTTTTTCTCTAAGAGTAGACAAACACAGGTATGCCTATATCCTATATGTATATTTTATTTTTATTGATTTCTAAAGATTATTTCATGTAAAATTGGAAAAAATGATTATCATGATAATAGATATAACACATTACTTGATCACTAAAAAGATCATTACTATTTTAGTTTATTTACTTTCCATTAAATTTCTCTCTCTTATTCTTGTGATTCACCTGTAGCTTTATTTATTTAATAAGTATTACTTTAATGTAAATATTTTCCTATACTATTTTCAAATACTCCTAAACAGTAATTTTTACTTTCTACATAATATTCCATCTTATGGATATTTCATAATATATTTATGTAATCATCTTTTCATTGTTGGGCATTGTTTTGTGTTTCTACTTTCACTACGTAAATGTTATGAGATTGTCCCAAGGGGCTTCTCTACTATTTCCAAATCAATTTCTGGCTAGGTCTCCTGACCCAAGTGGCTGCTGGAGTTGCAGGTGTGCTTAACTTATGTGGAGCGAGTGAAACCTTTACTTCAATACGTTGTTAATTGAAAGGAGAATCTTAGTATAGACTATTTTCCAGTAGAGGTAAAAAATGGATAATAACTTTGTTCAACTAGCAAAATAAGAGAAAAAGATAGAAAATAAGGTAAAAATAAATGATAGACATAAGGTCAAACGAAATGAGTCAAATCACTCCATCAGTTGTTAGGAGGCAGTTTTTTTTTCTCTTTCTGCACTTGAGTTGATCAAGTCTATAGATAGATTCTCTTCATAGCTATGAGAAGCATATTGGCACAAGGTTGCTGTCTCTCTCTGTGTAAATGAAGTATTAGCTCTAGCCTGGATGTTCCCTATAAGCTTCAGAATAAAAAAATTCAACTATTTACTTGACATCTACTTTTGGATGTCTAATAAGCAACTCAAGAATTCCAAAATGAATTTTTGATTCATACCACTTTCTCTGTTAATACTCACACTGCCTTTAGTCTTGCTCTCTCCATGATGGGCTCATGTACCTAGTTGTTTAGGTTAAAAAACAAAAACGAACAAAAACTCTGAGCATACCTTTGATTCTCTCATTTCATAATTACAACCCATTAGCAAGCCCAGTTCTATCTTTAAAATATCTCTTTTATTTTTTATTTTTAAAAATTTTTGAGACAGAGTTTCACTCTGTCACCCAGGCTGGAGTGCAATGGTGCGATCTCTGCTCACTGCAACCTCTGCTTCCCAGGTTCAAGTGATTCTTGTGTCTCAGCCTCCCGAGTAACTGGGATTACAGGTGCTAGCTACAAATTCTCAGCTAATTTTTGTATTTGTTTTTGTAGAGATGGGGTTTTGCCATGTTGGTTAGGCTGTTCTCTAACTCCTGTCCTCAGATGATCCGCCTGCCTTGGCCTCCAAAAGTGCTGGGATTATGGGTGTGAGCTACTGGGCCCGGCCTAAAATGTGTCTTAAATCCAACCTTTGTACACTTCCTCTGTCATTGCATCATTGTCCAAGTCACTGGTGTCTCTGGAGAGAGCCCTCTAACTTGTCTTTATGTTTTTACCAGAGCTTTGCATACTCTAATTTATGTTCAGACACCAGAGATATGTTTCTAAAATGCAAATTAAATCAAATTATTTCCTTATTGAAAATCTAATTACGTTTTTTTAAAAAAACTACATAGAATAAATCCAGTCTGTTTACATGGCACACAATGTCCTACCTGATTTGGTTGCTGAATATTTCTCCGATCTTTTTTTTCCTGCTACTGTTCCCTCTTTTCACTCTGTTCCACACGTATTAGTTTTCTTGCTCTTCCATAAACATTTCAAACTCATTTCTACCTCATAGCCTCTGTTTTTACTATTACCATTGCAAGGATTATTCTTTTCTAAGATATTTCTATGGAAACTCTGTCCCCCTATTTCATTCAGGCTTTGTTCCTGTGTCACCGTCTCAGAGAGGCTTTCCATGATTATTGAATAAATTCTAAAATAAAATTGATATCAAAAAGGCCATGCTCCCTGCAGCAAGTTGCTAATATCAGAAATCAATAACAATAAGGTATATTCCCAAATTCATACACAGAGATATTAAAACACAACACATTCCTACATAACACTTGGGCTAAGGCATTCATAAAAATGAATACAAAATAATTAGATCTGAAAAAACGGAAAGCACTATAAATGAAATCCTGTGGAATGCAGCCAAAGTGGTATAAAAACCGTCATTTATGATCTTCAAGATATTTACTAGAATTCATGAAAGTATGAAAGCAGCGTACTGCTCAACTGAAGAATCGAAATAAATAACAAAATAAAAAGAAGAAAAACCTGAAACAAAATAGGAGGCAATAAACAAAAATAATATCACACATAAATAAGAAACAAAACAAAGCAAGAAACATTGTAGAGTTATTTAGTAAGACCACTAGATAGTTTATGGGAAGATTCATATATTAGATGAGTCTTAGGAAAAGATCATGAGAAAAAGAGAAAAAAAATAATACAGGGAAGAAAAGGAACATAAACTACAGATAGAGAAGTGTTTTGATATCATGATAGAATCCTTTAAACCCTCTATGCTGAATATGTGAATGAAATGGACACTTTTAGGGAAATACGAATGAATAATATTGACCAAAACAAACTTACAAGTGGTCAATGTTCTATCCTTTTACAACCAAAAGGAGCTAGAACTAGCAAGATTTTATGTACAATCCTGAAGAAACAGATGATTCCTATTTCCTTTTTTGTTTTTTTGAGACGCAGTCTTGCTCTGTCTCCCAGGCTGGAGTGCAGTGGCGCGATCTCGACCCACTTCAAGCTCCGCCTCCCAGGTTCACGCCATTCTCCTGCCTCAGCCTCCTGAGTACCTGGGACTACAGGCGCCCGCCACCACTCCCGGCTAATTTTTTTTTTTGTATTTTTTATTAGAGATGGGGGTTTCCTCCTGTTAGCCAGGATGGTCTCGATCTCCTGATCTCGTGATCCACCCGCCTCGGCCTCCCAAAGTGTGATAATTCCTATTTCTTAAGAATAATTGAGATTACAGATTGATCTAGGTGGTTAGTCAACACATTTTATGAAAGAGAATAAGCACAATATAGAAATTTCACAGGGGTAGTGTATTAGTTATTGTTGCATAACAAGGTATTCCAAAATGTAGTGGCTTAAAACAACAAACTGATTATCACAAGTTTCTGTGGGATGAGGCTTAACTGGGTGCTTTTGGCTAAAGGTCTGTGTTGAGGTTGCAGACAAAAGCTGTCAGCTGGGGCTACATTTTAATCTGAAGACTGGGAGTGTGGGGGTTATATATAAACTCATCCACTGGCTTTTTTCATGCAGCATAATGTTGTGGAAGTTCATCCATGATGTATCATCTATTAGTATTTGTTCTTTTTTATTATGAAATAGTATTTCTCCATATAGATATAGTAAATTTTGTTTATCCATATACTAATATATGGGATAGAAACCTAAGAATAGCATCATTAAATTGTATGATATATTCATATTTATCAGTTTTAAGAAAAGGCCAAACTATTTTCCAAAGCGGTGATACTATTTTATATTTCCATCAGCATTGTAAAGGGACCTCATTTAGCCACATCTTCACGGACATATTTTATCACTGGTCATTTTTATTATAGTTATTCTAGTGTGTGTTAAGTGGCTTCTCATTGTGGTTTTAATTTGCATTTCACTAATGACTAATGATTCTGATAATCTTTTCATGTGTTTATGCCCATTCACATATTTTCTTTGGTGAAATGAGTACTCAAATCTTTTGCCTGTTATCATATTTATTAACAAATTATTAATTACAAATTGATAAATTATAGTTGTCTTATTTATTGGGTACAAAGTGATGTTATGATTTATGAATTCAATGTGGAAAAGTTAGATCATGGTAATTAACACACCAATCACCTAAAATCATGATTTTTTTGTCTTGAGAATGGTTGAAATGTATTCTCTTGGCAATTTCGAAATGTATAATACATTTTTTACTATATTCACCATGCTGTGCAGTATATCTTAAAGAAACCTAATTCTCTTGTCCAGTTGAGGCTTTGTACTGTTTGACCATGATATCCTCATCCCTTTACCATCCCCAGCCTCTGGTAACCACTGTTCTACTCTCTGCTTATTTGAGTTTGACTGTTTTAGATTCCACAAATAAGTGAAACATGTAATATTTGTCTTTGTGTGCCAGACTTATTTCACTTAGCATAAAGTTCTCCAATTCCAACTTTGTTGCTGCAAATAAAAAAGTTTCTTTTCTTTAAGGTAGAATAGTATTCTACTCTGTATATATACTATATTTTCTTTATCCATTTATCTGTTGATAGACACTTAGGTTGATTCCAAAACTTGACTATTGCAAAAAGTGCTGCAATGAACATGGAAATGCAGACATCTCTTCAATATACAAATTTCAAGTCTTTTCAGTAAATACCCAGCCGTGAGATTCCTAGGTCATAGGCAATTTTATTTTTATTTTTGTTGAGAAACTTATAAGTTTTCCATAATGGCTACAGTAATTTACATTCCTACAACAGTGTGCAAGTGTTCCCTTTTCTACACATACTCTCCAACACCTGTTACATTTCCTCTTTTTGGTAGTAGCCATTCTAGCAGGTGTGAGCTGATATCTCATTCTGGTTGTAATTTCCATTTCCTTAATGATTAGTGATGTTGAACAGTTTTTCACAAGTTTATTGGTCATTTGTATGTCTTCTTTTGAGAAATGTCTATTCACCTCCTGTGCCCATTTTTTAATTGGACTATTTGTTTTCTTTCTGTAGAGTTGTTGAGTTCCTTATAAATTTTGTCTGTTAACCCCTTAGCAGATGTATGGCTTGCAAATATTTTCTCCCAATCTGCAGATTGTCTCTTTAATTGTTTTCTTTGGTGTGCATAAGCTTTTTATTTTGATTATAATCGAATTTGTCTATTTTTGAATGCATTGTCTGTGCTTTTGCGGTTAGAACTTAAGTTAGAACTTAAAATGTCCAATGTCAAGTGCAGCAGGTTTCTCACCTCAAGGGACAAGAGAAAAAAGCCAGGAGCCTGGTACCAGCTTCCCAGGATTAGGGCACACAGCCCAGGAGTAATGAGCTGAGCCTTGGCCCCCAGAAGTTTCCCAGAAATGACACCAGTCAACGGAACCCACTTTATTCCACAATCAAACCGTCAAAGATGTCAAAGAATATAAGAGCGAAAACCCCATCCAAAGGACAGTGATACGGTTTGGCTCTGTGTCCCCACCCAAATGTCACCTTGAATAAATCCCCATGTGTCAAGGGCAGGACCAGATGGAGATAACTTAATCATGGGGGTGGTTCCCCCATGAGTGAGCTCTCATGAGATCTGATGATTTTATAAACGGGAATTCCCCTGCACAAACTCTCTTGCCTGACACCACGTAAGACGTAATTTTGCTCCTCATTTGCGATGATTGTTAGGCCTCCCCAGCCTAACAATGTGGAATTGTGAGCAAATTAAACCTTTTTCCTTATAAATTACTCATTCTCTGGTATGTCTTTATTATCAGCTTGGGAACAGATTAATACAGACAAGAACACCAAAGATTAAAGAAACATCAGTCTACACAGATTAAAAAGAAGCAGCACAAGAACTCTGGCAACTCAAACAGCCAGAGTGTCTTCTCACCTTCAAGGGACTGCAGTAGTTCCTCAGCAATGGTTCTTAACTGTGCTGAAATGACAGACATATAATTTAGAATCAAGATAGGAATGAAGATCATCGAGATTCAGGAGCAAGTTGAAACCAAATTCAAGGAATCTAAGGAATCTAATCAAATGATATGAGTTGAAAGACAAAATAGCCCTTTTAAGAAAGAACAAAACTGATCTGATAGATATGAAAAACTGTCTATGAGAATTTAATAATACAATCACAAGTATTAACAGCAAAACAGGGCATGCTGATACACACGTATGTTTATTGCAGCACTATTCACAATAGCAAGACTTGGAACCAACCCAAATGCCCATCAGTGATAGACTGGATTAAGAAAAGGTGGCACACATATACCACGGAATAGTATGCAGCCATAAGAAAAGGATGACTCCATGTTGTTTGTAGGGACATGGATGAAGCTGGAAACCGTCATTCTCAGCAAACGATCCCAAGGACAGAAAACCAAACACCGCATGTTCTCACTCATAGGTGAGAATCGAACAATGAGAACACTTGGACACAGGAAGGGGAACATCACACACTGAGGCCTGTCATGGGGTAGTGGGAGGGGGGAGGGATAGCATTAGGAGATATACCTAGTGTAAATTACGAGTTAATGGGTGCAGCACACCAGCATGGCACATGTGTGCATATGTAACAAACCTGCACGTGTGCACATGTACCCTAGAACTTAAAGTATAATACTAATAAAAAAATAGGCCATGCTGAGGGAAGAATCTCAGAGATTGAAGACTCGTTCAGTTAGACAAAAATAAAGAAAAAAGAACTCAAAAAAATGAACAAACCTCTGAGAAATAGGGAATTATGTAAAGCGACCAGATATATGACTCACTGGCATCCCTGAAAGAGCAGGAGAGAAAGCAAACAACTTGGGAAACATATTTGAAGATATCTTCCATAAAAACTTCCCCAACCTCACTAGAGAGGTTGATTCAAATTTAGGAAATGCAGAGAATGCCTGCAAGATACTACACAAGACAACCATCCCCTAGAAAAAGTATTAAAGGCAGCTAGAGAAAAGAAGCAGGAAACCCACAAAGGGAATCCCATCAGGCTAACCGTGGACTGTTAAGCTGAAACTCTATAAGCCAGAAGAGATTGTGGGCCTACATTCAGCATTCTTAAAGACAAGAAATCCCAACCAAGAATTTTATATCCATCTAAACTAAACTTTACAAGTAAAGGAGAAATAAAATCGTTTTCAGAAAAGCAAATGCTAAGGAAATTTGTTACCATCAGACATGCCTTACCAGAGGTCCTTAAGGGAGTACTAAATATGGAAATGAAAGAGTACCAACCACCACAAAACACAATTAATTACATAGATAGTGACACTATAGAGCAACACACAATGAAGTCTGCATAATAACCAGCTAACAACACAATAACAAGATCAACTCCACACATAGCAATATTAACCTTGAACATAAATGGACTAAATGCCCTACTTAAAAGGCACAAAGTGGCAAGTTGGATAAAGAAGCAAGCCCCAAATGTATGCTGTCTTCAGTGTCATTGCATGTGAGACCCATCACTCATAGGTTCAAAGTAAAGGCTCAAAGAAAGATCTGCCAAGCAAATGAGAAACAAAAAAGCAGGGGTTGCCATTCTAATTTCAGACGAAACAGACTTTAAGCCAACAAAGATAGAGATAGACAAAGAAGGGCATTACATAATGGTAAAGGGTTCAATTCAACAAGAAGACTTAGCTATCTTAAATATATATGCACCCAAGACAAGTGTGCGCAATTCATAAAACAAGTTATTAGGGACCTACAAAAAGACTTAGATAACCACACAGTAGTAGTGGGAGACTTCAACACCTCACTGACAGCATTCGACAGATCATTGAGAGAGAAAACTAACAAAGATATTTAGGCCTTAACTCAACACTTGACCAAATGGACCTAAAAGACATCTACAGAACAGTCCACCCAACAACAGGATACACATTCTTCTCATGTGCACATGGTACACACTCTAAAATCAACCATGTGATTGGCCATAAAACAATAATCAGCAAATTCAAAAAACTCGAAATTATACCAACCACACTCTCTGACTATATCCCAATAAAAATAGAGACAAATATTAGGAAAATCACTAAAAACCATACAATTACATGGAAATTAAACAACCTGCTCCTGAATGACTTTTGGGAATGACTTTTGAGGCTGCATCTGGAACCACCTGTGAGCCGGGCTGCAGCAGGGTCCACAGGCAGATGGCGGTGTTTCTGTGTTCATGGCCAGGTCTATGATTGGTGAGCCTACTCCCAGGGACATGGGCCTGCCTTCTCAAAGCAGTTTTCCTTGGTCTTGGGCTCTAGTGGGTTGTCATGAACTCCTGACTGGGTCCTGATGTTACCACAAAGATATTTTATCCATGGATGGTTGCCAAATCAGTGTTCTGTGGGTGGACGAAGGCTGGGGATCTTCTACTTAGCCATCTTACAGATGTTCTGCTTCATTTGTTCTTTGATTTCTTTTTCTTCTTTTTTTCAAGTAGATGGGTCATTGTAATTAGTCATTTTTTTTCTTATTAAACTGTTGTGTTATTTAAGAGTTGCTTTAGTGTTCATAGTATTGCTCTTTACACCACAGTCTATCATTGGGTGTCATACTACTTTACATCTAATATAAAAACCTTTCAAGGTTATATGAGCTATTGTTCTTACAGCAGCAAAAATATTTTATTTTGTATTTTGAATATGGAAATTGCAATCTTTTTCTAGTGATAATAAAATCCATTTTACTTGGACTATTTTCTAGTATTTTTGTGACTTGCCATTTATTCAGAAACTCTATTGTCTCGATCATATCAAATTTTCCAGAAAGATAGAAAGAACAAAACGAACTTCTAAATGTACAACTGGCAAAGGTCTCAGAGTATCTCAAGCTTTCATGATATATAGTATTGCCTTTGTCTTTTTTTTTTTTTTTTTTTTTTGAGAAGGAGTCTCGCTCTGTCGCCCAGGCTCGAGTGCAGTGGCACAATCTCGGCTCACTGCAACCTCTGCCTCCTGGGTTCAAGCAGTTCTCCTGCCTCAGCTTCTTTAGTAGCTGGGATTACGGGCACCCACCATCATGCCTGGCTAATTTTTGTATTTTTAGTAGAGACGAGGTTTTGCCATGTTGGCCAGGCTGGTCTTGAACTCCTGACCTCAGCCTCCCAAAGTGTTGGGATTACAGGTGTGAGCCACTGCGTCCGGCCTGCCTTTGCCTTTATATAACAGTAAAATTAATTCCTTTGGGGTTTATCAACTATGCCCTCATAAATTAGTATCAATATAATATGTTCCATGCACAGAATCATATCATTGTATACAGTAAACATGGCCTTCTCCAGAAGATATAGTCAAGTACTCCAACAGATTGCATGTAATTCACCCAGTCTTATTATCAAAAGGCACAGACAGCCTTTTCCCAGAAATCTTTTAAATGTCCCTAAAACGTGGATTTCTGCACCTCTGGATGAGATATCAGAGCAATATTGCCCTAAAATCTCAATGGTTAAGATATGGTCAGGTATTTATAACAACTAGCACAGCAGTAAAAAAACCAAAGGGGTTATCTCTAGATCTATATGTTTCAGATAAAGAGATATAATTCATCTTTGGATTGTCAGAAGACTTTTCTTATCTATTATTTTATATGTGAAGCTGTCCTACTTTTTGAAAGTTTACAGGCAAAGATCTCTACTTGATTGAATTTTCTAACTCCTATTTACTTTCACCTTTAACTGATAATTTCTTTACTATAGTGGTTTTCAACTAGGGACAATGTTGCCCTCAGAGGACTTTTAGTAATGTTAGAGATTTTTATTTGTTTGTTTGTTTAGTTATTTATTTTTTGGTCACAGGTGGGAGAAATGTTTTAGAGGCAAGAGAGGCTGCTAAACATCCTACAATATACAGGAAAGCTCCCCACAGCAAAAAAAAAAAAAAAAAAAAAATTGTTCTTCTCAAAATGTTGACAGTGCTGGAGATCAGACACATTGCTCTACTTTATATTGTATTATCTGTCACTGAACTTCTTTAGTAAATGGCCAATACTGTATGGTAAAATCGAGAGTATTATCCGAAAGAAAATTAAGAAAAACAATCAGAATTAGAAATTAGAGGCTCCTCTGCCTATGGAATACCCATTCTTTTATTCCTTTACTTTCTTAATAAACTTTCACTTAAAAAAAAAAGAAATTAGACTTTCTGGACTGATTCTGTTTGTTCCTTATGTTTTTCATTTCCCTTACCTGTTTTTTCTTCTTGCCCAGATATAAAGAACGTTCTGTCCAGGCACGGTGGCTCACTCCTGTAATCCCAGCACTTTGGGAGGCCGAGGCGGGCAGATCACGAGGTCAGGAGATCGAGACCATCCTGGCTAACACGGTGAAACCCCGTCTCTACTAAAAATACAAAAAATTAGCCAGGCGTGGTGGCGGGCGCCTGTAGTCCCAGCTACTTGGGAGGCTAAGGCTGGAGAATAGCGGGAATCCGGGAGGCGGAGCTTGCAATGAGCTGAGATCGCGCCACTGCACTCCAGCCTGGGTGACAGAGCAAGACTCCGTCTCAAAAAAAAAAGTTCTTTTTGCTTCAGTGAGTTGAGATGTTATATTAATTCAATGTCAAGTCTCTGAAGAAACTTTCACTATTTCACTAAGACGGAGAATAAGAAATGGGTGATGACTTTTTTTTTTTTTTTTTTTGCTTACATTTAATAGAAAAATTTGGACTTAACAAGGGGAAGATAATTTCAGGCAGTAATTCATTTGGATTCTAATGTCTTTGGGCTTTAACATAGAGATAGAAGAGATTCAATCTTTGAACTTCAATTTATGCCTAGAAATTTTATAAGAACACTTGTTTATATTCAAATGTGGGAAGTTTTTCTTTTTTAGCATTTTAATATAGGAGGGTATTTATGACTTTTAAAGTCTCTTAATGTCATTTAATTATCAAAGAATCTCTAATGTGCTACACTGGATAATGTAGTGGCACATAACTTAAGATGGCAAAGAAGAGAGGATGTAAATTTTCAGCTATGTGTAAAATGTATATGGTAAAAATTGTATTAGTGTATTATTCTGAGATTAGCTTAGAATCTGATCTCAGAGTAACATGCCGTTCATGAGTGATTCTGAGAAGATATAGAAAAATTAATGACTAGTATTGAAGAAACAGATCCATGAAGATGAGATTTGAGTTATTTTAATAGACTCCTGACATCTCCTCTGCATAGGGAGATAACCCATCCTCCCCTGATTCATTGACCATAAGCTCTGTGGTTAAAAAAATACAAACCCTTGAATTTTGTTTGTGAGGTAATTTGGCCTCATTCTAGATGTTTTCCATCTTTGTGACACTCATGCCATGTCATACTCCTGGTATCCTCCCTGCCCTTTAATTTTCTTGGCCCCAGGAAATGGACTTATCTGATGGAGAGTTTGGAAAGAACCAGGCATGATAAGTTAGCCACTCTTCAGCTCTACAGCTCCTCCTAGTGAGCCTACTTGTAGAAAGCGGGTCTTCTTTTCTACTTCTCTAGGGGCAGGGGGCAGCAGAGGGGAGATCTGCTTCAAGTGCTGGTATGACTGGAATGGTCATGCGCCTAATTCTCAGGTGCAATGTTAGCAAGGTCACATGATTAGCAGGCTTTAACCCATATTATCTAAGTAGGTCTCTATTAGTAATGAAAATGATATTTGTTCAGAACTGGATGAGGAAGCAGACTGACATTGCACTTCAAATAATCAAACACTGCCTACTGATACTTCATATTCTTATTGTTTTACGTATTTAATATTTTTATCTTTTTTTTCTTAGAAACATTTTTTTATAAGTACCTATAGGGTATGAGATTCTTCTGTTATTTATTTTATTCCTATAGTTCTTAAGAGGCTTGCATGTGCATCAAGAAGAAATGCTCCAGGAGGCAGTCAGTACACATGGGATTAGGACAACATTTATTTCCAGTCAAGGAAGAATAAGGAATTGGGTTAAGCAGGAGTCTGCAAAATTTATCCATCCATTCTGGAGTTCAAAGGGCTTAACGTTTGCTCCCACCTAAGGAGATTTTCCTTTGGGAACCGGAGTTGGATAGGGCTCAAGTATCCACCACCTTCTACAACATTTTTTTCCTTCATTACATATACCAATGGTATCATCTAGTGTGCTGCATAGTTTGTCTCTGCACACCCCTTTCAAAGCAATACACTGTTTTTGTCCTGGAATAACGCCAGTCTTTCCTACACAGGAAGAAATTTAAGAACATCATTAATTCACTATTGAAAATATACATAAAACAATAAACCCCCAGAAGAATGGCTTTGGGATAGGAAAGAAAACATTGTCTATATGAAAGGATCAGACCCGCAGACAGAAACAGCGCCTTTTTATGGGAAGGGAGCTAAGATTGTAGATTATATACACCTTGGAGGAAATAGGCCAATTTCTAAAATCCTTTAAAGGGATTGTCCTCCCCTATTGCAGTACATTTTGAAATGTGTGGGACCATTTGTTCTTGCCACCATGCCTAGGGAAGGTGTCTTTGGTATTTAGCAGATAGCACAGCATTGCTAAATTTTTCACCTAAGGAATTGTCTTGCACCAAACACCAACAATGCCACCACTAAGAAACAGTTTCAAAGGAAGTATGTGTCCCTCCAAATACCCATCTGTGCATACATCATCCCTATCAAATGGTTCATGTGCATATCTTCATCTCCTTTCATAGAAAGCCTATCAATCCTTGAGATTTTATCTAAACTAATTTCCTCATTTCAGAAGTATGTAAGAAATACCTTTCCTATGTTGCTCAATACCTCATAGATAGGTGGAGGAATGGATAGATAGATAGATAGATAGATAGATAGACAGACAGACACCTGCAGAGAATTACTCACAGAGCTAAAAGGTATTTTCCCTTAAGTGTATCCACATGTTCTCTTAATTCATCTGGTTTTTGAGAAGCATATGGCTAAGGGTGTGCTCTAATTCAGTAGTTTTCTCTATGCTTACTATCCTTTCTCTTGCCTTCTCAGCACAACCATAGTTTATTTTTCCTACTGTATATCACTGCAGATGTTATATAAGAAAAACACTTTTGCTGATGTTCATTAACAGACATTAGTTCCTGAACCATCCTGTTAACACACCTGGATCTTATTTTGTTTTTACTGGCCTCTAATATACTACCTCTGGCTTCTTTGCTTCTGTAGATGAGTAACAGTTTGGTGGCCGTTTCAGCTCTCAATCTTTTTGTTGTTGTTTGTTATTGTTTTGTATTTAAACTAGGCTATCATTATTGTTTCTCTACTCTGTAGAAATAGATCCATAGCCAGAAAAACCAATGCAACCTTTTGGAACTGAGTGCTCATAACCTATGCAAGATTGTCTTCCACTCTTGTTAGAAGCTTCAACCTAGTGCAGTCTGGTATTATACTCTACTATCAGACTAGCAGTTCATAAACTCAGGGTTTCTGTGCACAAGAGAATATCATGATGGGGGAGTTGGGCAATATCTTGTAATATTCTCTCTTTTTTCCAAGACTATTGTGGAAGAGAAAGTGGCTGACTTTCAGAGAGAGACCTGAAGTCTCCCCAGCCAGTTGTGGAAGGTGCTGGTTCAACTGCATTGTCTACACAGAACACAGGCTTCATGCTCAGAAGCATAGCAGACCTGTTGCTAGCTGTTGGTCTTTTCCCTGATAACTTCATCCATACATTTAACATCTGGCAACACTGTCAGACTTTTTAAATGAAGCTAAAATCAGGGGGTGTTAGTACTGGGAAAGATATAGTCAGAGGCAGAGTATGGTATCAAGGAGGCCTATGTGTGTGAACTTAGAGGCATCCCATGCAAAATGAGGTGGAATGTGAATCTTCAGCTGAAGCCAAAAGAGTGAACTTCCTCTCAGCAGGATGCATAACCCACTATACGGTAAAGTTCAGCCTACTGACACAGCATGTAGCCTAAGACAGTGCCAATTCCTCTATTTGGGAGATGTCCCTTGCTTCACTCAAAAGGAGTGGAACAATTCATCCTACCAGTGATGTGCTTCTTGCTACATGGGAAGCTTAATTTAAGGAGGTATGCTTTGAGCATGAAGCCAAAGAATTATAATCTCCCTTTTTACCGATGACTGTGACATATCGTCATGCCGAGGGCACTAGTTTAACTCAAAAAGATAAGATTAAATTACTTAATTCAGATTCAGATTCATATTCTTCATTCATGAGGAAGGAAATTTCTTCCCAGATATTCACATTTATTTTCAGACTTACTGACAGAAGTATATACATATAGAGCAAAAGAAGAGAGGCACTCTCTAATACACTTTAGAATTTATTTGACATTAATATGTTATAATGGTTATATCACACGGCAGTTGAGGAAAGGATGCATATTTAATAAGTGCCTTTGGAAAAAGAAACAATTTAGATGTTCACTTCATATTATATCACAACATTAATTTCTGTGGATGCAGTGAGAAGGACTTAGAATCACACTGGAAAATACCCTTAATAGCGCATTCATCTACTTTCTAAAAGGATATAACTTTCTTAGCATTAGAACTCATTGAGTCAGTAACTTTTAAGTTTTTTTTTTTTTTTGGATGATGTAGAGGATTTAAATGGAACAGGATCTGCCTGGAACTTTATCAATCAAAAAATAGAAGTGCAGTTTCCTTTTCTCTACATAATGTGAGTTCAGGCTGTCTTCTGCTCCTGTCCAATGTCGTGTATTTAGATATTATGTTATTCTCCACAGTCAGTGTAAGAAGAATGCTATAATTTTCTTAATTCTCAGAGAGCTAATGCAGCAATCCAAGATTTATGCCATTCTAACCTCTTTAGACTCATATTCCCAGCATATATATGTATGTTTATGTGTACATATAAATCTATATGAACTATTCCAATTTTTTATAGGATACCATGGATTCTTTTTGGATTAAATATAAGGATATATAAAAACATATATTCAAGTAGCTATAACTTAATATTCATCAGACATTAAGCTGATAAACTAATATTTCAGATTAGGTAGTTTCTTTGGAGAAATTTTTTCATGAAAACAATAACTTTTTTTACTTAATTGGATTTTTTTGGTGTAAAAATGTCTTTAACAAAACTCTTCATGATCTAGCCACTCAATTTTTCTTAAAAGAAATTTTATGACATAAAAGTTATATAGGAGTTATAAAATTTCTAAGATTATCAGAATGCTTCTAGACACCTGATAAATTCTACATGCCCAACAGTCACAGCAGAGATTAAGATCAGAATTTTTGGAGTGCAGTGTTATTAAATTGTATAGACAGCTCAGCAATTAACTATTCAGTACTAAGAGACCATACAAAACTGATATTGAAATTCCTATTTTTCGACCTGAGTGTTCTGGGTCCCACTTCATAATGTGTCCAAGAACATCTCAATATGCACAACTAAGGTATTTTGACCTTTATGTATGGTTTTAATATCCTCTGATCACAAGAAACCTGGCTATTCAAAAGTGATTCCCTCCTGTGCAGAATTATAGGACCTTTGTTTAATCCTTCTTCCTGGTATAGCTGATTTGGAAGGAAGAAAGAAGGGCTGATATTTCTATTCCTCCAGGAAGATGTCACGGCTTGAAAGGCAGGCCTCTGAAGGATTCTTGTCGTATTTGTGGGGAGATTAACTCAGCTTTCAACCTCAAATAACCTCTTGTTCTTCATCTTTTATTTTATTGTGGTCGTAACACTTAAAGTGAGATCTACATTCTTAAGAAATTTTTAAGTGCTATAGATATAATATTGTACAGTTGATATTTAGAGCTTATTCATCTAATAAAACTGAAAACTTTTACTCATTAAATAGCAACTCCCTATTTCCTCCTCCCTCCCCAGTCCCTGGAAAGCACCATTCTGCTACCTGTTTCCATGAGTTTGACTATTTTAGGTACCTCATATAAGTGCAATCATGCACTATTTGTCTTCTGTGACTGGCTTATTTCATTTAGCATAATGTCCTCCAGGTTCATCCATGTTGTCACATATAGTAGAAAACCTCCTTAGTTTCCACAATATATAATTAGAAGATTCTGAGAAAAAAGTCTGGCAGAAATCAGAGTTATCGTTTTTGTATGCATATCTCCACCTATGGATTGATTAAAAACAACATTGACCCAGATTAAAGAGATTTGCTTTTAGCTGCGATGTTGCTACTACCTATGTGATCGGAGGAAAATCACATTCTTTATCTGTACATGGGTTTTATTATCTAAAATAAAAACAACTGCCACTAAATTTTATTTTAATTTGAAATTATTACCATCATATAATTTCACATCACATGTCACTACAAGTGTATCTGACCTCAATGGTATCTTCTGACCAAAGCTGAGAACCAAATGAGAATTGCATAAGCTCCTTCAGAAGGAGGCAATCATATGTGAGGTGGATCTCAACATGTCCACAGATTAGGTAAAGATCAAACAATTGAGTAGCTTTGATTGCACTTCAAAGAATCTCAGAACTGGAACAAAACAAGAGTGCCCCCTCTCACCATCCTAATCAACATAGTACTGGAAATACGAGCCAGAGCAATCAGCCTTTTGAAATAAAAGGCATCCGAATAGGAAAAGAAGAAATCAAATTACCTCATTTTATAGATGATATTATTCTACACTTAAGAAACTCTAAAGATTCTTTGAAAGCCTCCTGGACCTGATAGACAACTTTAGTAAAGTTTCAGGATGCAACATCAATGTACAAGATCAGTAGCCTTTCTATACACCAACAATGTTCAACCCGAGAGCCAGGTCAAGAATGCAATCCCATTTACAACAGCCACACAAAAAATTAAATACCCATGAATACATTTAACCAAGGAGGTGAAAGATCTCTACAAGTGACACTACAAATCACTACTGAAAGCAATCACAGGTAACACAAATAGAAAAATATTCCCTGCTGTGGATTGCAAGAACCAATATTGTGAAAATGGCCATACTGCCCAAAGCAATTTATAGATTCAGTGCTATTCCTATCAAACTACCAATGACATTTTTCACAGAATAGAAAAAACTATTCTAAAACTCATATGAAACCATAAAAGAACTCAGACAACCAAACTAATCCTAAGCAAAAAGAGCAACACTGGAGGCATCATCCTACTTGCCTCCAAATTATACTATAAGGCCACAGTAACTAAAATGGCATGGGACTGGTACAAAAGCAGACACATGAACCACTTCAACAGAATAGAGAACCCAGAAATAAAGCTGCACATTTATAACCATCTGCTCTTTGACACAGTTGACAAAAATAAACAACGGGAAAAGGACTCCCTGTTCAATAAATGGTGCTGGGATAGCTGGCCAGCCACAAGCAGAAGAATAAAACTGGATGCCTATCTTTCACCATATACAAAAAATTAACTCATGACGAATTAAATATTTAAATGTAAGACCTCAAACTATAAGACTCCTAGAAGAAAATCTAAGAAACACCATTGTAGATATTGGCCTTGGGGAATAATTTATGACTAAGTACTCAAAAGCAATTGCAACAAAAACAAAAGTTGACAAGTAGAGCCGAATTAAACTAAAGAGCTTCTGCAGAGAAAAAGAAACTATTAACAGGGTAAACAGAAAACAACAGAATGGGAGAAAATATCTGCTAACTATGCATCTGACAAAAATTTAATATCCGGAATCTACAGGGAATTTAAATCAACAAGCAAAAAATAAATAAAGTGGGGAAAAGACATGAAAAACATGAACAGACTCTTCTCAAAAAAAGATAATAGAAGCAGCCAGCAAACATGAAAAGTAGCTCAACACCACTAATCACTAGAGCAATGCAAATCAAAACCACAATGAGAACTATCTTACACCAGTGAGAATGGCTATTATTAAAAAGTTAAAAAATAACAGAAACGCAGATGAGGCTGTGGAGAAAAGGAGTGCTTATACACTGTTGGTGGGAATGTAACAGTCTGAAGATTTCTCAAAGAACTTAAAACAGAGCTACCATTCCACCCAGCAATTCCTACTGGGTATATCGTCCAAAAGAAAACAAATAATTCTACCCAAAACATACCTGCACTCCTATGTTCATCCCAGAACTACTCACAATAGTAAAGACAAAGAATCAACCCAGGTGCTCATCAATGGTGGACTGGATAAAGAAAATGTGGTACATATAGACCATGGAATACTATGAAGCCATAAAAAGGAACAAAATCATATACTTTGTAGCAACATGGATGAGCTGGAGGACTGCAAATTAATGCAGAAATAGAAAACCAAATACTGCATGTTCTCACTTGTAAGTGGGAGCTAAACACTGGATACTCATGGACATAAAGATGGGACATGGGAGACTACTAGAGTGGGGAGGGAGGAAAACAAGGATTGAAAAACTATTTGGTACTATGCTCACTACATGAGTGATGGGATTACCATCATGCCCCAAACCTCACATCACAAAATATACCAACATAACAAACGTGCACATGTACCCCCTGAATCTACAATATAAGTTGAAATTATTTAAAAAATAATCTCAGAGATAAAGGGAGGAAGAGATCTTTGCTCATTGACCACACACTTTATTTTGGGGGCTATGAACATCCCACTATTAACAGTGGAGATAATAATTTTATCATATCTTATCAGGATCTGGATGAAACACCCTGAAGATGTTTGATTCTATATTCCCTTTTCAGTTTGATTCTACATTTCGATATTTAAACTTCTGAATCGTGGACCCTAAGGATGCAACTATGAGTCTTGAAGGGTTTTCTGTACTATTTGTCTTATGCTTAAAATTTTGCCATTAAAGCTTCATGCCACTGTTTATTCTTTTCCCAATTCCCTTGTTCCCAAATTTCTATTGGTCTTTTATAATTTGATGCAAAATTTTCTTGTTGAACTCTGTCTTATTTGCCTAACTGCTACCCTTCACAAATATTCCTCACCAATAGACTCAACATCACTTCCATCCACTACCGAGTTGGAATCAAGAACTATCATCTTCACTCTCCTTTTTGGAGAGTGAAGCCTTGATGATAGCTGTTTGCTTTATTTACTAACCTTTAAATCACATATCAGAGCTTCTATACCCCTAACTCTATTTCGGCCCCATTTTCTAATTATCGAGCTCTTGAACCCCCATTTTCTGTTGAAAGAACTCCTTGTCCTGCTTCTCAATTGTGGCCTCATTAGTACCAAAGAAGAGAAACATGGTGGATTTCTGAATTCCTAAGGCTGTGAATTGGGGTCTGAGTTCGGATGGCCACAGCATAATTATCTCAGTAGACCTCTTCCGGTCTAGGCGTCCCAATAGACTTCTACAATCATTCACCATCTTACCTTTTGGTATTAAAGTCACAAAGAGGAGGAGAACAGAAATAAGGGAATGGAGTTTCATGGTTGAGTGCCCAATAGAGAGGTGAGTGATCAGGGCTGGTGGAACACAGGGGTTTTATTTAATTCTGGGGGCCTGAGGTTCCTCTTGCTCAGTGAAGCTTAACAGAAAGGACATAAAACAGCTTCCGTTGGAATACTTCCAAACTCGAAGGTCTCTAAATTTTGTGACAAATTAACCTAATTATAGGAAACCAGATGGCTAACCCTTTCCTTTTCCTATGGCTCTCAATTTCACCAGAGGTTAATTAATACCTGTAGTTAATTTTCTTTTTTGAATGGGGCTAAGAAGTAAAGCCATGTGGGTACAGAACATCCTTACTGCAAAAGTCCTAGGGCTTGTAAGGAAACATTTCCATAATACACTGTTTTTTTTTGTTTTGTTTTGTTTTTGTTTTTGTTGTAGTTGTTTTTTTGCAAGAGGGACAAGAGTATTGTCTAAGGTGCATTTATGAAAAGCTATGTTTTTCTTATTTATTATTATTTTTTTAACTAAGTTAGTCCTTAAAAGAAAGGCTGTCACTTGTGTGAGGTGTTCTTTTTTTTTTTTTTTGAGACGGAGTCTCGCTCTGTCGCCCAGGTTGCAGGCTGGAGTGCCGTGGCGCGATCTCGGCTCACTCAAGCTCCGCCTCCCAGGTTCACGCCATTCTCCTACCTCAGCCTCCCCAGTAGCTGGAACTACAGGCGCCCACCACCACGCCCGGCTAATTTTTTGTGTTTTTAGTAGAGACGGGGTTTCACCATGTTAGCCAGGATGGTCTCCATCTCCTGACCTCGTGATCCGCCCACCTCGGCCTCCCAAAGTGCTGGGATTACAAGGCGTGAGCCGCTGCGCCCGGCCCTGAGGTGTTCTTAATCACATCCGAAAGGTGGATACATTTAATTCACATTGAAAACAAATATTTTTTCATCGTTATTGATCCTTTGTATAATTATCTCATACAACAAGACAAGCAAGATCAGGAGAGTTGAAAGATAAAAGACAGAGTAAAGTGCGCAGCTCCTCTCAAAAGACTCTGAGCCTACAGCTTAAAGAGATTCCCCTAACCTTTCACCCTAACCCACCACATAGCAACAAAATATTGAAAGCTTAAGAGCATGCTTTAATCAAGAATCAATTGACCAACATCCAACTTACCCAAAACAAATTTACCTTCTGTTCAATTCCTTATTGGCATATTTCCTTGAATTGATATTTTTTTAAATTTGTAAACTTTCATATATGGTGTCAGTCTTTTCTGAAAAATTATATATGCATATATATATAACTTTTATATAGCTTTTATTTGACTACTTTTGATCATTTTCATGTTAGTTGATGTATTTATGAGCATTTGCTAATTTATTTCCTCATTAATAATTTATGCCTTAATAATTTTAGGTTTGAATAAATGTTCCAAAAGACTAATATTCAAAAGATTTTTTGAAAAGTAGAACAAAGCCAGAGAATTTAGACTACCTTGTTTCAAGACAAAGCTACAATAACGAAGACACTGTGATACTGAAATAAGAAGAGACATATAGTTCAACAGAACATAATAGAGAGTCAAGGATACGACCATCATATGAATGGTCTGCATATGGGTAAGACCATATATATTTATCCATGCTTAATGATTTTGACAAAGGTGCTAAGTAAAGTCCTTTTTTTTTTTATGCCCTCATTCTTGTATATGTAACTCATTCAAGTGTTTCGTGTGCAGGTTTGTTACACGGATAAATTGTGTGTCCTGGGGGTTTAGTATACAGATAATTTTCCCAGGTATTCAGCGTATTACTCAACAGGTAGATTTTCAATCCTCACCCTCCTCCCACCCTCCACCCCAGGTAGGCCTTAGTGTCTGTTGTTCCCTTCTTTGTGTCCATGTGTATTCAGTGTTTAGCTTCCACTTTTTTTGTTTGTTTGTTTGAGACACAGTCTTGCTCTGTTGCCCAGGCTGGAGGGCAGTGGCATGATCTCTGCTCACTGCAACCTCCACCTCCGGGGTCCAAGCGATTCTCCTGCCTCAGCCTCCTGAGTAGCTGGGACTACAGGTGTGCGCCACCACGCACAGCTAAGTTTTTGTATTTTTAGTAGAGACAGGGTTTCACCATGTTAGCCAGGATGGTCTCAATCTCCTGACCTCGTGATCTGCCTGCCTCAGCCTCCCAATAGCTTCCACTTTTAAGTAAGAATGTATGGTATTTGGCTGTCCGTTTCTGTGTTAATTTGGTTAGAATAATGGCCTCCAGCTGCATCTGTGCTGCTGCAAAGGACATGATTTTTTCTTTTCATGGCTGCATAGTATTCTATGGCGCATATATGCCACACTTTCTTTATCTAGTCCGCTGTTGATGGGCATCTAGGTTGATTCCATGTCTTTACTATTGTGAATAATGCTGCAATGAACATACAAATGCATGTATCTTTATGGTGGAATAATTGATATTCCTTTAGATATATACTAAGTAATGGGATTGCTGTGTCAAGTAGTGCTTTTATTTTAAGTGTTTTGAGAAATCTTCAGACTACTTTCCACTATAGCTGAACTAATTTATATTTCCACTAGCAGTGTATAAGCATTCCCTTTTCTCCAAAGCCTCACCAGGGTCTGTTATTTTTTGACTTTTAATAATATCTATTCTGACTGGTGTGAGAGGGGATCTTATTGTGGTTTTGATTTGCATTTCTCTAGTTATTAGTGATACTGAGCATTTTAAAAATATGTTGGGTGTCTCTCTGTATGTCTGCTTTTGAGAAGTGTCCATGTTTTCCAAATTTTTAAATAAAGGTTTTAGTTTTTGCTTGTTGATTTAAATTCCTTATAGATTCTGCATATTAGACTTTTGTCAGATGCATGGTTTGCAAATATTTTCTCCCATTCTGTAGTTTGCTGTTTACTCTGTTAACAGTTTTTTTTTTTTTCTCTGCAGAAACTCTTTAGTTAATTCGGCTCCACTTGTCAATTTTTGTTTTTGTTGCAGTTGCTTTTGAGGACTTAGTCATGCATTATTTCCCAAGGCCAATGTCGAACATGATGTTTCCTAGATTTTCTTCTAGAATTCTTATAGTTTGAGGTCTTATATTGAAATCTTTAATCCATCTTGAGTTAGTTTTTTGTATATGGTGAAAGGTAGGCATTCAGTTTCATCCTTCTACATATGGCTAGCCAGCTATCTCCGCCCCATTTATTGAACAGGGAGTCTTTTCCCCATTGTTTATTTTTGTCAACTTTGTCAAAGAGCAGATGGTTGTAGGTGTGCAGCTTTATTTCTGTGTTACAGCAATCTTTATCTCTGGAATAGAGATTCTGTTGCAATGGTCCATGTGTCTGCTTTTGTACCAGTCCCATGTTGTTTTAGTTTCTGCAGCTTTGTCATATAGTTTGAAGTCAGGTAATGTGATGCCTCCAGTGATGTTCTTTTTTGCTTAGGATTACTTTCACTCATCAGACTCTTTTTTTTTTGGTCTCATATGAATGTTAAAATAGTTTTTTCTAACTCTGTAAACATGTCATTGATAGTTTGATAGGAACAGCGCTGAATCTGTAAATTGTTTTGAGCAGTACGGCCATTTTAAGAATATTGACTCTTCCTATCCATGAGCATAGAATGTTTTTTCATTTGTTTGTGTCATCCCTGATTTCTTTCAGCATTGTTTTATAATTCTCATTTAGAGATCTTTCATCCTCCTGGTTAGCTGTATTCCTAGGTATTTTTATTTTTTCTTCCAGCTATTATGAATGGAATTTTGTTCTTGGTGTGGCTCACAGCTTGGTGTATAGAAATGATATTGATTTTTTATACATTGATTTTTCATCCTGCAACTTTACTGAGTATCAGGTCTATGGCCTTTGGGCAGAGATTATGGAATTTTCTCATAATAGAGTCATATCATCTGCGAAGAGAGATAGTTTGACTTCCTCTCTTTCTAGTTGGATGCCTTTTATTTCTTTCTCTTACCTGATTGCTCTGGCTAAGATTTCCAGTCTTTCAACTAGTGGTTCTGAAGACTGAGATACAAACAGAAGTCATATAACCTTTTATTATGTAGCCTGAGAAGTCAGAAAGCATCATCTGCACTGTATTTATTAGTTAAGGCAGTTACAAAGGTTTGCCTCAGATCAAGCAGAGGGAACACAGACTTCACCTCTCAGTGGAGGAGTATCAATGTTACATTATAAAAAGATCTTGTGGGATGGAATATATGTTTTTAGAAAACTACAATTTTTGGAAATGCATTTTTGAAAAATGCAATGTGCCACAGTAGCTATAACTTTTTTTTCAGTTTCAAAAATGTCAGTTTTACATGGTTCAATCCATTATGCTCTTGAATAAAATTGCCAGAATTTTATTGTCCTTCATTTTCAATATTGGGAATTGTTGTGACTAATAAGTAATAATAATAGTATAATGAATAACTTATACGGTACAAAGAGTATAATAAAAAGGTTGTGGTATAGTGACATCAGCAAAAGTGGAATAAAAATGTTCAAAATTTTATCTCTTTATAAAATATGCGATAAAACTGGCAACAACTGTCAACATAAAGCTTTTTAGAACTCTGAAAACTAACCTAAGGTTTTCAGCAATCTAGGGAGTACTAATTCTAGCAAAATATCTGGTCTCAGTAAGAACATCGATTTGTGGTTTTTAACTTACCCTGTTTCCATTCTTCACAGAGAAGCAGCAGGCTTGAAAATAATGCCCAGATTCTTAACACCAATGCCAGAAGAAACAGAATGGACCTCATTCATGAAAAATTGGTCTGCCTGTTGACTCCCTGGAATATATTCTCAGAAGCCTTGTTTTTTCACCTAACCTGGACCTCACGCAGTGGTAAAGCTGCTACTTGGTGTGGGGCGGTATTAGAAAACATTTACAGAAAAACATTATAAATACTGCCGCCTGAACACTGGGGAAAACAATAGACTAAACAAAAGTCTTCAGAGGAAGTCCTGGGAATGAGATGCTTTGGGGAATGTGGGCTTTGAAAAGCTTCAACATATTTCTGAGAATTTGCAAAACTGTGTATGTCAAGGCTGTGTGCATGTTTAGTAAAAACCTGGGAAATTTCTACCTTCCCTGCACAAGCAGAAAGTGTAGGCCAAGGCAGAGTTGTAATCTGTGGCTGAGTGTTGAAAGCAGGGCCCAACACATACACAAAGCCCCTCTGCAAGTTCCAAACACATATGGAAATCTTTGTCAAATTATTAGCTGACCTCTAAGCTAATGGAAAAAATATTTTAATCGACATAGGTGACAAAAAATAGAGACCAAAAAGTTTATTCAGAAAAGATACTGAACAAACAAATAACTACAATGAGGAGTACAACGTGGGGAGGACGGAGAATCTTATTTCTAGAGTGGCCACATTATCATGTTTAAAATGTCTGGTATTCAAAAAAAGTATGAGACATGCAAAAAGAAAAAACCCAAGAAAGTATGGCACATGGAAAAGAAAACATGCAGTTAAAGAAATCTATCCCGAGGAGATCCAGACATTGGCTTTAATAGAAACAGACTTTAAATCAACTATTTTAGATATGTTCAAAGAGCTAAAGGAAACGGCACCTAAGGAACTAAAGAGAAACATGAGAATGATATCTCACAAAAATAGAGAATATCAACAAGAGACAATTAAAAAAAAAAACATGAGAATGATATCTCACAAAATAGAGGCTATCAATAATTTTTTTTTAAAAAATTATTTATTTTATAATGTTCTTTTAAAAAGAAACCAAATAGAAATTCTGGAGTTGAAAGATAAAATAATGGAAATGAAAAATACTCTAGAGGGCTAAACAGCAGATTTGAGGAGGTACAAAAAATTAGTGAACATGAAAATAGGTCAATTGAGATTATCCAGTTAGGGAAAATCTCAGAGAAAAGAATGAAGAATAATAAATGGAGCCTAATAGACCTGTGGAACACCATCAAGATATCAACATATGCATAATGGAAGTTCCAAAAAGAAAAGAGAGAGAGAAAGGTACAGAAAATATATTTGAAGATATAATTGTCTAATGCTTACCAAATTTTATAAAAAATTTAACCTACATGTACAATAAGCTCAATGTACTCTAGATGGATAAACTGAAAGAAACCACCCGAAGACATATCATAACCAAATGGCTCAAATCCAAAGCCAAAGAGTAAATCTTGAAAACAGTAGGAGAGAAGAGACTTATCATTTACAGTAGTTCCTTCTTATCCATGAGGGATACATTTCAAAACTCCTAGTGAATGCCTGAAACCATGGATAGTATTGAATCATACACATATTATGTTTTTTAATACATACTTACAATAACATTTAATCAAAATTTAAAATTTGATAATTTTATTATATAAATTGGGGGAGTACTCTTGCATTTTGGGGCCATTATTAAGTAAAATTATGGTTACTTGAATACAGGACTGTGATAGCGTGACAGTCAATCTGATAACCAGGACAGGTGCTAATTGACTAATGGGTCGGTAGCATATACAGGATGAATATTCTGGACAAAGGAATGGTTCACATCCCAAGTGGGATGAAGCCAGATAGCATGAGATTTCATCATGCTACTCGAATGGCATGCAATTGAAAATTGTTTATTTCTGAAATTTTCCATTTAATATTTTCAGGTGAAAGTTGACCATAGGTAACTGAAGCCATGGAAAGTAAAATTGCAGATAAGGGAAGATTAGTTATTAGTGATTCACAGTAAATTTACAGCTGACCTCTTTTAAGAATGCGGTGGGATGACAAAAAATTCTACAAGGAGTGATTTGGGCTGAAATGAAAGAACATTATATAGTAATTTCAAACACATAAAGGAGTAAAAATGCTGGTGTGTGTGTGTGTGTGTGTGTGTGTGTGTATCTTTAATAAAGGGAACTTTAGTATATATAAGCAATATCCTCTTTTCTTCTGATTTAAAAACAACTGCACATCACATTGCAGCATTACTCACATTACCCAAGATATTGAAAAAACCTAAGTGTTTATGAACAGATGGATAAAGGAATTATATACATAATAAAATATCACTCAGTTTTGTAAAAAAGTTTCTTTCATTTGCATCAACATGGATGAACCTAGAAGACATTATGCTAATAATAAATCAGGCACAGAAAGAAAAATACTGCATTGTCTCATTTATAGGTAGACCCTAAACAAAAAAGCCCCACAAAAGCCCTAAGAAATAGAATGGTTAGAAAGAGGTGGGAGATGTGTGGAAGATGGAAGATGAAAGCCAAAGGGTACAAGTTTCAGCTATATAAAATACATATGCCTAGAGATCTCATGTACAACACAAGAGCTGTAGTTAATAATGTATCATACTCCAGAAATTTGCCCAGAGCAGATTTTAGATACTTTTACCACAAAAAAGTAACTATGTGAGATGACGGATATGTTAATTTGCTTGATTATGGCAATCATTGCACTATATATATATGTATATATACACAAACATAATATTGTATATCTTAAATACAATAAAAAGAAAGTCAACGCATAAAGCAATAAATATAAACCTATGTTGATGATCATACGATGTATAAAGATGTGATTTAGGTTGGGCCCGGTTGCTCACGCCTGTAATCCCAGCACTTTGGGAGGCCGAGGCGGGCGGATCACCTGAGGTCAGGAGTTCGAGAGCAGCCTGACCAACATGGAGAAATCCCGTGTCTACCAAAAATACAAAATTAGCTGGGCATGGTGGCCCATGCCTGTAATCTCAGCCAAAAAAAGCAGGGGTTGCAATTCTAGTCCCTGACAAAACAGAGTTTAAACCAACAAAGATAAAAAAAGACAAAGAAGAGTATTACATAATGATAAAGGGATCAATTCAACAAGAAGAGCTAACTATCCTAAATATATATGCACCCAATACAGGAGCACCTAGATTCATAAAACAAATTCTTAGACACCTGCAAAGAGACTTAGACTCCCGCAAAATAATAATGGGAGACTTTAACACCCCACTGTCAATATTAGATCAACAAGACAGAAAATTAACAAAGATATGCAGGACTTGAACTCAGCTCTGGATCTAGTGGACTTAATAACATCTACAGAACTCTCCACCCCATATCAACAGAATATATATTCTATTCAGTGCCACATGACACATATTCTAAAATCGACTGCATAGTTGGCAGTAAAACACTCATCAGAAAATGCAAAAGAACTGAAAATATAACAAACGGTCTCTCAGACCAGAGTGCAATCAAATTAGAACTCAGGATGAAGAAACTCACTCAAAACCACACAACTACATGGAAATTGAACAACCTGCTCCTGAATGACTCCTGGGTAAATAAGGAAATTAAGGCAGAAATCAAGAAGTTATTTGAAACCAATGAGAACAAAGACCACATACCAGACTCTCTGGGACACAGCTAAAGCAGTGTTAAGAGGGAAATTTATAGCACTAAATGCCCACATCAGAAAGCTAGAAAGATCTCAAAAATGACAGCCTAACATCACAATTAGAAGAGCTAGAGGAGCAACAACAAACAAATCCAAAAGCTAACAGAAGGCAAGAAATAACTAAGATCAGAGCAGAACTGAAGGAGATAGAGATACAAAAAAACCCTTCAAGAAATCAATTAATCCACAAGCTGATTTCTTGAAGAAATTAACAAAATAGACCACTAGCTAGACTAATAAAGAAGAAAAGAGAGGAGAATCAAATAGACACAATAAAAATGATAAAGGGGATATCACCACTGACCCTACAGAAATACAAACTATCACTAGAGAATACTATAAATACCTCTATGCAAATAAACTAGAAAACCTAGAAGAAATGCATAAATTCCTGGACATATACACCCTCTCAAGACTAAACCTGGAAGAAGGTGAATCCCTGAATAGACCAGTAAGAAGCTGTGAAATTGAGACAGTAATTAATAGTCTACCACCCAAAAAAAGTCCAGGACCAGACTGATTCAGAGCTGAATTCCACCAGAGATAGAAAACCAGCACAAGACAAGGATACCCTCTCTCACCGCTCCTATTCAACATAGTATTGGAACTTCTGGCCAGGGCAAACAGGCAAGAGAAAGAAATAAAAGTATTCAAATAGGAAGAGAGGAAGTCAAATTGTCTCTGTTTGCAGATGATGTGATTCCCTCTTTAATAAATGGTGATGGGAAAAATGGCTAGCCATATTCAGAAAATTAAAAGTGGACCCCTTCCTTACACCTTATACAAAATTTAACTCAAGATGCATTAAAGACTTAAATGTAAAACCCAAAACCATAAAGATTCTAGGAGAAAACCTAGGCAATACCATTCAGGACATAGGCATGGGCAAAGACTTCATGACGAAAATGCCAAAAGCATTTGTAACAAAAGTCAAAATTGACAAATGGGATCTAATTAAGCTAAAGAGCTTCTGCACAGCAAAAGAAACTATCATCAGAGTGAAGAGGAAACCTACAGAATGGGAGAAAATTTTTGAAATCTCCCCATCTGACAAAGGTCTAATATCCAGAATCTACAAGGAGCTTAAACAAATTTACAAGAAAAAACAACCCCCTTAAAAATTTGGCAAAGAATATGAACAGACACTTCTCAAAAGAAGACATTTATGCGGCTAACAAACATAAAAAAAAGCTCAACATCACTGATTATTAAAGAAATGCAAATCAAAACCACAATGAGATAATATTTCATGCCAGTCAGAATGGTGATTATTAAAAAGTCAAGAAGCAATAGATGCTGGTGATGCTCTGGAGAAATAGGAATGCTTTTACACTGTTGGTGGGAATGTAAATCAGATCAACCATTGTAGAAGACAGTGTGGCGATTCTTCAAGGATCTAGAACCAGAAATACCATTTGTCCCAGCAATCCCATTACTGGGCATATACCCAAAGGAATCATAAATCATTCTACTGTAAAGATACAAGCACACGTATGTTTATTACAGCACTATTTACAATAGGAAAGACATGTAACCAACCCAAATGACTATCAGTGATAGACTGGTAAAGAAAATGTGGCAAATATACACCATGGAATACTATGCAGCCATAAAAAGGAATGAGAACATGTCCTTTGCAGGGACATGGATGAAGCTGGAAGCCATCATCCTCAGCAAACTAACACAGGAACAGAAAAACTAACACCACGTGTTCTCACTCATATGTGGGAGTTGAACAATGAGAACACATGGACACAGGAAGGGGAACAACACACACCAGGGCCAGTAAGGGGATGGGGGCGCGAGGGGAGGGAGAGCATTAGGATAAACAGCTCATTCATGTGGAGCTTAAAACCTAAATGACGGGTTGCTAGGAGCAGCAAACCACCAGGGCACAGGTAAACCTTGCAACAAACCTACACGTTTTGCACTTGTATCCCAGAACTTAAAGTAAAATGAAAAAATAAAAACAAGTAGTACAAGAACAAGATAATTAAAATGATACACTAGAAATATTTAATACAAAGGAAGGCAATAATGGAGGAATGAAAGAATTGAAGAACAAAAAAGATATAAGATATATAGACAACAAATAGAAAAATGGCAGAAATCCTTCCTTATTAGGAATTATAGTCCATGTAAATGAATTAAATTCTACAATTAAAGGCAGAGATTGAGAGAATATATTTAAAAACATGATCCAATTATATGTTATCTATGAGGCTCATTTTAGATTAAAATACACAAGTAGTTTGAAAAAAAAGAATGGAAAATAATATTTCATGCAAATTGTGACCAAAAAAGAGCAGAAATAGCTATATTAATGTCAGACAAAATAGACTTCAAGACAAAATTTTTATAACCAAAAGGATATTGTATAATATTAAAAGGGTCAATCCATTAATAAGATATAATAATTATAAATATGTATGCACCTAATAAGAGAGCCCTGAAATACATATATGCTAATATAACTGAAGAGAGAATAGCTAAAAAGTATGGATATTCTGATACTCTAAATTTAATAATACAAAATAACTAGATAGAAGACCGGTAAGAAAATGGAAAACTTGAGCAACACTATAAACCAGTAGACTAACAGACATCTATACAACACTCCAATTAACAACAGGTGAATACATATTTTTTTCTTAAGTAAACACAAAACAGTCTCCAGAATAGTCCACGTTAGGCCATAAAATAAATCTCAGAAAATTTTAAAATATTAAAATCATACAAAATACTTTCTCCAATCACTGTGGGATGAAACTAAAAATCAGTAACAGAAAAAAAAACTGAAAAATTCACAAATATGTGAGAATTAAACACCATACCCCTACATAACCAATGTGTCCAAGAAGAAATCACAAAGGGAATTGAAAAATACTTGGAGAAGAACGAAAATGAAAATACAATCAGGGATGCAGCAAAAGCTAAGCTCAGATAAAAATTTATAGATGTAAACCCTTACCTTAAAAAAGAATGAATAAAATAGATAGCTAACATTCGAAATTCAGAACCCAGGAAAAGAAGAACTAATTAAATTCACAGCAAGCAGGAAAAATAAAATAATAAATATTAGAGCAAAGTGAAATAGAGAATAACAAAACAGTAGAGAAATCAACAAAACCAAAAGTTGATTATTTGAAAAGATCGAGAAACTTGACTAACCTTTTGCTATACTGACCAAGGAAAAAAGGAAGAATACATAAATTACTAAAATTAAAAATAAAGGCCAGGCGCGGTGGATCACGCCTGTAATCCCAGCACTTTGGGAGGCTGAGGCAGGCAGATCACGAGATCAGGAGATCAAGACCATCCTGGTTAACATGGTGAAACCCCGTCTCTACTAAAAAAATACAAAAAATTAGCCGGGCGTGGTGGCGGGCGCCTGGAGTCCCAGCTACTTCGGAGGCTGATGCAGGAGAATGGCGTGAACCCAGGAGGCAGAGCTTGCAGTGAGCGGAGATGGCGCCACTGCACTCCAGCCTGGGCAACAAAGCGAGACTCTGTCTCAAAAAAAAAAAAAAAAAAAAAAAAAAAAGAGTGGGGATACTACTACCAAACTTACATAGATAAAAGAAATTATAAGCGAACCCTATGAATAATTGTATGTCAACAAATTAGATACCCTAAATAAAATGATGGACAATTTCTACAAATAAACTACCAAAACTGAGTCAAGAAGAAATAAAAAATACAGATAGACATATAACAAGTGACGGTAGTGAGTCTGTGATCAAAAACTTCCAAAAATATAATCCAGGACCAGATGGCTGTACTAGTGAATTTAATCACGTTTAAAGAATAATGAAGGCTAAGCTTTCCTACAGTCTTTAAAAAATTATGACACATTTCCAAACTAATTTTATGTGACCAGTATTACCCTGACATGAAAGCAAGACAAAGACATTACCAGAAATGAAAACTAGTCCAGTATTCTTTATAAATAAAGATACAAAAATTCTTAACAAAATACTTTAAAATGGAATCTAGCAATACATTAGAAGGATTATACACCACAACCAAGTGCAATTTATTTTAAGAATTGGCTTGTGGGCGGTGGCTCAAGCCGGTAATCCCGGCACTTTGGGAGGCTAAGGCAGGCAGGTCACTTGAGGCCAGGAGTTCGAGACCAGCCTGGCCAACATGGCAATACTCCATCTCCACTAAAGATACAAATTTAGCTGGGCGCGGTGGCGCACGACTGTAATTTCAGCTACTCCGGTGGCTGAGGCAAGAGAATCGCTTGAACCCGAGAAGCAGAGGCTGCAGTGAGGTGAGATTGCACCACTGCCCTCCAGCCTGGGTGACACAGCAAGACCCTGTCTCAAAAAAAAAAAAAAAAGAAGAAAAAAAAGAAGTTTTTTTAAATCTGCAAAATCAATCAATATTAGTAGAATAAAGGGAAAAAAAGCCACAAGCGTCTCAAAAGACATAAACAATTATTTGACAAAATCTAGTGTCCTTTCATGATGACACTCAAGAAATCATAAATCCAAGACAATTTTCTCACCCTGATAACGAGCATCGATAAGAAAAGTGTAGCTAACATCATACCTAATAGTGAAAGACTAAAAGGTTTTCTCCTAAAAACAGGAACAAGAAAAGAATGTCTGTCCTTGACACTTCCGTTCAACAATGTGCTGAAAGTTCTAGCAAAGGCAATTAGGCTAAGAAGAAACTAAAGGCATTCGGAGGAAAGGAAGAAGCATTATTATCTCCATTAAGCCATGAAATGATATTACATGTAGAATACTCAAAAGAATTCACAAAAATCTATTAGGGCTAATAAACAATTTCAACAAAGTTTGAAGATACAAGATCAATATGCAAAAATCAGCTGCATTTCTTTTCTGTAATAGGAATGAACAACTTGGAAGTTAAATGAAGAAAACAATGATACTTACAATAGCATAAAACATTAAATACATAGGAAATAGTGCAATGAAGCAAGTGTAAGACTTGTCCGCTGAGTCTACAAAATATTTTTGAAAGAAAAAGAAGACCCAAGTGAATGGAAAGATTTCTCATGCTCATGAGTTGGAAGATTTAATATAATTTAACTGAAAATACTTCCCAAATTGATTTACAGATTTAATGCAACCCCTATCAAAATTCTGTCTTTTTGCAGAAATTGACAAAAATTATTCTAAAATTTATATAGAAATGAAAAGACGATTAAATATCCAAAACAATTTTGAAATAGAAGAACAAAGTGGGAGCACTCAAATTTCTCAATTTCAAAACTTACCTCAAAGTCACAATAATCTGAACAGTGTGATAATGGTGTAAGAATAGACATATAGACTGATAAAATCAAATTTAAAGTTCAGAAATAAACCCATTCATCTACATGCAATTGATTTTCAACAAGGGTGCCAAGACCATTTAATGAGGAACGAATAGTCTTCAACAAATGGTGCTGGGACAACTGGATATCCACATGTAAAAGGAAAAATTTGTCTACCTCATGCCATATATGAGAATTAATTCAAAACTGACCAAAGACCTTAATGTGATAACTAAAATTGTAAATGTTTAGGAAAAAATGGTACAAATATTTGTGACCTTAGATTAGGCAATGCTTTCTTAAATATGACACCAAAAACATAGCCACAAAAAATAGTTAAATTGGACTTCATTTAAGTTAAAAATTTGAGTGCATTAAAGGATACTGCCAAGGAAGGGGAAAAAAGCCCAATGAATATGAGAAAAATATTTGAAAATTGGATTAATATCCAGAATATATAAAGAACTACTACAAATCAGCAGCAGCAACAACGACAATAAAACACAAATGATCTAAGAAATGATCAAAAGATTTGAATAGTTTTTTGAAAAAGATATTTAAGTGGGCTATAAGCACATGAAAGGGAAATGAAAATCAAAACCACAATGAGATACCATTTGATATCGAGTGGAATAACTATCATCAAGAAAGATGGAAAATAACAAGTGTTGTGGAAAATGTGGAGAAATTGGATTCTCATACATTTCTGATGGAAACATAAAATGGTGGAGGTAGTTTGAAAAACAGGTTGGCATTTCTTAAAGAATTAAAAATAGAGTCACCATATAACCCAGCAATTCTACTCTTAGGTATATACTTAAGAAAATAGTTTCTACCTAAGAGTTGAAAAATTCTCAATGAATTCTCATAGCAGCATTATTCATAATAGTAAAAAAACCTGAAATAACCCAAATGCCCATCAGCTGATAAATATATAAACACAATGTGGTATATTTATATAACACAGTATTATTTATTGATAGAAGGAATGAAATAGCTATATATCCTACAACTTGGATGACCTTGAAAAATTATGTTAAGTTATGGAAGGCAGACACAAATGGGTATATATTTTATAATTCCAGTTATGTACTGTCCAGAATAGTCAAATCTATAAAGATAGAAAACAAATTATTAGTTTCTGGGGATTAGAGAAGGAGTTTCTTTTTGGGGTGATGGAAAGGTTTTGGAATCAAATAGTGGTGATGGCTGCACAACATTGTAAATATACTAACATCTATTAAATTAAACAAATCAAAATGGTTGAAATAGTGAATATTTCATTGTGTGAATATTATCTTAATAAAAATTGTTTTGATAAATACGATGTTTTGGAGTGTCCCTTTTTCTTTTTTTCTTAGAAGAGTTGGATATAATTACAATTTTTTAAATTTCTGAAATGTGGTTGAAAATATAAGTTAAGTGCCCTCTTTTTTGGAAGGTTATTGATTACAGAATTAGTTGCTTTATTAATTCAGGAAAACATTCTTATTTTCTGTTTCATCTTGAGTTAATTTTGTCAAGTTTCGTTAATGGTTTTGCATATTTAAAGATGCTTCCTTTTTTCCTGTTACTTTTATTTGTGCATTTTATTTTCTTTGTAATTCATACTGCAAAGACTGAGATGTTTCTGTTTTCTATTATTATTTTCTTCTGAGATCAGATGAGATCAGGAGTGTTCATGATGGTATTGCCAAAGACTCACCATTATTATTTTCTAATATTAGCAATTATGACCCTGAATTTCCTCTTTAATATTATACCAATGGAATCCAAAAAGTTTTAATAAGTAATATTTTAATTTCAATATATTTATTTTTTCACTAAGATTTTTTTCTTTAATTAACTGGGTTTTAGAACAGTTTCTTATAATTTCATATCAGTGTGATAAATGAACACTTTCTGTAGAGTGTCAGTTATTTGACTTTTGTTAAGATTTGGCATGTAGAACAAATCGTTATATGGTCAATATTTGTGCATATTCAATATGTCCTATTAAAACTGTATTCTGTAGTTGTTGAATGAAGTTATTTGTAATTATTCCCTTCACAAAAATAGTAAATTTTTATTAACATCCAATGTATTATTGATGTTTAAAGTCTTCTTTTTCTTTGAATGACTAAGAAAAATAAGTTATAATCTCCCACTATAGTTTGGAATTTTTTCATTTTTCCTTGTAGGTTGCTCAATTTTTGTTTTATAAATTTGATGCTATGTTATTAAAGTGCACATATTTTGATGTATATATTTTTCTGGTACCACACTGTTTTGGTGACTATGATCTTATAGCATACTTTGAAATCAGGTAGTGTGATGCCTCCAGATTTGTTCTTATTGCTTTGTCTTGCTTTGGATATGTGGGCTCTTTTTTGGTTCCATATGAATTTTAGAATTGTTTTTACTAACTCTGAAGAATGATGGTGGTGTTCTGATGACTCCATGGGGGTCATCCACGTTGTAGGATATATAGCTATTTCATTCCTTCTATCAATAAATAATACTGTATTATATAAATATACCACAATGTGTTTATATATTTATCAGCTGATGGGCATTTGGGTTATTTCAGCTTTTTTACTATTATGAATAATGCTGCTATAAGAATTCACTGAGAATTTTTCAACTCTTACGTACAAACTTTTTTCTTAAGTATATACCTAAGAGTGGAATTGCTGGGTTATATGCTAACTCTATTTTTAATTCTTTGAAAACTGCCAACCTGTTTTTCAAACTGCTTCCACCATTTTGGTGGTTTAAGGCTCTATTTTTTGTGCTGATGGGCCTCCTGCTGGGAGATGGCGCTTTCCAGAAAGCATCCGCTGTAGTAGTGTTGAGAGATGACAACATGCTAGCAACCCTCGCTTGCTCTCAGTGCCTCCTTGGCCTCGGCGTCCACTCTGGTTGCACTCGAGGAGCCCTTCAGCCCGCCACTGCACTGTGGGGGTCCCTCTCTGGGGCTGGTCAAGGCCAGAGCCGGCTCCCTCTGCTCGCAGGGTGTGGAGGGAGAGGCCGTGGTGGGAGCCGGGGCTGCGTGTGGCCCTTGTGGGCTGGCGCGGGTTCTGCGTGGGCGCGGGCTCGGTGGGCCCCACACTTGAGGCGGCTGGCCGGTGCCTGCTGGGCTTGACCGGGGGATGAGCTCTCTCTAGGCTGCTGGAGTGCCAGGGCTGGGTGCTGCAAAGTCCTGTGTGGCGAGTGCCATCAAGAGGTGAAGCCGGCTGGGCTTCTGGGCCCGCTGGGGACTTGGAGAACTTTTCTGTCTAGCTAAATGATTGTAAAAGCACCAATCAGCACTCTGTGTCTAGCTAAAACTTTGTAAATGCACCAATCAGCGCTCTGGGTCTAGCTAATCTGGTGGGGGACTTGAAGAACTTTTGTGTCCAGCTAAAGGATTTTAAATGCACCAATCAGCACTCTGTCTAGCTAAAGGTTTGTAAATACACCAGTCAGCACTCTGTCAAAACGGACCAATCAGCTCTCTGTAAAATGGACCAATCAGCAGGATATGGATGGGGGCCAGACAAGGGAATAAAAGCAGGCCACCGGAGCCCACAGCTCAACAGGCTTGGGTCCCCTTCCATGCTGTGGGAAGTTTGTTCTTTCGCTTTTTGCAACATAGCTTGCTGCTGCTCACTCTTTGGTTTCGTGCCGCCTTTAAGCGCTGTAACACTCACTGCGAAGGTCTGCAACTTCACTTCTGAGGCCAGCCAGACCATGAACCCACTGGGAGGAATAAGCAACTCTGGACACACCATCTTTAAGAATTGTTAACACTCACCAGGAGGGTCTGCGGCTTCATTCTTAAACTCAGCGAGACCAAGAACCCACCAATTCCGGACACTGTGGAGAGGGACCAGTGGTGGGCAGGGCTCCAGAACTCCAAAGATCATATGTTCTTTGTCTTCTGCTACCAGGGTGGATATGGAAGGACCATCAGGTGGGGGTGGGGCTAGGCGTGCCTGAGCTCAGACTCTCCTTGGGTGGGTCTTGCTTTGGCTGCTGTGGGGGATGGAGGTGAGATTCCCAGGTCAGTGGAGTTGTGTACCTAGAAGGATTATGACTGCCTCTGCTGAGTCATGCAGGTTGTCAGGGAAGTTGGGGAAAGCTAGCTTCCATGCACACTGAAAGGCTGGTCTCACTCCCACAATGCCCCTTGTGATAGCCCGGAGTCTGTTTCCAGGCCGAAGGCGAATCTGGCTTGAAAACTTACCTGAGGCTTTCTGCCTCCCGACTGACAAAGAAATGGGCTTCAGTTCTTACCCCGCCTGTGAAGTCTGCAAGCCTGATTCACGCCCTCCCCCGAGTTCTGGCCAGGAGGCTTCCAGCCCCATTCAATTTTTTACAAAGTTCAGCTAGAGAGGTTCTTCTCCCTGTGAAGTTTTACCCCCTACTCCTCTGGCCACCCCCCCGATGGATGTCTGCGGTGCCAGGCAGGAATGGGCTACTTGGGGATCCAGCGGCCTTCCAGTGCCTTTGTGCTACTTCCTCTACTCCTGTATGTTGCTCAGCTCGGCTCTCTAACTTGACTCAGCTCCAGGTAAAGTCACGAACTTCTCCCACAAACAGACTTTCAGCTTCTCCAGTGGGGGTGTGTGTTCATGAGACGAGGGTCTCCCTTTCCCATTTCCGTGGTTAGGGGACTTAAAGTATTTGGGGTGTCTCCCAGGTCCTGCAAGAGCAGTCTGCTTCCTTCGGAGGGTCTGTGGGTCCTGTCAGGATTGCTGGTCTGCTCTTGCAGTCCATCTGGAGCTAAAATTCACAACGCAAGCCTCCGCATGCTGCTCTGTCCAGAGCTGCCATCTAGTTCTGCCTCCTGTCTGTCATAATCCCTCATGACCCTTGAGCTTTTTTTTTCATATGATTGTTGGCAGCATGTATGTCTTCTTTTGAGAAGTGTCTGATCATGTTTTTGCCTATTTTTAAAGTTTTTTTTTTTTGTAAATTTGTTTAAGTTCCTTGTAGATGCTGTATATTGGATCTTTGTGGAATGCATAGCTTGCAAAAGTTTTCTCCCATTCTGCAGGTTGTCTTTTTGCTCTGTTAATAGTTTCTTTTGCTGCCCAGAAGCTCCTTAGTTTAATTACATCCCATTCGTCAATTTTTGCTTTTGTCACAATTGCTTTTGGTGTCATTGTTATAAAATTTTCGCCCGTGCCTATGTCCTGAATGGTATTGCCTAGGTTGTCTTCCAGGGTTTTTATAGTTTTGTGTTTCACACTTAAGTCTTTAATCCATTTAATCCTGCATATGAAGACCGATCTTTATGTTTAGAAATTCTTTCATCTTCTTAATCTAGTCTATTGTTGAGGTTCTCAAATTGTATTATTTATTTTATTTATTGAATTATTCAATTTCAGCTGTTAAATTCCTTTTCACTCATTTTATGGATTTGTTTGATTGAAATCTGTTGCTGGAGAATTATTGGTTTTCCTTCAGGGATGCTATGTTTCCTTGCTCTTTAATGTTTCTTATGTCCTTACATTGATATTTGAATATCTGGTAAAACAGTTGCTTCTTCTAATTTTATAGATTGGCTTTGGTAGTAAAAGACTGACTTCTGTAGCTGTATCTATACTGTTGAATCAGTAAGACACTTTGCCTTTAGTTCTGAGTTGGTTCAGTAGTTTATACTTCTATGATTTCTTCAGCTATAATCAGCATCACTGATGTCTGTGAGCTCCTCAGTGTCTTAGCCTTCATTGTTAATGGAGGCTGTGGTGAGATTTTGCTGGGGAAAGACAGGCCAGGCAGTTTGGTCCTTGGGCACCAGTTGCATTGGTCTTTGAACTTGTGGGTGATGAACGTGGGCACCAGTGGTTGAAGTTTCAGGCAGGCCATCCTTGGGCCTTCAGGTGGCTTTTTTTTTTTTTTTTGAGATGAAGTTTTGCTCTGTTGCCCAGGCTGGTGTGCAATGGCGTGTTCTCAGCTCACTGCAACCTCCGCCTCCCAGGTTCAAGCAATTCTCCTGCCTCAGCCTCCCGAGTAGCTGGGATTACAGGCATGCACCTCCATGCCCGGCTAATTTTGTATTTTTTTTTTTTTGTTTTTTTTTTTTTAGTAGAGATGGAGTTTCTCCATGTTGGTCAGGCTGGTCTTGAACTCCCGACCTCAGGTGATCTGCCCCCTTCAGCCTTCCAAAGTGCTGGGATTACAGGCGTGAGTCAGGTGGCTTTCTCAAGTGCCAGCAGTGACAGTGGTGAGCTAGGGAGATAGGCATGCCCTCAAGACCCTGTGCTGTAGTCATAGCAGGTCAACTCTTGTGACCCCAGATGGCATGTGCAGACACCAACAGTCATGGCAACATGATGGACAGAGTAGTCCTCAGGCTTTCACCTGGTGCAAATATGTGGGCATTGGTGGCAGCCGTGATGGCAGGCTGGGAAGTCCTATCCTTAGGCTCTCAGGAGACACACAGGTACTTGATGGTGATAGGCATGGTGGATTAATCCCCAGGCTCCCAGACAATGTGCACAGGCACCACCAGGCTGGGTGGGCTCATACTTAGGTCACAAGAAGGCATGCACAGGTGCCAATGACAGACAGCAGTGTGGGTTGATCCCCAGCGTCCTGGACAACGACCTTGGGTAGTGGTAGTGACAGCAATGGGTGGGATGGGCCTGTGCTCTGGCCCTGGAATAGTGCTCAGGCAGGTGAGTCCCCAGGTCCCCTGAGGATGCCTGCAGGTGTGCAGTGGCCCTGCTCCTGGGGGTCAGGATTGCTGTCAGTGTCAGTGGTCCTGGGAAGGTGACTCTCCACTTGTGAAGAGTGCCTGCTTCAGCTCCCTTTGTTCTGGGGGCAGCCTCTCTAGTGAATGGCACTGCCAGTTCCCTGGAGTGTAGGACACTGTGTAGGCTAGAGTGATGGGGACCAAGCTACACTGGTGAGTTCAGCTGGTATTGTGACTCTGCAGGCCTCTGGATGGACATGAGGGAATGTCACTGAGGGTCCAGAGATGTGGAGATGCAGGGGCTGTTGGGCCCCAGGGCAGGATGTAGTCTTTTGGGGGCTGGGCTCTCAAATTGGCATTGTGCCACAGCTGCCTGTGTCTGGGGGCAGGTGCAGATGATCCAGTGCCAACTCCTTCTCTGGGACAATGACCATCACATACACTCCAGGCAGCTCCCTATAGTAGTCTCAGGGCCTGCGAGGGCTGAGAGACCGTCCCTTGGCTAGGATTGCAGTGTCCACAGTGGGAATATGGACCACTGGGGCTCTCTTTTTTACCTTTTCACCACACTGCAGAGCCTGTCCTGGCTTTAAGCTGATTCTGGCTGGGCTGCTGCTTCATTTTCCTTTCCTTCCATGCCTCAGAGATTCCTCGTCACTTTGCTGCTGAATTCTAGTGCCCTCTTTCATGCCCTCTTCAAGGTATGATTATCTACTTGCTGTTTTGGTCTTTCTTTGGGAGGACACAGTGCCTGGTACCTCTAGTCAGCCATCTTGAAGGCCACCTCCTAGCAATGAGAAGATAATATTCTAGGTGACGGCTTTAATATACATGTCCAAACTGCTTCTTTTCTAGGGAAGCACTTACTCTAAGAAATAAATGTTATATAGTGCAAAAATATATTAAAGGGTCAGTTGGTGATGCGGTTTCAAGAGTGGCACTGAGGAAAACTTGGCACTTCCACAGGGTTGAGTTGGTTGGAATATATCTCAGTCTCTGAGATTTTGAACCCAATGTTTTGAACTTTTTGAGATTTCGAGTAGTCCATGTGACATAACTTAACATTGTTTCTTGGCCAAATCAGTCATAGTGAAAAATAAAATCCAGCTAATATACTTTTAAATATCTTGATTCTATACTCTTTCAATGACCAAGGGGAGGCCCCTCACTACTTTACACAAAAAAGAAAACTCTATGAATGAGAATCTCTTCACACAAAGCCACTAAAATTGTGTCTAAATGGAGCAAAATTGTGACAGGTGGTAAAAGCACTCAGTGGCTGTTGTAGGCAGAATAATGTCCCCTCTGTCTCCTGCCAAAGCTATCCACATCCTAACTCCTGGGTCCTGTGAATGTGCCACCTTGTAAGGCAAAGGGGAATTGAGGTTTCATGTGAAATTAAGGCTGTTAATCAGCTGACCTTAAAATAGGGAGATTATCTTAGATTATCCAGGTGGGCCCAACGTAATCATGAGTCCTAAAAAATGGAAGAGTGGGGAGAAGATGAATTCAGAATGATGGAATGTGAGGACTCAATGCTCCATTGCTGGCTTTGAAAATGGATGAAGGAAGCTATGGTTCCCAGGAGTAGCCTGTCATTGCTGGGATAAAGGTGCAGGAAGAAAACTGCAGAGCTTCCAGAAGAAAGCTCAGCCCTGCTAACACCTTGATGTTGGCCCACAGAGATCCATCTGAAACCTGCAGCCTATAGAACTGTCAGATAATGCATTTGTGTTGCTTTAAGCCACTAAGTTTGTTGTAATTTGTGATAGCAGCCATAGGAAGCCAATACAGTGTTTTAAAAGATGGCAGAAAATGCTGAATGATTATGCCCAGTGAAAGCTGGGAACTGAAGGAATTCCCTGAATCTTGGCCAGGCATGCATGTACAGACCCAGGGATTTGCCTCCGAAAAGGGTGCTGAAGAAATTGCCTTTATTCTGAGTGCAACTCTTTTTATAATTTAGATTTCTGGTGAAGTCTGGTTGACGTGATTGTGCAATTTTCATATGTGGTGCACCTTTATCAGGGAGAGACAGACCCCTGCAAGGCTGCATGGAATAGGATGGCGCATTTTCCCTGTAAAAAATGGGAGTGGTCTTCCCACATGCAGGGTGAAGGGTTACAGTGCTAGACAAATCAATAGGTATGGTTGAAAGTTCCCCCACCCTCCTGTAAGTCATTTTCAACTAAGAGCTCATCTAGATGGGATAGAAGGATACTGGAAACCAAACAGTAATCAAGTCATAACATGGCATATAAACTTATTTCTTTCTTTCTTTCTTTCTTTATTTTTTTTTTGAGACAGTGTCTTGCTCTGTCACCCAGGCTGGAGTGCAGTGTCGGGATCTCGGCTCACTGCAGCCTCCACCTCATGGGTTCAAACGATTCTCCTGCTTCAGCCTCCTGCGTAGCTGGGATTACAGGTGCCCGCCACCATGCCTGGCTAAATTTTTGTATTTTTAAAAGAGACAGGGTTTCACCATGTTGGCCAGAATGGTCTTGATCTCCTGACCTCACGATCCACCCAGCTTGGCCTCCCAAAGTGCTAGGATTACAGGCATGAGTCACCGCACCCAGCCAGTAATATAAACTTTTAAAAGAGGTTTTGTGCTGGTTGGTTTTGGTTTATTCTTTTTTGAGGATTCAATAAAAATCCCTGTGAGAAAAATGGAGAGAGGGAACGGGAGACAGGGAGATAGGGACAGGGAGAGAGAAAAAAGAGAACCTAAAACCACCAGAAAACAACAGGCTTCAGTCCTTTTTGTGTGTAGTGCTCTCAATTCTTGGTTGATGCTCCAGAGGCAGGCAGCAGGGTCGGCTATTTAAACATCTCCCTACATGGATTTCTGTTTCGAGGCAAAAGTCCTGACAGGAGCCATTTGGACGTTCACAGATCTCCTTGAATTTGCCCCTGGCTACAGCAGAAGAGGGTTATTGTAAGCATTCATCAGTCTTTACTTTGTATTGAATTACATGGACGTAGGGGGCAGTGCCTGAAAATAATCTTGTGTGGATTTGTGTGTGTGTGTGTGTTATTTGATTTCTTAAACACTTAAAAATCTGCTGTCACACAAAAATTTGGATTTTTTGGTGTTCTTGAAAAATCTGAGAATGTTGGGTGCACCTACATGACAAAAGGCTGGAGGTGAGTAGCCCGCTCCCCTTTACAAGTTCTAGAGCATGCAAGTTTCAGTTTATTTCTTCCTTATTATCTTCCAACACTGATGGGAGATTTCAGCCTTTCAAAAAAATATAATGTCTTGTACTATGGATTTTCCTGGAGTGAAAGAGAAGAAAATCTCTTTTGGCTCATCTCTTTTTACTCCTACACACACACACACACACACACACACACACACACACACACTCTATATGATAGATTATAACAGATGTATCTTTCAAAAGTAGAACTGAAATTTAGACCTAAAAGATAATATACTTTAATTGTTAGAGAGGATATTTTTCCTGTTGAAGGGAACAATATTCCTATGTGTTTAATACACAAATATATCTGTGCCAGTACTTGTTACCCCCTGAGACTTCACACACTACTTATATCTCTGGCACTGGTCTTTGAGGTTGCAATTTTTCTTTAGAAACCATTGCATATATTAAGAGTGAAACATTCAAGGTCTTCTTAAAGGCTTAAAAACTATACTTGTTGAAAACATTGAATAGTATTTCATTTATGTCCGAAAATATCACTGCTCTGGGGATAGGCCACACACACTGAGGTATTTAGTTTGAAAAGTGTTTTAATTCTGAGCAGTCTTTGTATGTAACACAGAGCACCTTTTCCATGACAACTTCTTGGCAATAAGAGAAGTATAAAAACCAGCACCTTTTTTTTTTTTCTATTCTGGAACACAAAAGCCAATTCTAGAATAGCTTTCAATCAGTACAGCAATTTTAATAAACATTCAATAAATGCCTATTTAATTGAACTGAAATCCAAATGTATTAGATTCCATTTAACTTTTCAATGGTCACAAAGCAGTTAGTGGATTGATGTGAAGACCAAATATATGCAACATCATATTTATATCTATAAGGCAAATTGGGAAATAAAGGTCATGCCTTTCTGAAGACAATGGTAATTCTAAATGTTGACCACTTGGTAGAAACAAGCTGAAATCTGAGTTTTTTGATCCCTGAGCTTTCCATCTCTTCCTTTTATCTGTAAGTAGTCAGCTACTAAGTATAGTAGTACCCAAGCCCACTGGCCTTGTGCTAAAATTGGCCCTTTGCAGCTGGAAGAGTCATAAGAGATTAGTATAGTGTAGAGGATGAACCACTGACCTGTCTTGTGATATGTGATAAATCACTCTTGGACATCCCTCTGTGGTAGTACTTCTTGCATTCTACTATGGGTGGCGTTTTCCCATCTGACCTCAATTCTTGATAATGAATTTCTTGAGGGCAGGAATCATATCTTATTCTCCTCTGTATGTATATTCCAGAATCTGATTAAAGTCTTGTCTTATAATAGCTATTCAGTAAATGATTGTGGAATAATTGATTAAAATACAGCTATTTTCTAACTTGCAATATGTTTGTGTGGAAATTTGTTGTTACTCTCGGTTCACAGGTCTTTGAATCATGTGTACTATTTTACTATACCTGATTCTATTGAGCATTATATTTTCAAACCACTTTTCAAGAAACTTAATACAGAACTACCATTTGACCCACTAATCTCACTACTGGGTGTATATCCAAAGGAAAGTAAATCAGTCTTGTAAAAAGACCTAAATTTGTATGTTCATCACAGTGGTATTCACAGTAGTGAAGGTATGGAATCAAACTAGGTGTTCATCAACAGTGGATTGAATAAAGAAAATGTAGTACATATATGTCACGGAATACTATGCATCCATAAAAAGGACCAAATTGTGTCCTTTTCAGCAACATGGATGCAGCTGGAGGACTTTATTCTAAGCAAATTAGCTCAGGAACAGGAAGCCAAATGCCACATATTCTCAGTTATAAGTGGGAGCCGAGCAATGAGTGCACATGGACATAAAAATGGGAACAAGAGAGATTGGGTCTTACCAGGAGGGGAGGGAGAGGGAGTAAAGTCTGAAAAGGTACCCTTTGGGTACACCCTACTTGCGTGACAGAGTTATTCATACCCCAAACCTCAATATCACACAATATACCCATGTAACAAATCACACATGCACTCCCTGAATCTAAAATAAAGGTTGAAATTATTTTTAAAAATTGAAATTACAAAAGGCTTTTTAAAATTATTATGTACCATAGTTCATCTGCAAGAATTCAAATAACATTAGGGATTTTAAAAATCTTTCGTTTTCATTTGTTCTTTGCTTGTGAACCTTGTGTATTGCATATTGTGGACACTATGTCTTTTCCAGCCATTTGCTTCAGGAACAAAAGATAGAGTTACAATGAACATAGGATGTCTTGTCTAGTCACTTACCTTAAAGATGAGGAAATAAGCTGATGGAAAGGAAGAAACTTGCCCAAGATTACCCAGTGATCGAGTGAGGCAGATGATAGGGAGAGCACTAAGGCTTGGTATTCTGAGCCTCATTCTGTTTTCCACTCTTGCCCTCTCTCTGTGTCCTCCTCTCCTCTCTAGCCTTCTACAAAAAGTTGGCAGTTCTGCTTCAATGTCTACCTAAGGACATCCAGAGGAGATGCCACCTTTCATTAGGCTGCATTCTTTAGCACCATCCTGTGTTTTCTTCTCCAGTCTTGTTGCATCCCATTTTTGACTGTGAGTCGTGCTTCCGCCTGTGCTGGTCTATCCAATTAGTTGCTTCTATTTTTATTGAGTGACAGTGAAAACAAACAAACAAAAAAATTTGTTTATCCAAATTTGGAATTTTTAAACCTTGATTAAAAGAATTGATTTTCTGGGGTTATATATGTAAGACACATATTTTAAAATATTTTTAACTAATTAAAAAAAATCAAACCCATGTATTTAGCCAGGGTGACTATTTAACAAGTACTAGTGAGACAGGAATTCAGTAATGCCACAGGGATAATAATCTTATGTCAGTCCCGGATGTTGTGTGCTACCGAGTTAATATGATTGGATATGGTATCACCTTTTTTCAGGCTTTAGAAAGTCAAACAAAGGAACAGCACAACAGAACTCTAGGGTGGGATGTATAGGGAAAGCCAGGATATTAAAACAAATTGTTGACTCTGACATTTACCCCACTGTTGGGAAAAGCACTTCAGTTTCCAGGGCCTTATTTTTTTTCTCTATAAAACAGCAAAAATAGAGGCAATAAGTTGCTTATTCATCCTTGAATACACATGTTCAGGAGTTCCAGAAAATTTTCGAATCTACTTTGGGTGTCTGGTAACCACCTTGGGCAAATCCAAGAAGTCCTATACACACTTCTCCAAAGCATGTCTGTGCAAGGGGCCTTATACCTGTGATTAATGTTCGCATGCTGAATGCAGTAGGCTATGCTCTGGTGTGGGGTCATCCCTGGTTCCTGTGTTTAAATTCTACAAGACTAGATGCTGAGAAGGAAGAGGGAAAGCCAGGGATGGAGATGGAGCCTTAAGGGGAAAAGTCAAGCCCCAGGGACCAACAGTATTGGGGAGCAATAGGTTAAAGATTTCTTAGATTATAATAATATTTTCAAAGAGACTTCTTCCACCAATCCCTTCTTTCTGAGCCTACCACACCTTTGGCATAGCTCTTATGCCAGTTCTTAGGATAACTAACTTTTGCCGAAAGAAACTAGAGGAGCTTTGGAGACAAAAATTTAGTAGAATAATGCCTGATTTTTAATTTTTGCGGTCTAGTAACTGCTAGTAAACTTGCCTAATATGGAGATGGAATAAGAGGGTTTCAAAGACTTGAAACACCATTGACTTCATTTAACTGAGTTGCTATGGAGAATTAACGAATTAGATGGCTGCAGGCCTCTCAGCCAATGTGTCTTCCAGATTTCCTATGAGACCCCCTTTTCTGGTCACAGGTGATGGTGATTTCTCTTTGAGTATTGAATCCCTGTAAGGTGTTAGGCACTCTACTCTTACCAAGTTTATTTTGTTACCTGGTAGAACTTGGCTCATAAAGAAGAAAATGGTGAAGAGGAGGACAGCAATCCTCACGGCTGAAGAAAGAAGAAAGTTGGGCTTCATTTCCAGGAGGCAGAGAAAACTTCCGTCTGTGGCTGTCTAGCACCAGTGGAATGTCTCTGTTTGGATAAGAAGGGTCTTTCTGTACCTCATTAGGGATAGTCACAGATAGAGGTGTTCTATGCACGCAAAATTGCTTTTATGGGAAGACTGAGAGTCCTTTTTTTTATTGGACAGCCAGTTCATTAGAATGATGTGGGTGCACAGTTTTGGCCAGAAAACCTTGTTAAATGGGGACATAAGCTACAAACATTTTGGCAAAAGATGAAAGGTTATGAACAAACAACCATTTATATTGTTACAATAAATTAGACTGTGTTGCGAAATCAGTTGGTTTCATTAATGACCAGACATTTTTTTAGTGAACACTTCCCAGACTTTACTAGCCCTGCTAAGAATTAATCACCCCACTTGCTCCTGGTCTGAAACTCCAAAGTGCTTTGTTTATGTTACAGTACTTACTGCCTTGTGTGTTAGATTAGTGAATGTATATTTGTCTCATCCACTGCTGTATGAACTTCTTGCTTGCTAGGACAAGGCTATATTCCTCAGAACTGAGGAGGGAGTTGAATCATGTGGCTATTTATTCTCAAATCCTCTTCACCAAGTGGAACAAAACAACAGGGAAAGACCACCGCACATGGAGGCAGGAGGTCTGGATTTGGGTTCTAGATCTCTAGATCTATTACTAACTGGAGGTATGGATATAGTCAGGAAAATTGTCTTCCTTAGGTGCTTCCTTGATAGCACCTATAAAGGTCGAGATCTGTTGGATCTAGATCAGGGGATTCTCAATCATTACTATGCAGAAAATCAACTGGGAGAGTTACTTTGCAATACAGATGCTTAGTTCCATCTCATGATATTTTTATTTTTTTAAAAAAAATTGGTCAAGTATTTTTCATTAAGTAATGTAAACTTTCTTAGTCTACATCTAATAAAACTCCCACCAGCATACAAATACATTGAATGATATTAGCAGCAGAATCTTTAAATAAAGTAACCATACACAACTATGAGGCCACCTTTTTTTCATTGCTTATTATTTCATGCTATTTGTCACCATTGTCATCATAATCAGCCTCATCCTACATTGTTGAACACCCATCATGGACCATATGGCATAAACATTTTTCCTACGCATAAAGGAGCATATGTTCTCTATATGTATATAAAATTAATGTCTGAACAAAGTGGCTTAAACAAGGCAGAAGTTTGTTTCTCCCTCACTTAAATCTATAGTTCTACCTACCATGGCTAGTACAGATACTTGCCAAATTCATTAGGGATGCAGGCCCCTTCCAGCTCTCTGTTCTGCTATACTTTAGAAGAGGCTCTAGTTTGGCTGCTAAATTCCCACTTACCATTTTTGAATTCCAGGCAGCAGGAAGGAAAAAAGCCAAGAGAGAAAAACAAGGGAACATCTACCCCTCCTTTTAAGGTTTTTAACCAACCCCTCTTGTTTTTTTTTCACCGACTTTGTTGAGCTATGATGACATTTAAAAAGCTGTACATATTTAAGGTGTACATCTCAGTGAGCTTGGGGATAAGTATACACCATGAACACATCACTACCATCAAGATTATAACCATATCCTTCACCTCCCTAAGTCCCCCCCCCTTTATTATTATTTTTTTTGGTAAGAAATATTGGTAAGAATACAAAATCTACCCTTTTAGCAAATTTTAAGTATGCAATACAGTATTCTTAGCTGTAAGCACTATGCTGTAAACGAGACCTCCAGAACTTACTTACGTGGTATATCTGAAACTTTGTGCTCTAACCACATCTACCCATTTCCCCAGCACCACGGCACCTGGCAACCACCATTCTACTCTCTGCTTTTGTGAGTTTGTCGATTTTAGATTTCAAATACAAGTGAAATCATATAGTAATTGTCATTCTGTGGTTGGCCTATTTCATATAACGTAATGCCCTCCAAGTCCATCCATGTTGTCACAAATGACAGCATTTCATTATTATGTAACACTGAATAATATTCCATTGCATATATGTATTAGCCATTTATCCTGATACTCTCCCTCCACCTGCCTCCCAACAGGCCCCAGTGTGTGTTGTTCCCCTCCTAATATCCATGTGTTCTCACCGTTCTGCTCCCACTTGTAAGTTAGAAGCGAAGTGTTTGGTTTTCTGTTCGTGGGTTAGTTTGCTGAGGATAATGGCTTCCATCTCCATTCATGATCCTGCAAAGAACATGATCTCATTCCTTTTTATGGCTGCATAGTATTCCATGGTGTATACGTACCACATTTTCTTTATCCAGTCTGTCACTGATGGACATTCGGGTTGATTCCATGTCTTTGGTATTGTGAATAGTGCTGCAATGAACATATGTGTGCATGTATCTTTATAATAGAATGATTTATATTCCTTTGGGTATATACCCAGTAATGGGATTGCTGGGTCAAGTGGTATTTCTGGTTGTAGGTCTTTGAGGAATCACCATACTGTCTTCCACAATAGTTGAACTAAATTGCATTCCCACCAACAGTGTAAAAGTGTTCTTATATCTCAACAGCCTCATCAGCAGGTAGTTTTATTTAAAAAATTTTTGAGAAACCTTCATACTGTTATCTGAAATGGACATAGTAATTTGTATTTCCACCGCAAGTATACAAGGGTTATCTTTTCTCCACATCCTCGCTAATACTTGTTATACATCTTTTTGATAATAGCTATTCTAAGAGGTATCAGGTGATATTTCATGGTGGTTTTTATCTGCATCCCCCTGATGATTAGAGATGGTAAGAATATTTTCACATATTTGTTGGCCATTTGTATCTGTTCTTCTGGGAAATGTCTACTCAGATCTTTGCTCATTTTTATTATTATTATTATTTTTTTGAGATGGAGTCTCGCTCTGTCACCCAGGCTGGAGTGCAGTGGCGTGATCTCGGCTCACTGCAAGCTCCGCCTCCCAGATTCACACCATTCTCGTGCCTCAGCCTCCCAAGTAGCTGGGACTACAGGCACCCACCACCATGCCCAGCTAATTTTTTGTAATTTTTTTTTTCTTTTTTTAGTGGAGACAGAGTTTCACCGTGTTAGCCAGATCTTTGAGCATTTAAAAAAAGAATTCAACTTTTATTTTAGATTCAGGAGATGCATGTGCAGGTTTTTACATTGGCACATTGTGTGATGCTGAGGCTTGGAGTATGGATGATCTTGTAACCCAGATAGAAAACATAATACCCAATAGACAGTTTTTAAGGCCTTTGTCCCCACCTTCCCTTCCCCCTCTAGTAGTCCCCAGTATCTGTTGTTCCGATCTTTACATCCGTGTGTAACCAACGCTTTGTTCTCACTTATAACTAAGAACATATGGTATTTGGTTTTCTCTTCCTGCATTATGTTAGAATAATGGCCTCCAGCTGCATCCATGTTGGTGCAAAGGACATAATTTTTTTATGGTTGTGTAGTATTCCATGGTGTACATATACTGTATTTTCTCTATCCACTGTAACATTGATGGGCATCTAGGTTGATTCCATGTCTTTGCTATACGACCTTGGGGAAAGAGAGTCTTGCTGCTTGCTTGTGGGACTTGCCTTGGAAGGTAGATAAGTTCACTGCATCCTCCAACTTTTTATTTCTGGTGAGTTCTCCAAGCACTGAGATGTGAACTGGCCTCATTCCCTTACAATGGTACTGTTACCAGTAGAAGAGATTCCAGTTTCTGGCAGCGTATCTGCATGGGTCCATAAGCAACTTCAGTCCTTGCCTCCTCAGAAGAAATAATTTGACTGAAGGGCATACAGCAGAAAAAGAGACTGAGCGGTAAGTTTCAGAGCAGGAGTGGAAGTTTATTTAAAAAGGCTTTAGAACAGGAAGGAGAGGAAAATTCTCTTGGAAGAGACCCGAACAGATGCCTGAATGTCCAAGAAAGAAAAGAGAAGAGCCTTTAACCTTGATCCTGCCATGGGTTTTCCTCTTTCCCATGATTCTAACTTTAGGGAGCGTTTCCGGCTTGCACAGTGCTTTCCTTACCCTTTGAAATTGAGCATGCACGGTGTGTTTAGGGAGTTATATGCATGTCCATCTGAAGCTTTCTTTCCTTTTCCGGTGGAGTGTGCCCCCGGAAGATTATGCTTTGCCATTTTTGTCTCTTAACATGCATGCCCAAGAAGTTGCTTCTTCCTGAAGTCTGCATTTAACTAACATTTTTGATGTTAACAGGTGTAGACCATCAGGAAATGGCCTCTCTTTGGTGCTGCCTAATTATCATTTTTAGAGAGGCAATGTGATAATTGACAGGCCATCACCTGACATTTCTAGTGGGTAGGGGAAGAGCCCTCTCCTGCCCTGCTCATGCTCTTCTACCTGTAACAAGACAAGCCTTGTATATCATTAGACATTTGTCCCATCAAGGCAGCATCTCATTATTACATTTTATTGTGTGAATTGTTACTTCACATTCTCATAATCTGTGTTCACTATTTGTGTGCCTTTTCCACTTTTGTTTTGACCATATCTCATTATTTGAACTGCCTCCTCCAAGATTCTAGATCTGCATTGGCCAATATAGTAACTACTAGTCACATGTGACTATAAACTGTAAATTAATTATAATTAAATAACTAAATGACATATCCTTAGTAGTAATAGCCAAAGTCTTGGCCAAACTAGAAATTCTGTAACTACATATGTGTGGTAGTTACTGCATTGGACAATGCAGATATAGAGAATTTCTTTCATCACAGAAAATCGTGTTGGGCATGTTGGCTACCACTTATTTTTAAATTCTATTTGTGTGGTTTATAGTTAAATTATATTCTGCTTCTCTATATTCATTTCCTTTCACAGATTTTCTCAAGCAATTTTTAAATTTCATTCTTTTACCTTATTGAGGTAAGTACTTAGATTATTTTTTTAAAATAATGCACAGCAAATAATTTTTCCATCGATATTGTTTTAGCTTTATTGTATTGGTACTTTTATGTACTATATTCAGGTATTATTATTTTTCATAACTTACTTTTAAAATTGTGACAAGTTTATTTAAAATAGATTTCTCCCTTGATTTTCAGATGTTAGATTCTGTCTTCCATTGCTGTATTTTAATTTAATTTAATTTTATTGTATGTAAATATGTTGCATATTCCTTTTTTTAAAATGTGAGATATTTCCTCTCTCCTGTTACATAAACTTTGTATGCAGTGTTCATTATGCACTTTAAAAATAAATATTTTGTTTCAGGGCATGATGCTTTCACACATAAAACCTTAGAATAATTTTAAATTCCATTCCACTTTCACCATTCCTGAACTGCTTTGAATATATTGGAGGTTGGAAGCCATGAGAGGCTTGCAATCCTGTCAAGATAATAGGATTTTCCATTTATAGTGTAATCTGACTTGCAATCCCGTCAAGATAATAGGATTTTCCATTTATAGTGTAATCTGATATATATTCGTTCTGGTTTCATACTTTAAAAAAATCTATTCTCTTTTACTCTGTGGTGATCTTTGCTTTTCTATTTTTTCATTGCTAGAATGTGAGCTGCTGTTTCCCTAGCACCTCAGATGTCATTCAACATTGTATAGCACTGGTGTTGAGAAGTGAGAGAATCTACTAAATAATAGCACTTTTCGAGACTGCAGTTCTGAATTAAAAGGAAGGGAAAGGACAGGCAAAACAATATAGACATCAGCTATTTTTACTGAAGATCTGTTGGAGAACATGGTTTTGTTGTCCAGGAACTTGAGACCTAATACTGCATTCCTAATACTTCACTAACGTGTGTCTAAATAGCCGTGAAAGGGCTAAGAAGTCACAAGTTGGCCTCTTAATTTTTACGGGTGCCCTTAAAATATTAAGGTAATATTGAGGATGCAGAACGGCTCATTCCTCATGACTTTTTAAGAGATCTGGGCCGGGCACGGTGGCTTACGCCTGTAATCCCAACACTTTGAGAGGCGGAGGCTGGCGGATCACCTGAGGTCAGGAGTTCTAGACCAGCCCTACCAAAATGGAGAAACCCCGTCTCGACTAAAAATACAAAATTAGCCGAGCACGATGGCGCATGCTTGTCATCCTAGCTACTCAGGAGGCTGAGGCTGGAGAATTGCTTGAACCCAGGAGGTGGAGGTTGCGGTGAGCCGAGATCGCGCCACTGCACTCCAGCCTGGGCAACAGGAGTGAAACTCTACCAAAAAAAAAAAAAAAAAGAGAGAGAGAGAGACAACTGGAGGGAGATACTAAGCTGTGCAGGCTCTCATCTTGAAGTCACCAAATACATAAGTTGTTATTTCTGCTCTGGTGAAAAGTTTGTCAATACATTTTTTTTCCATGAATTAATGAAAATTTTAGACCTATAACATAAGTTTTTAAAAGTTTCTCCTAAAGATTGCTTGTGTATGTATGTGGTTTAAAATATATTTAATCTCTACATCTTGAAATCGTTTTGATAGATTCCACACAAGAGTCCTTTATGAAATAAGTATGCTTTAACTTTCTTATAATATTTATCCTTTTTTGTCCCTGGCACGGTCTGTATATGACCAGTTAAATTACTTTTAGTTCATGTTTGGGTTATAATTACACACAAATATTCTCTAAAGCCCAAATCTTATTTTGATATTCGAGGAAGAGTTTACATGGTAATAATATTAAGGGTTACAGCTGGTTACACTGAAGCTTTGTCGGCATTCTCTAATATCTTATTTTTTTGAAGGAATATCTGTTCTGCTTGAATTGTAGGCTACATAATACATGTACTGTCAGGTACATTCATGGAAGGGACAGGCAGATGGAGTCATATGTTACTGGAGTCTTGATGAACAGATGTAGAAAATAGTCCAAGGAATAAGAAAAAAGTTGATATTGAAAAGTGCTTGTTGAAGTCTGTAAATGTGCATTAAATGTGGCAGTAAAAATAGACACAATGATGTTTGGGAACTGGGGTCTAAATGCTGGAGTCCCCAGAATCATAGAGAACCTTGGTTAGGGGAGTAATTTTGTCAAAAAGCAAGAAGAGGCAGTGACAGGCAGAATATAATTAAAAGTATTGCTGGGCCATTTTCTAATTTTGTAATTTTGTCATATTATTCAAACCCTGTTGATCATTTATTAAATTGGTAAATAAATTATAATCAGCAGGATTATTATGAGGGTTAAATAAGGAAATATATGTACATCTGTAAGCACAATGTCACAATTAATACAAAGTTACCCTTTTTATTTTTCCTGGACTTCATGTACAAATGGGTCAGTAAATTTTTTGTTTATGACACATAATTATCACTTGCACATAAAATATATTTAATTATTTTTATATTTTTAGCAAGGAAATAATACATGCATGTTTCCCCCTGTCTCAAACACATACACTCATATAAACATATGCACCTATATACCTACATATCTATGTACGAATATATACATGGACATGGGTATTTCTCAGCAAATATGTATCATGATAATCACAGATATTGCAGCTAACAAAGACTAATATAAACCATGATTGCAAGAATTTTAGATACCACGTTAGTGAAACATCAGATTGAGCTGCTAAATTTCTCCCACCCCTATGTCATTTTGTATTTTCTGAGCATCCTAGACGATTGTGACTGTATACACAGGACAGAAACACCATGACTCAGGGTACTCCTGCTAATTTCCGATGCAGGAGATTTTAAGGGCTAGATTAGCAGGATGGGAGTGTTGACCCTCTAAGTGAAATAAATCCCTCAATTCATTATCCCCATCCTAAAACAGATTTTTTTTTTTTTTGAGACAGAGTCTCACTCTGTCGCCATCGCTGGAGTGCAGTGGTGGGATCTCAGCTCACTGTAATCTCTGCCTCCTGGGTTCAAGAGATTCTCCTGCTTCAGCTTCCTGAGTAGCTGGGATTACAGGCAAGCACCACCATACCCAGTTAATTTTTGTGTTTTTAGTAAAGATGGGGTTTCACCATGTTGGCCAGGCTAGTCTCGAACCCTTGACCTCAGGTGATCCACCTGCCTTGGCCTCCCAAAGTGCTGGGATTACAGGCGTGAGCCACCGCACTCGACCCTAAAACAGATTCTTACTTGATTATTTCCACGTTCCAAGGGGAAATACAAAAGTCAGAGTTGAGTGAAAATAAAAGTGGAGTAAGGCTTCAGAAGGCTGTGGTGGGTGTTGGAGAAACGTTGCTAGGGCATAAAGCTAGGATAATAAAATCTGAGAAATCCCAGTGTTTATCTATAGGTGGAAATCATATTCCACATGTGGATGGAGTCAGGGATCCCTGTGTTTTAAAATCAGTGAGGGAATTGAATATCTGGACTTGTGCCAATTAACATACAAAACTCCGTGCTTTTGATGTTCTCATTCACAAGATATCTGTGTTCCTTGTTTATTAGCAACCATAGTCATAGGCTTCCTAATTTTGACCACGGGAAAAGAGGAGAGGCCTCTGCGTGTTTGTGTCTGTTGGTTAGGCTGTGGTGCAGCTGGTGTCACACTTCAGTGAAAGTCTGGCTTTTCATCACAGGTTGATCTGAAAATTGTGCACAAGACTGGTGTCTCACATGTTCTTTCTCCAACCTCAGCTTTTCTTAGTGCCTAAAGTGTCTGCAAGTGGAAATCCAGAGGAAGACAGAGAGAAACTGAGTTCCTGACAATGCATTCACTAGTGAGTAGGGGATGCCTCTTTCTACTGAAATTATACCCATATTGCTGGCAAATGGGCAGTTTTCTCCAATTTGCATGGGTGTTTCATTTTTATTCTTTTTTTGTTTGTTTTTATGATGTAAAATCCACCCAGCCTGGGTGTTCCAAATGCAGTCAGGAGGCTTTCAGGTATCTGGCCTCCAATTAAGTTTTCTCAGGACTCTAGGTTGGGTATCGTGTGTCAAAGACTCCTAAATTATCAATATAATTTCTAATATTACACTACTTTATTCCAGCCCTTATTAAGACTATTTACAAAAAAAGATATGAGAGGTTTCATTTATATATTTCTTTTTCTTCTATCCATCCTATAATCTCATAGGGAAATAATTGACCCATTAACTGTACTGTTGGCTGAAATAGACTTAGGATTGTGATGAATGCAGACGACAGAGATGAGTGAAGAGCAGAACATCACAGCCCAACAATGAGTCTGATGTTCTAGCAGCTGAGTTCAATAAATCCAGTGTGATAGGACTTGGGCAAGAGCTGTGCAGTGTTGAGGGAAAAGAAGAGTTTTATAAAATATATTTGAGCTTTTAAAAACTTTGTGAAAGGACAACTAAAGAAGTCATTACTATTCTTATCCCCATTCATTTTACCTTTTGGTAATTAACTTTTTTGCCTTCTGGTAAGTGAAAGTAACATATAGGAAATATAATTATTTAATTATGGTTGCACACTCAGAAGAAGGAATATAGTAGATAGAGTACAATTTAGGGTTCTGTGGAAATGCTTTATAAGGGCTGGTTACAAAAAAAAAACAATGAAGAGGCTTTCTTAATCTTTGAACAAGTGAAGTGAGAAGGTCAATTTAAAAGAGAAACAATGATAACTGATGTTTGGACTGCCGAGAGAAAGTTGAGAACAGGAGGCTTCATATCACAGGAATCATCGAACTAAGATTTCCTCAGTATGTCAGCCTCAGCAGTCTTGTCTTGTGCTGCTAGACTGTCTTCAAGCCTTTTCATGAACACCTGAATTATATAACATTAGAGAGACTATATGTATGAATTGAATCCTATATTCTGCATAAAGCGTTCAGTTCTGAAGAATGCTGGAGTCTGGTTCATTACTTTCTAACTTTTGAATGAATAAGGGACCAATGACTTATATTTAATAAATATTTGCTAAGTAGGAAACACATTTTCTATTAGTTCATTAGATTATTCAAAACACATCATTGGTCTTTTAACCATTTGATTGGGGAGAAACCTGTCTTTCATCTAGAGAAATAATTTATTTCATCGCAGTCATGTTTAAAAAGTAGTAAATCATGGTTATTTGCCTTGTGACAAATCTGTAATTTACTTGAAATTCATGGTAAATTTCATTTTATTTATGAATGTTCAAGTGAAAATTTTATAAGCAGTTATGTAGAGGTGATTAAGACATTACTGAAAAATATCTGGGTTATATTATGCCACACCTCATGCAATATTTCTTTATAGTAAAGTTTAATGGATTCAGAGTGGGTATATCTCTGTGAGTGAATCTGAAAGGCAGATACCAGCTTAGTACTGAGAATGAACTGGCTGGAACCAAAAACACTGAGTATTCTGCATACCCAGCTCCTAGCTATATCATCTCAGCCTTCCTCTTCCGGACATTGAAAGGGATTTCTCTGTCTAAACTAAAATGTCTGTGATGTTTTAGGAGAAAGTGACTTTTGAAGATGTAGCTATTGACTTCACCCAGGAAGAGTGGGACATGATGGACACATCCAAGAGAAAGCTGTACAGAGATGTGATGCTGGAAAATATCAGTCACCTGGTGTCCCTCGGTGAGTCCCTCAACATTCACGTACATATGTAGACACACATTCGCTCATTCATTCAATAAGTGTTAGAACAGCTTCCCCATATCTCACTCTAATCTCTTCTCTGATTCTCTCACAGATCTCATCTGAAAAAAGTTTGAACTCTCTAAATCTATCTTAAATAAATATCTTTCTTTTTATTTTATTTTATTTAGTTTGTCACTCAATTAGAATGTAATCTTGACAAGTATTTCATGGTGTCTTTGGTACTCAGTCTCTAATACTCATAACAGACCTGGGAACATAATGAATATTTTCAATGTATTAAATTAAATACTCTCTAAATAACTCTTCTGCTTTAGTCTATGCTTAGGCTGAGACCAATTAGTGAAAACAATAGCAATATCTTTTCTATATAGAACACCAATTATTTTTGTAAATCGAATGTTTTTTTTTGTTCTGCGTGAGAATAATAATAAACACAATGTGCAGAGATTTAATTACTCTCTTTCTGAAAAGATTGTGTATTATGCATTGTGTCTTGGAACTTAGGCATGGACTCAGCATTCATAGGTCCTGACTGTTTTGAATTTCCTTTTCCTGATGGCCCTTTGGTTTGGATTTATTTTCTAGTCTCAAGTTGGGTCAGAAAAATCCTGGGGAGTTTTCTGTGTTCTAGGTCTTGTGGCCTGAGCTGACCTTCACTGTTTTTATTCTTCCTTGATAGCCTGCCTTACACTTGGTGATAATGCACATTTATTGACAGTGAACTCAAAACACATGTATTCTTTCCACTAACAGGGTACCAGATAAGCAAATCCTATATAATTTTGCAGCTGGAGCAAGGAAAAGAGCTGTGGCGGGAAGGAAGAGTATTTCTTCAAGACCAGAATCCAGGTAAGCAACAGGGTCCTGTGTCCTAATAGGAGGAGGTGCTTTCTCAATGAATAATATCAGTTGAATATTAATTAGTGGTTTTATTAAATGAGTGATAATTTCTAAAATGTAGGTTAGGCTACTGGAGCAGAATTCCTTAGATGTTATTATCATTTTGTTCATGTGTCAGATGTTACTCTTGTGTCCTCTTTTTTTTCTTTTCTTTTACTTTTGGGAAAAAGACAATTCATGTACTTGGCTGGGGTTAAACTTTCATATGCTGACCCTTTCCCTGATACCCCTGTGAAGACTATCCCTCTATTTACTTGCCTGATATCTCATCTCCATTTTAACTCTTTTCACATTTTAATTTTAAAAATCTTTTCTAATTGCTGACACTGTACAATCTATTTCTTCTATTCAAGTAGTTTCTTCATTTGACACACTTGCCACATCTAAGTGTCAATTTTTGAAAAAAAGTAAATGGGCCTTGGGGCTTTTCAAACAATTTTATTACCATAATACCAATGTAACAATTTATTTTTCAATTATTTCAGACAGGGAAAGTGCCCTTAAGAAAAAACACATGATATCCATGCATCCTATCATCAGAAAAGACGCATCCACCAGTATGACAATGGTAAGTTTTATAGCTGTGTACACCAGTCATCTAAGTTAAAGATATGGTAATGGGTTAAGTTAATAATGAAGCACAATCACCTGAGTGTAATTAGGCTGGCATTAAGTGCTTTCTAAGCAAAGAAAAAAACTGGAGACTTTGAATTTAGTGAATACATTGACCTCTGTTCTAAATCATAACATGAGATCTCTAAAATAGAGCAAGTGCATATACATTGCTCATGCCCAGACATTGAAAGATATTGATATCATCACAATTATGCAATAACTCTGCAGTTGAGATCTTACAGAAGAGAACATACCTGTGTCTGCAGGAGATAATGTGTATGCAAATGTCAATCGAGAAAAATGACAAGTCTCAATCATTTTAGGAGATTTATTTGCCAAAGTTAAGGACATGCACCCAGGGGACAGGTGTATGCCTTTCTCCAAAGATGATTTTGAAGGCTCCAAATTCAAAGGGGAAAGGCTGGGATATTGAGAAGTACACAATTTTCATGTAAAAGGTGGGTAGAAAAAATAGTCATTCATGCATTTTTCTGGCTCAGTGAATCTGGATTTTTTTACATAACATGACATAAACAAATGAGGCAGAGGAATAATGCAGGAAAGCTGCATTTTACATAAGACAACATAGGCAAAATGGGGGCAGGGAAACAATCAGATATGCATTTGTGTCTGGTGAACTTGGGATGACTGCACCTGTAAAGACAAGTTATCAGTTTGCATTGCCGTGGTGTAATTTTAACAGCTCATGAGGAATTTCCTTGTGGGCAAAATATGGGGGAGGCATGTAGCTTTTCATCTTGTAGTCATATTATTTAGGAACCAGAAGGGGGAGGCAGGTTTGTGTGACCCAGTTCCCAGCTTGATTTTTCCCTTTGGTTAAATGAGTTTGGGGTCCCAAAATTTAATTTCCTTTCACACAAGAAACATTGGAAAGATTTCAACTGGGGTCTACCACTGAATGGTTGGTCTAGGATTCAAAGGTAGTGAAATTAATGTATAGATATATGTGGGTAAACCATTAAGAGCTTTTAATCTTTGTCCCAAAGGAGAACTCTCATTCTGGAGGATCCTTTTGAATATAATGATTCGGGAGAAGATTGCACTCACAGTTCCACAATAACTCAGTGTTTGTTAACTCACAGTAGAAAGAAACCCTATGTCAGCAAACAGTGTGGAAAATCCCTTCGTAATCTTTTGTCCCCTAAACCACGTAAACAAATTCATACTAAAGGTAAATCATATCAATGTAATCTATGTGAAAAGGCCTATACTAATTGCTTTTACCTTAGACGGCACAAGATGACTCACACTGGAGAGAGGCCATATGCATGTCATCTATGTGGAAAAGCCTTCACTCAGTGTTCTCACCTTAGAAGACATGAGAAAACTCACACGGGAGAGAGACCATATAAGTGTCATCAGTGTGGGAAAGCCTTTATTCAATCCTTTAACCTTCGAAGACATGAGAGAACTCACCTTGGACAAAAGTGTTATGAATGTGATAAAAGTGGGAAAGCCTTTAGTCAAAGCTCTGGCTTTAGAGGAAACAAAATAATTCACATTGGAGAGAAACCTCATGCTTGTCTTCTATGTGGGAAGGCCTTCAGTCTGTCTTCCGACCTTAGATGACATGAGAGAACACGCACTGGAGAAAAGCCATATGAATGCCATTTATGTGGGAAAGCCTTCAGTCAATGTACTAATATTAAAAAGCATCAGAAAATTCACCCTGGAGAGAAAATTATAAACTTCTTCAGAACATATTCGGACTTTAGATGACACAGTGTTAGGAATGACGAAGGTAAGGAATGTGGAAGAGACTTCAGCTGTAGTTGTAGCATCTAAACATGCCAAAGGACTCACATTTTGAAGAAATACTGTAATCAACATGGAAGATACTTCAGTTGCCTTTATTCTTCAGCCCACATCAATAAATTCATATGGAAGAGAAATTGTATGACATGTATGTACCAAAGACTTGTTAGTGATCTGAGCATAAATGACATGAGAGAGCTGAAACTGTCAGCATAATCAACTAAAAGTCTTCAGCAACAGCTTTAACTTAAAACATGTGGGACTTTCAGGTAGAGAATCTCTAACTCTGCATTCAGTGTGAAAATGTTTTTATTTGCAATTTATTGTCAAATAACATGAGAAAACTTTACTTGGATGAACCCTTTATTTGTATTTTTCTGTGAATGAACATTCAGCCAAGCACCAGGCTTGATGTTCACAAGAGAAGAGTGACAAAATGCTGCTAAAATGGAAAATAAGAGAGGAAAGCCTTCATAAGCTAAATAACAAGGGAAAGTCTTTCCAAGGGCAATGAATTCTCTTGGAATACCAAATACTTCTTACTGGAGAAGTTATGCAATGAAAAATCATGAGAAATCCTTTCTTCATAGAGCAACACATGTGGCACATGTGAGATTTCACACTGGACAAAACAGGGTTAGCATCTTGAAAGAAGAAAATTCTTTAGTGGTAATTCATTTCTTAGTTGACATTAAGTTTCTCACGTTGAGGAGCTATCAAACTTGAAAATCACTGTGGAGAAACCTGATAGATTTCTCATCAGAAAAGTGAGTCAAGAAGGTGGACCTCTAGAAAAAACTCTTAACACATACTTTAGCAAAATAATTCAGAAATTTGAGAAAATATCTATTCATAAAAATGTGGCATGTAAATGCATAATAGCAAAGTGACCAAGGAATAAATTGAATGCAGAATTATATAAGAAATCTCATTAAACTTTTCCAAAAGAGCAATACTTACAAATATTGAAAGAATACAATCTGTTGTTGAAAAAACTTAGTATGTTGGTGAAGCCCTTGTTTCATTTATGCAGCCCTAACAAACTGATTTGCATCTGAACTCCTTGGGTGAGATTCTTGGTGGAGATTCTACCCCAACTTCTGAGTCTCCCCAGTCTTCAACAGCTCTTTCCTCACAGCTCACCTCCCTTTACTTCAACGTCCACCAAAACCACTTGTTTCCATCCAACCCTCGAGTTGACACACCAGGGATCTTCAGCCCCACTTGCTAGATTTCTCAGTTTGTCATTGCATAGATTTAGCAGGGAAATGGAGGCTGTATCAAAGACCCCTAGTATATGCATTTGGGTGTCCCCAGCTCTTGCCTCTGTCTCTGAGCAGTTACCTGGGATCAGAGAATAAGGCAGCTCTTCTCTTCTATCCCTCAGAAGGCTCTTGAAATTTTGTCCCTGGAGCCTCTCTAACTGGAAGTAGCAGTTCATCTCATGACACCCCACATTTTATTCAGGTGAGTCCTGAGTTATTACACAGAGACAGACACAGCTGTGCTCCTTTTACTGCAGTCCAGAAGATAAAACACCAGCATGATAAAACAGCCGAACCTGTCAGCCACCTTGCAAGCCTTTTCTATATTTGATTCAATGTACTTTTCCCGAAGCAAAATGAAAGTTCTCACAGAGGGGCCCTCCTCTGCCTTGTCCTCAGAATTGGAAAATGTATTGTCCGTGAAGGAGCCTCACCACTGAACCTAAAACTCAAGAGAAAATGTTTCCTGAATATCAAGTGGGATGACTTGAAATTTTGTCAAACAGGCAGAATCTTAATACGATCGGCCTTACTAAGGCTAAATGGCCTTATCCATGGTTGAAATTGACACATCATCATATTAAAAAATCTCCACGAGTGATTGATTTTACTCTGCAGCCAGGGTTTATGTCAAGTGTGAGGATAATGAGCAAGAAATTCAAGCCCTTGGCAAACTGGTTGGAGAGGCAAGGACTGTGTCCAGGCAGAGCTCATATCATTATTTATTGTTTAATCTATTTAATTAAATATGTAATTTACCCACAAACTGTGGCTGACATTATATGTACTCCTGAGCCACATTAAGATGTACTATTTGTGCTGTGAAATTCTATGGGATTTGACAAATGCATGGTGGCAGATCTCCAGCCATTATTAAAGCGTAACACAGAATGCTTCTCTTATTCAAGCTCGTCTTCCCTCCACATAGAGGGAATCAATCGACTTTTGTATACTGATTTTTGAATTTGCTTCTTTATTTCCATCTTCTTTAATTAAAGCACAAGATATCGTACTCAATTTCCATTTGATCTTCCAAAAGAAAGTACTGAATAATCCACACCTGAATTTCAGTGATTCAGACTCAGGTCCACCGCTAAGACCAAACGTCCTGTGCTGCCACCTCATGGCCGGCAGAGGGCAATGAAACCCACCTTTCCGGCCATGCAGGGCGCATGCGCGGTCTGCCTCCCGCGGCGGGCCGGGTCTCCAGGGAGGACCTGAGTTTTCTTCACCCATTGTCAGGGAGGCGCCATCGCCCTGGCTTTGGGGCTGGGGCCTCCGGGGAGGTTCCGGTAGGGGCGTTGGAGAGGCCGCTCTTTTTGCAAGGCCCGAGACGGCGGGCCCTGCGCAGGCCGCCCTATTCCGCGCCCTCAGGGCGTCAGTATCAGCCTGAGGCTGGATACCCCCGCTGGGCCCGGATGACCCCGCTGGGCCCGGAGCATCCTCCGGCGCTGCCCTCCCAGAGCCACGCAGAGGCTGAGGTGGCGCGGGGGCGGCCCCGGCTCCGCGAGAAGCGGCGGCAGCGAGGGCTGGAGGACCCGGGCTGCGGGGCTCCGGGGCGTCTGGCCTGGGTGGGACTGAGCCCATCCAGGGACTGGGACTCTGGGATTCTGGTGTAGGTGGATCCGGGGCAGGCTCAGGACCAAGTCCCTCTCCTTCCACCAAGGAGCGCCCAGAGGCCGGCGGGAGCTCCAGGTTCACCTCCTCCTCCTCCAGGTGTTTACTTTTCCTTTATTTCTGTGAGGCCAGAAATTGTCGCCATCCTTCACATCGGTGAATCGGGACCCTAACACTCATTACCTCAGGTTTATTGTTATTGCCATTAACAGTGTTGGTGGCATTATCACTAAGATCATCATTGTTGTTATTATTGTCATTTATGATTATTAGCAGGTGTGTTCATCATTTTGTCTCACTATGCATTTTTTTTTTGTGGGGGGTGGGGGGATTGGTTTTGTATGACGTTGAATTGAGCGTCTTTAATCTTGACCAGTGTTGTCAGATTTCTGAAGAGCATTCCGGAGGACATCTCCTGCCTTTCAGCACAGCCACAGAATTTCGTGGGCACAGGAGAGCACCTAGAATATTCCCCTTTCATTGCACAGCAGCTTTGGGAAATAGTTACTGCTGGCTCTGAGATGAGGTAGAAAAGACTGGATACTGGGGCAAGTGTTAGCACCTCCACTGGTGTTTTTATGAAGCTAAGAGCACTGTCTCCCACGTAGACTTAGAATAAAATCTGATGGCTCTAAAGGGCCATGGCTGCCCTTCCTGGGACTTCCTGGGAACCTTTAAACCTTCTGTGGTTCCTGGAGTAGGTAGGTTGCCAAGTCTGTGCCTCATATGGTAGCACCAGTCTTTTCTGGGCCAACAAGGGCACTTAGAATGTTTCCAGAAGCTCAGGCGTGCTGTCTCTGTTCCTCCCTTCTGTTCAATGGCAATTCCCTGGGTCCCTGGCTGATATAGAACATCCTGCCGAAGGTTGGGCTTGGGTGACTTCCTGGCCAGCCTTCCCAGGCAGTCATCTTTGAAAACCTTGAAGAGACTCACAGAGGCTATTCACTGGTATTTCATGACTGCAAGTGGGGTTTCTGGATCCTTGAGTTTACTTAGAATATTTGAATGGCTCTGAATGGCCAAGAAACCCTCCCTGATCTTAGAAGCTGCCAAAAGCTATTACTGGGCCCTGAAGAGACTTTAAAATTTTTCCAAGTACATTTGGGCATAGGAAACTTTTCCGGGTCTAGCTGAGCCAGCTCAGGTTGAGTCCTGAAAAACTGGTGGGTACTGGGGGATCTCAACTTACGAAAGAGCAATTGGTGGCAAACCTGGGTCTCCAGGATAGCTGTGTGTGTATATGTCTGTAGCACATGCCTTGCAGTCATCTTTAGTAACTGAACACCATTTGTGAATGGATAAACTATATTCATTGCTGTACAATGATGAAAAATCCATATTAACAATGGCAGTAATAAAAATATTGATGGATATTAACAGGAATAATGATCATCATGATACTAGTACTAATGGTTTTAATACTGATAATAATACTAACCCTATGGACTTGGGACATATAAGTTTTCCATAAGTGGATAATAGGCATAAATATTTGGCTGTGTAGGGTTACTTCAAGTCCCAAAAAGCAAGGATGAACATCTAGAACGAGAAGAAAAACAATCTGGAGGTTAGTATGTGCACACCTGGGGACTCCTGTGTTAACTTCTGGTGTTTCAGCCTAAGAGGGAATGTTAATATAACCCTGGTCCTGGAACACCATGCTGACCAACACCTATCAGCTTTCAGGAGATAAGACAGCTGGCTGATGGGGCAGGGATCCAGAGAAGGCACGGGTCCACACCTGCACATGTTGCCCAGTGGCAGAGTTCATGACAAGCAATAAGCCCCAGGACAATGTCATTCCCAGCCACCTGGCTGTCATCTGCTCTTTCATGGCCCCTCTCTACTGGTACCTCTAGGCACTGGCATGTCCTCCAGAGGCTGCAGGAGGGCATGATACTCAGTACTCTCCCACCTGCAGGAGGCAAGAAAGATGGAAACAGCTAAATACCACGGCTTCTGGATTTTTTTTGGTGGGCATGGCATATTTTGCATTTGCTTTAATAGTGGTGGAACCCAGTCAGTAGCTTGCAATACAGATCTAGATGACTCTGGACACCTGTAGAGATTTTGACAATTTCCAGAAGGTCACAAGTTCTTGGAGGACTTTTTCATGAGTTCTTTGACTGAAAAGATGGTTCAAAGAGCTTCTATACTGACTTAGAAAATGTTGCAGAGGCCAGGTGCGGTGGCTTATGCCTGTAATCCCAGCACTTCGGGAGGCCAAGGCAGGCGGATCATGAGGTCAGGAGTTTGAGACCAGTCTGACTAACATGGTGAAACCCCTCTCTACTAAAACTACAAAAATTAGCCGGGCGTGGTGACACGCACCTATAATCCCAGCTACTCGGGAGGCTGAGGCAGGAGAATCGCTTGAACCTGGGAGTTGGAGGTTGCAGCGAGCCAAGATGGCGACACTGGACTCCAACCTGAGCGACGGAGAGACATTTTATCTCAATAAATAAATAAATAAATAAATAAATAAATAAAATAAAAAGGAAGAAAAAAGAAAATTCACAGACACTCTGGTGAACAGGTAGGCCCTCTCCTGCCACTCCAGGTAAAAGTTTCTTGGCCACAAACCTGATTTGGCAATATCCCTTCATCTTAGGTGGGTAACAGAAAGCCATTCATGACCTATCCAAGCATGGAGAGGGGATTTGACTTAGAAAACTGTTACGTGGACTAGTTGGTGAAAGAAAGTGCATTCTAGGACTCACAGGCCTACACACAGAGTTGCTATCAGATAAAGCCGATGTATGAACTCTTTCTGAGCCCATGGCAAGATGAGGGTGCACTTCATCAGTCTCTTATGCTGGTATGAATAGGTACTTGCCTGAAAAATAAAAGAATAATTCAGGAAGCCCATTCTTCTACAGGACACCAGGCAGTACAGTAGGAGTCCTGGGGTTGCTGTGGTATTTATGTTTTAAGGTTGTCTTTTAATCATCTTCAGCAAATTCAACAGTCTTCAGGAACATAAAAAAATTTTTCAACATTACATAAAAATGACCACAAATATATCCATGATAAAGAACTGTACCAATATAATAACATTAATAACAATCATAATGGTGATGATATGTCAATTTAATGAAGAGAGTAATAAAAAGCAGATATTTAAGAACATATTCCTGTAAGCCTGTGACAATGTTCCCATATGAGCCCTCATGTTATTGATTAGATGGGGAAGCTTAGGGCTACATCTTGAAATATATTCTGTGAAGGCAAAGAAGAGTGGCAGTACGGAGAATTATTCTGAGCCACATGAGAGCATGGGCAAAAGTGGAGATACCTGTGCCATGTGGAAATACATTACAAATGGACTATGGCAAAGGGTCTGGCCAGAGTCTTGCCTGACACAGCTCGTACAAAAGCCTTCAGTAGTGCACCCCAAGAAATAGCTGGTCCAGGCTGTAGATGAGAGGCACTGGGCAGACAGATCCATACCCACCTCCTGAGTCTCAGAAGTCTGGTGTGCATGGAACATTAAGCCCCTAGCCTACTGAAACTTCACCTCCCAGCTGGTCTTGTACCATCTGATTCTTGAGCCCCATCATGTTAGTGTCATCTCCATACTGGAATTGCCAACAATGTCTGATGGAGGGTTTCACCCTGGGTACTTGGTACCAGCAATGTATGAAATACCAGAAGGGAGGCTCCAGGGCTTCCATAGAAGACACATTCTAAAGTTACTCAGGTGATCAAATGGTCATCTCAGAGATTTTCAGTAGAACTGCAGCATTTTGTCAATACCTGAGTGAATGCAGAAACTATCCAGAGGCACGGGCATTCTAGGAAGCTCCCTGTGTAAATCAAATACAAGGAATATCTACTTCTGGGCTCAAAATCTAACTTAGAGAAAAAAAAATTGAAGTGCTGGCAGAAGACAAATAACTCCACTTCAGTTCTCAAGAGAAAAATGGTTCTGTAACCTCTGAGTTTATTTAGAAAAATTTTGGAGCCTCAGGAAGACCGAGTATATCATTCCTGATGTTTCCAGGACAGATTGGACTGCTTAGGCCTTTGGGAATATTCTAAGTCCTCTCGGGTTTCCATGGGAGACTGTAACTCTACTCCTAGAGCTCACACCACCCCTGAGCAAGCTCATTGTTTTCTAAATATTCCAAGGAAGCCCATTCAGGGTATGTCTGTATTGGTGAGTTTCACTTTGGACTGGCAGGAGAAGACTGAGAATGATACATCCTGAGTTCACTTGGTAAAGGTAGGGTAGCCAAGAAGTCCAGATCTGGAGAGCACCTGAAACACCAGATGGCAGAAGGACAGTAAGGAGGTAAAGTCAGCTATGGAGTTGGAGCTTCATGTTTACTGCATGTAGGATTCTGAGTTCCAGGACTGATGGGCTGGTGGGGATCAGAGACGTGTCTTCCTTGCAGGGAGCCAGGCCAAACCAACCATCTGGTTGCACTACTGAAAGCTTTTGTGTGCCCAGTGGTGGGCAGGACACAAATCACAGTCCCTTCACCTCTGGCTGGTAGTTCTTGATGAGAGAGGTTTGCACACAAATGTTCATATTAGCCCATGGTCTCCTGCGGCTTGCTTTTCTTTCACCTCCTGTTTTTGATGTTTGCCATCATGGAACACATTTCATAGAGAAATTCTTTGACTCTGACTCCAAATTACACAAGGAGGACACAGTCTGTGAAGTTTTCATATATTTAGGGGAAGCTCCACATTAATTTTTGTATCCTTACGTTTATAATGTCTCCAGTATTAAAATTCATACTATTTAGGTCATTGAGTTCATTATCATGATTATTAATTATTTTTCGTATATCATTTCTTTTTATTGGTTAATTTTTGTGGCAGCTGTTATATAACAATCACTAGAGTTTCCCTATTCATGAAAGATGTCCAAGTTAATGGAGATAACTAGGAGTGTTACTTCACAGGTATGTAAATACAGATAATCTTGGCTGAACTGTGGCTATATTGTCTGGTGTCCCTTTGAGGGTGAAGCCTCTTGTATTATTCTAAGTGACCTCTGGAGAAAGCAACTGTCTCATAATTGCAGGGACGACTTGAGAAGGCATCCTAAGCCTATGCAGAAATGTAGAAACACTTCCATTATCTAAACAACCTATGTGAAGGCCTGAAAGCCAAAGCAAGATCCTCTTGTTACAAAGCTGTCCAACAAAAAGTTTTCCAAGTAATACTGGAGGTCCGTCAGTCAGTCTTCCTGGTCTGGAAATGCCAGAAATGTCCTCCTTGGTCCTTCTGAGAGTCAAGATCTTTTCAAAATCACCTCAGGAGCCACAGAACCACTCCATCCTACCTGAAATTGCAGGATGACTCTTCTTTTGACCAGAGTCTCAAAAATATATTCGTTGATAGTTTTGATTCCTGGGAGCCGCCATTGCTTGCAAAAGATGTGCCAGAGACTAGACATTTTCTGTCTCCTCACTTGTCCGGGGAAGACTGAAGTTTTACTGAAACACAGAGATGGGAATCTGACCCTCTGAGCAGCCGCAGGATATTCTAAGTCTTCCAAGAAGAGTAGAAATACTGGTGAGGACCCATTGCACCCCCTGATGGTCTGCAATCACATAGGATGATGCTTTCAAACAACTCTAGGTGTAGATACATTTTCTGAGATATTCCAAGGAGGAGGGACACAATTGGACCAGATGTTAGAAGGACAGCTGAGCATTAAGTGCCTATGTAGTGTTTGCAGCTTAGTGTCCCATGCAGAAGGGGAATCTGGGCCCTGGTGTTAGAATTCAGTGTAATTCTGGGTTCCTGCTTTCCTTCCAGGAAATCCCACTTCCAGCTAGATGTCTGCATGAACTACTGAAAGCTGCTGAGTGTCTTGCAGCAGGTGAGCTGTGGCCAGAGCTCAAGGATGAAGGGGACTCCCTCACTCTGTGACTGTGAAGAGGAAGCCTGAGGTGTAGCAGGCCCAGGCCCCAGAAGTATGGAAAAAATGAGGTAGGGAGGGAGGGGACCTCAGGAGAAGACTGAGGTCTACAGAATCCCAGGGTCAAGGGGATGGTGCGGTGTCCGGGCACTGTCCTTGATGTTCCAAGAGGGGTGAGAATCCATCTCCTGAGTAAAAACTTCACATGGAGTGAGGAGGGGAGAAGTGAACAGAGAGGAAGCAGGGAAGGCCAAGACAGCGACCAGCCTCACAGCAATTTTAACCAGAAATGGACACAGACCCTGGACCCCATCACAGGAGTGCAGGCCTAAGACTGTCTCCAGGTGATGCATAGCTCCCTTGTCAGGTTAGTGGGTGCAGGCATTGTGACGTCTGCAGGGGTGTGGAAGGCTGGGCAATGGGAGCAGCTTACTGGGCTGGACCAGAAATACTGAACTTCTTTTCCATCAGTGAAATCCGCTTCTGGGTCAGAAAAAACTGCGAGTTCCAGAGGGGCAGGGCCTAGGAGGAGGTCAGGTCCTGAGCCCTCCTGGTTTGACCCCCTCCCACCCCCTGTGTTTCTGGGTCTGTCCTCAGTTCCACCCAGCAGATCCTGAGTCTCTTCCTTTGAGTCCCCGTGAGTGTGTTGTGTGCAGTGGGGCCGGGCTGCTTCATCCACTGCACATTAAATGTTTCCAATACTTTCCGGCCAAAGCTTAGAGTTGTCAGACCACTGAATTTGAATGTTGACCTGGTTCCTTGTGGAACAGAGTAATAGCTATTGAAGTTTAAAGTCACTTTCCTGCGTGGATGGTGAAGAGGCAGGCTGTTCAGGCATAGCTGTCCTCAGGCCTGGAGGGCTGTGGAGGTCACCGTGGGCGGTGGGTGGATCCGGAAACTCTGTGGCTCTAGACTTTCAACTATTTTATTTTTTCTTTTGTATTTTTTGTTTGTTGCTTGCTTTTTTACAATGGGAACTAGAATGTAAGATGCCAAACTCAGCCTGTGGGGAACATGGATTTTCACAACAGCAACCACAGAGCGTGGTTTCCATTTCTATTCCCTGTTCATGTGGGAGGCAGAGAAGGAAATCAGGTGCTCAGTTCCAGGGACATCACAGGACTAGGACATGTGCAGTGAGGGTGGAAGGCAGAGGCATTGCTTTAGGAGAATAAAATTACTGCATGCACACACATATGTATGTATATGGATGTATGTACACAAACATGCATATTTATAGATTCTGTTCTCCCTCTCTCTATTTAATTTTCTTTATTTCACACTTGATATGATTTCTAAATTTAAATACCTTTGAGACAAAGGTGAATTGTGAAGGGATTTAAAAATGTCAGTGAAAAATGGAATTAACAATAAAAATATAAATATAAACTTTATTTCTCAATATAAGCTCTATTGAGGTCCAGACACTCCATTAAGGGATGATCCCAGCCATTCAGTCCATTGCTAAACAACTGAGGGTAACGGGAATTTAACCGTGTCAATGCAGTCTTCTTTTACTAACTAAAGAAAAATGAGTGCCCTTTACAGTTATTTTAAGATTAGGGAAAAAAAGGTCAGAAGAAAACAAATCAGGACTGTAATGTTGATGCCTAATAATTTCCCATGAAAACTCTTGCAAAATTACCCATGTTTGATGAGAGGAAGGAACAGAAGTGTTGTTGTGGTGCAGAGGGACTCTCTAGTGAAGCTTTACAGGGCGCTTTTCTGCAAAAGTATTTGCTAATTTTCTCTAAGAACTCTCCTAGTAAGCAGATGTTATCGTGCTTTGATCTTACAGAAAGTCAACAAGCAAAATGCCTTGAGCATCCCCAAAACCTCCATGGCTTTAGCTTTTGAGAAGTTTGCTTTTGCTTTGACTGGACCACTTCTACCTCTTGGTAGCCATTGCTTGAATTGTGCTTTGTCTTCAGGATCTTATTGATAAAGCCAGTTTCACTCCCTGTTATAATTCTTCAAAACAATGCTTCAGGATCTTGATTCCGCTTGCTCAAAATAGTCACTAATAGCTCTGCTTTTGTCCACTGCTCATCTAGGCACAAGGGTATTTGGGACTCATCAAATGTAAAGTTTCTCAACTTTCACGTTATAGTCAGTATTGTGTAACCTGAACCAATTGAGATGTCTGTGGTGTTGGCTGTAATATCTCTTGTTAATTGTCAATCCTCCTCAATTAGGGCATAGAAACGATTTTTTTTTTCCTCAAAAATTGGTATGGATGTCCCTCCTCTGTTGACTTCATCTTCAACATTGTATTATCTCTTCTTAGAATAAGGTATCCATTTGTAAATGACTGATTCTTCAGGTCATTTTTCCCATAGACTTTTCATAAAGAATAATTTATTTCACCATTTTTTGTACCCCAGCTTCACCGTAAATTTGATGTTTGTTCTTGCTTCAGGTTTGACAGAATTCATGTTGCTGCCATAGAGGGGCTCTTTTCAAACTGATGTCTTAAATCTTGTTCACGTATGTTAAAACAGGGCCAGGCACGGTGGCTCACGCCTGTAATCCCTGCATTTTGGAAGGTTAGAATAAAGTTTTTTAAAACTTTATTTTATTTCATTTTAAGTTCTGGGCTACATGTGCAGGATGTGCAGGTTTGTTACATAGGTAAATGTGTGCCATGGTGGTTTGCTGTACCTATCAACCCATCACCTAGGTATTAAGCCCACATGCATTAGCTATTTATCCTGATGCACTCCCTCCCCACTCACTCCCAGACAGGTTCCAGTGTGTGTTGTTCCCCTCCCTGTGTCTGTGTTCTCTCATTGTTCATCTCCCACTTATAAGTGAGAACATGTGTATTTGGTTTTCTGTTCCTGCATTAGTTTGCTGAGAATAATGACTTCCAGCTTCATCCATGTCCCTGCAAAGGACATGATCTCATTCCTTTTTATGGCTGCATAGTATTCCATGGTGTATATGTATCACAGTTTCTTTATCCAGTCTATCATTGATGGGCATTTGGGTTGGTTCTATGTCTTTGCTATTGTGAATAGTGCTACAATGAACATACGCATGCATGTATCTTTATAATACAAGAATTTATATTCCTTTGGGCATATACTCTGTAATGGGATTGCTGGGTCAAATGGTATTTCTGATTCTAGGTCTTTGAAAAATCACCACAGTCTTCCACAGTGGTTGAACTAACTTACATTCGCACCAACAGTGTAAAAGTGTTCCTATTTCCCCACAGTCTCACCAGCATCTGTTGTTTTTTGACTTTTTAATAATCACCATTCTGACTGGCATGAGACGGTATCTCACTGTGGTTTTGATTTGTATTTCTCTAATGATCAGTAATGTTGGGCATTTTTTTCATGTTTGTTGGCTGCATAAATGTCTTCTTTTGAGAAGTGTCTGTTCATGTCCTTTGCTCACTTTTGAAATTTTTAAATTTTTATTTTTTAAGACAGAGTCTAGCTCTGTCACTCAGGGTGGAGTTCAGTGACACAATTTCGGGTCACTGCAACCTCTGCCTCCCAGACTCAGGTGATTCTTCTCTCTCAGGCTCCTGAGTAGTTGGGATTACAGGCCCGCACCACTACATCCGGCTAATTTATTGTATTTTCAGTAGAGACGTGGTTTCACCAGCTTGGCCAGGCTGATCTTGAACTCCTGGCCTCAAGTTATCTGCCCACTTCACCCTCCCAAACTGCTGGGATTACAGGCATGAGCCACTGTACCCTGGTTTTCCCCACTTTTATATGGGGTTGGGTTTTTTACAGTTTTGGGTTTTACATTTAAGTCTTTCATCCATTTTCAGTTCATTTTTGTATAAGGTATAAGGAAGGGGTACAGTTTCAGTTTTCTGCATATGTCTAGCCAGTTTTTCAAACACCATTTATTATTAAATAGGGAATCCTTTCCCCATTGCTTGTTTTCATCAAAAATAAAATGGTTGTAGATGTGCAATCTTATTTCTGATATATCTATTCCATTCCATTGGTCTATGTGTCTGTTTTGTACCACTACCATGCTGTTGGGTTACTGTAGCCTTGTAATATAGTTTGAAGTTAGGTAGCATGATGCCTCTAACTTTGTTATTTTAGCTTAGGATTGTCCTGGGTATATGGGCTCTTTTTTCATTCCATATGAATTTTGAGGTAGTTTTTTCTAATTTTGTAATGAATGTCCATGGTAGTTTATGGGAATAGCATTGAATCTATGAATTAATTTGGGAAGTATGGCATTTTCATGATATTGATTCTTCTTACCCATGAGCATGGAATGTTTTTCCATTTGTTTGTGTCCTCTCTTATTTCTTTGAGTAGTGGTTTGCAATTCTTCTTGAAGAGGTCCTTCACTTGCCTTGTTTGCCGTATTCCTAGGTATTTTATACTCTTTGCAGCAATTGTAAATGGGAGCTCATTTGTGATTTGGCTCTCTTCTTGTCTATTGGTGTATAAGAATGCTTGTGATTTTTGCACACTGATTTTGTGTCTTGAGACTTCACTGAAGTTGCTTATAAGCTTAAGAATCTTTTGGGCTGAGATGATGGGATTTTATAGATATAGGATCATGTCATCTGCAAACAAAGACAATTCAACTTCTTCTTTTACTATTTGAATATGCTTTATTTTTTTCTCTTGCCTGATTTCCTTGGCCAGAACTTCCAGTACTATATGGAGTAGGAGTGGTGAGAGAGGGCATCCTTGCCTTGTGCCGAATTTCAAACGGAATGCTTCCAGGTTTTGCCTATTCAATATGATATTGGCTCTGGGTTTGTCATAAATGGCTCCTATTATTTTGAGATATGTTCCATCAATACCTAGTTTCATGAGGTTTTTAATTTAAAGGAATGTTGAATTTTATCAAAGATCTATTCTGAGTCTACTGAAATAATCATGGGGTTTTTGTCTTTAGTTCTGTTTACATGGTGAATTACATTTATTGATTTGTGTATGTTGAACCAGCCTTGCACCAAAGGGATGAAGCTGACTTGATCTTGGTGGATAAGCTTTTTGATATGTTGCTGGATTTTGTTTGCCACTATTATATCGAGAATTTTTGCATCAAAGTTTATCAGAAATATTAAACTAAAGTCTAGTAAATACATTGAAAATAATAACAGACTGATTAAAAGACTAAATAATATGAATCCTAAGTGTTCTCACAGCTGATTTATAGAGTAAAAGCATTGTCAAACCAAATGAGCTTGGATAGAAACTGTATAGAGTCTGAGATGTTGTCTGAACTTCCAGTCACTCATTGTGAAGTGGAACTGCAGTAACTACATTTGGTGCAAAATTTCATGTCGATGGAAGCTGATATGTCCTGCAGTCTCAGAGGGACAGAATTCTGGTGTATCTCCCTTTGGCCTATGAGGAATGAAGATTTAGGCTCTGAGGGTTTTGTCAAAATTTATAAGATGTAAGAAATGGGGACGTCTTTAGGCCATGAGGCAAGGCCTAGTGGTGTAAAGAAACAGCTTCTGACCCAGGGCTCATGAAGTCAGCATGGTGTCAGGGGCGATGGTGGAGTGAGCATAGTATGGTTTTTGGAACCATTCCTTCCTCTTATTTCTTCACAGGCCAGGTATGCACAACCAGGGGGCATCTCGGGCCTGATGAGCAGAGTCCTGAAGAGACAAAGGGGCAATCCTGAGGAAGAGACTTGACAGGGAGGAAGGAGCCACCAATTTCACTCCTGAGGGAATTCTTCCTCCCCAGTAAACCATAGGATTTTCCTTTGTCTCAGTGAGAGTTTTCCTGAGTGAAGAGAAAAGAGAGAGAAAGGGACTGATGTGTTATCTGTTACCACCACCTGAAGTGATTCTGAAACGTTGGGGGAAAGGAGAATTATCTTCAGAGTCATAAGCAATCCAGAGGCCATGGTTACACATAAGAGAGTGGAAGTTCTTATCTCTGGGGGGTAGGCACTAGGCATTGATATTGGTTAAAGCTCATTCACTGATTACAAAGTGAGACAAATAAATACTCCACTGCAAGATTTATTCATGACATTTTATTTCACACACAATTCACTTGCCTTCACGCAAAGAGCTCTCGGTTCCCTGCCTATGGACACACTGTAACTGGGTCTTCCAAATTCATTCTTCTGGATGTAAAAGAGGACATAGGCCTGTTGACTCAGGACAGAAGTGATACCGGAGGCAGTGACCTCGGCATCATCCATTTTATACCAATGGCCTTCTTGAGTTTGACATAAGATAAGTAATGTCCGTTGTGACAACTCCACCCAGCGTGGACCAGCACAGCATAGAGGACATAGACAAGAGGTCCTGTGTTCTGCTGAGACATGTATGGCTGCATGTCAAGGCACTCAGGATATTGCACATTCTTGGCAAGTTTGTTGCCTGTGACATCAGAGAATCTCTTCAATACAAGGATGAGGACCTTGGCAGAAGTGTGTAAAGTTAACGTCCTGGAGGTAGGCGCCTTCTGGAGACAAAGACCACAATGATAGGCATTTTATCCATTGAGTTCTTCGGGCTTCACCAACTGTTCCAAAGCTTGCTTGACACTCTGAGCTGCCTGGATATCCAGGGCGATGTCCAGGTAAGGGTCAAAGGTGTCTGAAATCCCATGGCAGTGGAAACAGTTGATGTGAGATCTCCAGTACCCTCCAAATATTTGGTGGATGAGGGTGGTGTCCTTAGAGTGATTATCTAAATGCTTGTGCCCGGGAAGGAATGCTTTTTTCATGGCATCCACAGTGAACATGAGAAATTCATGGGCATCTTCCTGCTCGCCTCTATGGAAGCCAGCAGCCAACACCTGTGAAGGCTGGATGACATGGCCAGGACTGTGGAGGGGCCATGTGATGTGAGCTTGCATAGTACAGAGCATGCAGCACTTGTGACGATGACACGTTTGAGAGTGCTCCCGGGACAGCATGTAGTTGGCAAGGGGCGGTGTGTATGTCAGGCACTGCAGGGAAGCGTTCACGTAGCAGGTATTTCCCATATTCTGGAGCCCAGCCCCCACCGCAGCAGGTCTCCTGCTACTCAGAGGAAGCTTCTCCCTGGGAGCGAGCTGTCTTGCCACAGGAGCCAAATCATCACAGAGGTCGACGCGGGTCTCAGATGAGAGTGATGACTTCTCAGAGAGAGAAGTCCGCTGGATTTCAGCAAAAGCTGCATCTGGCCGAGAAGATGTGAGTTTTGAAAAGTGGTTGAACTGCCACTCACCTCCCAAGTAGAGTGAGTCGTCCTCCATGTCGCCCGGAACAAGGATCACAGGGTTTTTCGGCTGGGACCGCAGGTTGCAGAAAGATGCTATCTCTTCCGAGAGAGTCTTCAAATGACGAGCTCTCTGGCCGCATCAGCCCTTATATAACTCACCCCCACCAACCGCGAACACCCCACCCACCCATCAGGTGCGCGATAAACCAATCAAATATCAGCACTCAATTAAGGAATGAGTCACAGGGTGTGTCCCCTTGCATCGCTGGGAATTCAACAGACACAGCCCACATCATGACTTCTAGAACACCTGAATCAAACTACTCCTCAGGCTGATAGACACATGTAATATGAGTGTAACCGGGTTGGGACAGTGGCCACACAGTTGCCTTATTTTAGGTAAAACAATGTCAGGGAAGAAATCTTTACCTATGAAACCGTGTGTGTGTGTGTGTGTGTGTGTGTGTGTGTGTGTGTGTGTTTGTGCCGGGATGTACTTCCAAATATGTGCTTTTGGCAGATACCATCATCCTCTCAGCGATGGAAGGACAAGAAGTCGGAAGTGCGCTTTCTGACCTGAGAATAGTCAATGAAGTATAGTAATTAGCGCAGTGTATCTTTTTCCTTAATAAGAAAGGAGAGATCCGTGGAATCAAACAGACCTTCCAGCGATAACCTTTCCACGTTCAGCCTATTGATTCTCTATCCGAGTGAAATTACCTGCCAGTGGAGAACAAGAGAAGTCTTTGCATGAAATGCTCTTGTGGAAGCTAGATGGCAAGTAATAAAGCATCAAGTGGTAGAAACATGCACTAAAGTCTGAAGAGATACTCAGTGCACAATGTAGAGTGTGTAAGACTTTGGGGAAATCATGCAATCACCGAGAGACTAATTGATGACATTCCGCAAATTTATGTGTGCCAGAAAAGAGAGATGAAAATGACATTGTATAGTGAATGGTTTCGGACGTGCGACGGCAGTTTAAGAAAACCTGAAACAAAAAACTTGAGAAATCAGAAGGTATCCCAACTATAACCTTTGGTTTATTAAAGAATTGATGAAAATAAAAACAACGTATCTCACAGCATGGGTGATAATATTTTCATACGTATGTGATAATGGATCAACATTTGATAGAGATGAAATGAAAAGTTCTAAATTTGACAAAAGCAAACACCGAAAATTGCACCGTAGAAAAGCCCTGGTGACGGGAGTGAGGCCCTGTCTCAAGAAGAAAACATTGGAGAGATTTAAAAGCAGAGAGTGAAACCCAGGATAGCATAAGATTGTTAATACTGGCCCTTGTTTCAGTGGGAAAAGGCAAAAATAAGCCGTGTGTCTCCTGGATTCTCGCATCGATTGTTCAGGATCTGAGATGTTGCCTCCATTTACAGTTACGCATTGCATGGTGGAATTGCAGTTAGCACATTTGGTGCAAAAATTTTAGTGCTGACGAAAATGGACATGTTCCCTGAACTAAGAGGGACATAATTTGGGTGTGTCTTCAGGCTCTCTGGCTTACCAGGATTGAAGATCTAGGCTCTAGGGATTCTCCCAAAATGTCTTAGACAGTAAGCACTGGAGCAGAATTGAGGCCCGGCGCCAAGGTCTCGAGGTGTAAAGAAACAGCCGTGGCCTCAGGGCCCATGAAATTAGGATGATTTTAAGGAGGATGATGGAATGAGAGGACTGTGACCTTTGGCCCCGTTTCTTTCCCTTGTTTTTTCATGGGCCAGGTGTGCTCCATCAGAAGGCTTTCTGTGCCTGATGTAAAGTGTCCTGGGTGAAGAAAGGGCACTGCTTAGAAAGGTGCTCCACAGGGAGAAAGGAGCCACCGTTTTCAGGAGAATGATCCCCAGAAGCATGAGCAATCCACATGCCGTGGCTTCACACAAGACGCTGGAGGGTCTTATTCCTGGAGCCGGGACCTGGGCATCGGTGTGCTTTAATGCTCATAACTGATTTTGAGGGGAGCCCAATCGATAACCTGTCTGCGAGTCATGCTCGTCACACTGTAGTTTTCACACACGTCACAGAGAGACCCTGTTCGTATGCACATTGGGGTGCTTGAGCAGGGTTGCGCCCACGATTCTGTGGTACTACGGAGCCCTGAGTTGTGCCCTGGACAGCTTTCTTCAGGGGTTGGTCAACTTTGATCACTGCACCTAACAAGAAAGGGACCATGAAATCTAATCAGCAAATACAGAAAAGGAAGGGGCCATTTCCCACAATAATTTCCACAGAAACACCACGTCGAATAAATAAGTCTGATTGCAGGACAGGGACTGTGCTTCAGAGGTGCAGCTTTCGCAGCTGGACGAATGACCCGGAATCTCCCCAAATGCCATTTGTAAACACACCAAATGAGGTTTATTTCAGGGCTTTCTGAATGTATTTTAGTTGAATACACACACTCCAGTGTTTGATTTCCTTTAGTAGCAATAAGACTTAGTTCCAAATGACTTCCGTGCTAGTGGGAAAATTTTCTGTTTCGACTCATTGGAAGTGGACACCGTGAAACAGGCAAGTCGGTCTGTCTGCTTCCGGCGTTATGTGGGTTCCAGCAAGAGCACAAGTCCCAGGGCGCCTAAGGTCCATTCAGAAACCAAAATAAAATGGGCGAGCCAGGGTAAGAAAGGAGAGCACCGTTCCTATCTTCCAATTGAATTCCAGTATCCACTATTCAACGTGGCGAGAATGATCCACGGATGTCCCACATGAGCAAAATTTCACCTTCTCTTGCCGACCAAGAACTGATGAATGAAACAAACCCCAAGAGGAAATAGTAAACCATGTCCCCTGCAATAACCTCACACGCAAACCTACACGTCAATAGGTCACATTAAGAAATACACACTGAATGTCATCTACCATGAACACAAACACACAGACAGTCCCTCCAGAGGTTCGGAAGACTCACGACCCCAAAACTTGATGTTTCCCATGTGTGGGCTCATCCTGAGATGCAGCCGTCACTATCCAGTTGTCCCTGTTGTAGAGACAGAAACTGGGGCTCCTCATTACTTTATGTAGGATAGACGGTGTTCGTGTTTGTGTGGGTGTGTGTGTGTTTCCTTGCGCGCTTGTGGGTGTATTTGTGTTTGTGTGTGTGTGTGTGTGTTTTTCTCCCCTACGTGTGGGTCGGCACTTCCACTGAGATCACTGGCACACAAGCAGAGCCCTCTTGCAGTGTTTGTTCTTCCCTTTGGATCTCCTGGTCCTCCCTTGCAGAGAAGCGAGTGTGCCAGTGTTCATGGACTCCTGATCTGTCGGGTTCGTCGAAGAGAGGTTTAGCAGGGAGCTTTGCTGTTCAGGATGATGGTTTTTCATCCCACACTTGTATTTTGATTGATGAATCACAAGTACGTTGGGAGGCAGGGTACCTTCAAGTTTTCTGACGTTGAACTCAGGCTTCGTTTTGTTTTGCTCTTGGAGGAATTTCCAGTGGTCTAAGGTGCTTTCCTGAGTGGCTCTTTCCACCAAGTGCTCGTCCAACTCGGGTACCTGGAGGCAGGGGTAGTCTCTCTTGAGCTCTCCTTGCGTTGCTCGCCTGTCTGTGTCTTCAGCGCCGAGGGCTCTTGGTTCCCTGCCTCTTGACACACTCTCACTGTGTCTTTCCCATTCACTCTTCTGGATGTAAAAGAGGACATAGGCCTGTTGACTCAGGACAGAGGTGATGCCAGAGGCAGTGACCTCGGCATCATCCATTTTATACCACTGGCCTTCTTGAACTTTGACATAAGAGAAGTAATGTCCGTTGTGACAACTCCACCCGGCGTGGACCAGCACAGCATAGAGGACATAGACAAGAGGTCCTGTGTTCTGCTGAGACATGTATGGCTGCATGTCAAGGCACTCAGGATATTGCACATTCTTGGCAATTTTGTTGCCTGTGACATCGGAGAATCTCTTCCATACGAGGATGAGGATCTTGGCAGAAGTGTGTAAAGTTTACGTCTTGGAGGCCGGCGCCCTCTGGAGACAAAGACCACAATGATAGGCATTCTCTCCATTGAGTTCTTTGGGCTTCACCAACTGTTCCAAAGCTTGCTTGACACTCTGAGCTTCCTGGATATCCAGGGCGATGTCCAGGTAAGGGCCAAAAGTGTCTGAAATGCCGTGGCAGTGGAGTCACTTGATTTGAGATCTCCAGTACCCTCCAAATATTTGGTGGATGAGGGTGGTGTCCTTGGAGTGATGATCTACCTGCTTGTGCCCGGGAAGGCATGCCTTTTTCATGGCATCCACAGTGAACATGAGAAATTCAAGGGCAGCTTCCTGCTTGCCTCTATGGAAGCCAGCAGCCAATGCCTGTGAGGGCTGGATGACATGGCCAGGAATGTGGAGGGGCCATGTGATGTGAGCTTCCATGGTACAGAGCATGCAGCACTTGTGACGATGACATGTTTGAGAGTGCTCCCGGGACAGCATGTAGTTGGCAAGGGGCGGTATGTATGTCAGACACTGCTGGGAAGCGTTCACGTAGCAGGTATTTCCCATATTCTGGAGCCCAGCCCCCACCGCAGCAGGTCTCCTGCTACTCAGAGGAAGCTTCTCCCTGGGAGCGAGCTGTCTTGCCACAGGCGCCAAATCATCGCAGAAGTCGACGCGGGTCTCAGTTGAGAGTTGTGACTTCTCAGGGAGAGAAGTCCGCTGGATTTCAGCAAAGGCTGCATCTGGCCGAGAAGATGTGAGTTTTGAAAAGTGGTTGAACTGCCACTCACCTCCCAAGTAGAGTGAGTCGTCCTCCATGTCGCCCGGAACAAGGATCACAAGGTTTTTCGGCTGGGACCTTATGTTGCAGAAAGACGCTATCTCTTCCGAGAGAGTCTTCAAATGACGAGCTCTCTGGCCGCATCAGCCCTTATATAACTCACCCGCACCAACGGCGAACACCTCACCCACTCATCAGGTGCGCGATAAACCAATCAAATATCAGCATTTAATTAAGGAATGAGTCACAGGGTGTGTCCCCTTGCATCGCTGGGAATTCAACAGACACAGCCCACATCATGACTTCTAGAACACCTGAATCACATTACTCCTCAGGATGATAGGCAGATGTAATATGAGTGTAACCAGGTTGGGACAGTGGCCACACAGTTGCCTTATTTTAGGTAAAACAATGTCAGGGAAGAAATCTTTACCTATGAAGCCGTGTGTGTGTGTGTTTGTGTGTTTGTGTGTGTGTGTTTGTGCTGGGATGAACCTCCAAGTATGTGCTTTTGGCAGCTACCATCATCCTCTCAGCGACGGAAAGAGAAGAAGTCGGAAGTGCGCTTTCTGACCTGAGAATAGTCAATGAAGTATAGTATTTAGCACAGCGTATTTTTTTCCCTAATAAGAAAGGAGAGATCCGTGGAAACAAACAAACCTTCCAGCGATAAGCTTTCCACGTTCAGCCTATTGATTCTCTATCCGAATGAAATTAGCTGCCAGTGGATAACAAGACAAGTCTTTGCATGAAATGCTCTTTTGGAAGCTAGGTTGCCAAATAATAAAGCATCAAATGGTAGAAACATACACTGAAGTTTGAAGAGATACTCAGTGCATAAAGTAGACTGTGAAAGACTTTGTGGAAATCATTCAGTCACCGAGAGACTAATTGATGACAATCCCCAAATTTATGTTTGCCAGAAAAGAGAGATGGTCATGACATTGTATAGTGAATGATTTCGGATGTGCGATGGCAGTTTAAGAAAACATGAAACGGCCGGGCGCGGTGGCTCACGCCTGTAATCCCAGCACTTTGGGAGGCCGAGGCGGGTGGATCATGAGGTCAGGAGATCGAGACCATCCTGGCTAACAAGGTGAAACCCCGTCTCTACTAAAAATACAAAAAATTAGCCGGGCGCGGTGGCGGGCGCCTGTAGTCCCAGCTACTCGGGAGGCTGAGGCAGGAGAATGGCGTGAACCCGGGAAGCGGAGCTTGCAGTGAGCCGAGATTGCGCCACTGCAGTCCGCAGTCCGGCCTGGGCGACAGAGCGAGACCCCGTCTCAAAAAAAAAAAAAAAAAAAAAAAAAAAAAGAAAGAAAACATGAAACAAAAAACTAGAGAAATCGGAAGGTATCCCAACTATAACCTTTGGTTTATTAAAGAATTGATGAAAATAAAAACAACGTATCTCACATCATGGGTGATAGTCTTTCCATACGTATGTGATAATGGATCAACATTTCATAGAGATGAAATAAAAAGTTCTAATTTTGACAAAAGCAAACAACGAAAATTATACCGTAGAAAAGTCAGGGGGAAGGAAGTGAGGCCCTGTCTTAAGAAGAAACATCGGAGACTTAAAAGCAGGGAGTGAAACAGAGGATAGCATACCATTTTTAATACTGGCCCTTGTTTCACAGGGAAAACGCAAAAATCAGCCGTGTATCTCCTGGATTCTCGCATCGATTGTTCAGGATCTGAGATGTTCCCTCCATTTCCATTTATGCATTGTATGGTGGAATTGCAGTTAGCACATTTGGTGCAAAAATTGTAATGCTGACGAAAGTGGACATGTTCCCTGAAGTAAGAGGGACAGAATTTGGGTGTGTCTTCAGGCTCTCTGGCTTACCAGGAATGAAGATCCTGGCTCTAGGGATTTTCCCAACCTTTCTTAGACAGTAAGGAACAGGGCAAAATTGAGGCCCGGCGCCAAGGCCTCTAGTTTTAAAGAAACAGCCGTGGCCTCAGGGCCCATGAAATTAGGATGATTTTAAGGAGGATGATGGAATGAGAGGACTGTGACCTTTGGCCCCATTTCTTTCCCTTGTCTTTTCATGGGCCAGGTGTGCTCCATCAGAAGGCTTCCTGTGCCTGAAGTAAAGTGTCCTGGGGGAAGAAAGGACACTGCTTAGAAAGATGCTCCACAGTGAGAAAGGAGCCACCATTTTCAGGAGAATGATCCCCAGAAGCATGAGCAATCCACATGCCGTGGCTTCACACAGGGTGTGGGAGAGTCTTATCTCTTTAACCGGGACCTAGGCATGGGTGTCCTTTAATGCTCATAACTGCTTTTGAGGTGAGCCGTATTGATATCCTGCCTGCGTGTCATGCTCATTGCACTGTAGTTGACACACATGTCACACAGAAACACTCTGAATAAGCACATTTTTGTTCTTGAGCAATCTTACACCCAAGATTCTGTGGTTCTGCGGAGCCCTGAGTTCTGTCCTGGACCTCTCTACTCTTGTGTAGGTCAACTTTGATCTTTGTACCTAATGAGAAATGGACTATGAAATCTAATCAGCAAACATACAAAAGTAACGGGCCATTGTCCACAATTGTGTCTCTCCGGTAGGTCATCTTTGATAACTGTACTTAACAAGAAATGCATATGTGACGATTCCAAATCAAAGAATCTCATGGTTTTTCGCCATTTTATTTAATTCTGTTAACGTTTAAATAGAGTTTAAAACCCAAGATTTGGCATGAAATCTAATTGTCAAATACAAAAAAGGAAGGGTCGATTCTTCAAAATCTTTTCCACTGAAAGACCACCACTGATAAACAAGTATCGTTGCATTACAGGGATCCTGCTTCGAAGATGCAACTTTCACAGCTGGATGATTGACCCAGAATCTCCTCTAATGCCATTTTTTTACCCGCAAAATGGATTTATTTTAGGGCTCTCTGATTTTATTTTAGTTGAATACACCCACTCTTGTGTTTCAATTTCTTTCAAACGCCTTTAAATAATTAAGTATCTTGCTGCATCAGCCCTTATATAACTACTGTCCACCCACCGAGACCATTACATTTATCCATCAATTACCCTGTTTACTAATGAAATATCAGGATTCAATTAATTTTTTTGTCTTAGGTTGTATCCTCTTGCATTCCTCAGAGAATTTAATGGACACAGCTTACATTGTGATTATGGAAGATTTGAAGCAGATTTACTTGTCAGTATTATGGGCAAATATGATAGGAGTGGAACCGGGTTAGGATAGGGGCTAAACATTTGCCTTATTTCATGTAAAACAATGCTAGTTAACATTTGTGTACATAGTAAACAGTTTGTGTGTATGTGTGTATTTGTGTGTTTGTTTCTGGATGTGTCTGCATGCATTGAGAAGTACTTCCAAGCATGTGCATCTGTGACATAAGATTCAGCGACTAAATGACAAGAAGTTATAACTACACTTTCTGACTTGAGAATTTGCAGCAATGGTATGTCATTAATACAGCATATACTTTGTCTTAATTAAGATGGAGAGATCAATGGAGTCAAATAGACATTCCAGAGATAACCTTCCCATTTTTGGCCAGTTGATTCCATATCATGTTGTAATGATCTGGCATTGGGGAGAAGACAAGTCTTTGCATGAAATGGTCTTGTGGAAGCAAGATATGCAAATAATAAAGCATCAGATGGGACTATTCCCCTCAATAGTGAATGTAGAAACATTCACTTAAGTTTGATGAAATTCTCAATGCCCAAAATAGATTGCGAAACACTTTCAAGAAAACATGCTATAACCCGGAGACTAATTGATGACATCCACCGAAGTTATGACTGCAAGAAAAGAGAAATATTCATGGCATTTTTAATCCAAGGGTTTCTTGTATATGACAGCATTTTTTAAAAAGTCAAAATCAGAAAAGCTTCACAAATTGGAAGATATCTAAGCTAAAACCTTTTGTTTCTTAAAAGAACGATAAAAATAATTGCAATGTAACACACGGCCTGTGTGATAATGTTTTAATACATATCTAAAAATGCCTTAAAATTCAATAGAAATAAAATAACAACTTCTAAAACTTGACAAAAGGAAACAACAAAAATTACACACTGGAAAAGCCTGGCTGACTGGAGTGACATCCTGTCTCAAGAAAGAACAGACAAACCCACAAACAAGCAAAGGATTCTAAAAGCAGGGAATCAAACAGATACTTGTACACCATTCTTCCTACTAGCACTCTTCATAGTAGGAAAAGTCAAAAACAACCCAAATGTGTGGTGAATTACTTCATCAGTTTTTTAGGATCTGAAATACTGCCTCAATTTTCAGTTACTCATTGTGGAGAGAACCTGCAGTTACCACATTTGTTCCAAAATTTTATGGTGATGAAGGTAAACCTGTCCGGCATTCTCAGAGGGACAGAATTCTGGTGTTTGTCCAGGTTCCTTGGCTTACCAGGAATGAAGATCCGAACTGTACAGACTTTTTTCAAAAGTATGTACATATGTATGTATGTATGTATGCATGTATGTATGTATGTATGTATGTATTTCCTCTTTTTAAATTTAAAAATTACAGGATACATGTGCAGAATGAGCAGGTTTGTTATATAGGTATCCTTTGCTATGGTGGTTCGTTGCACCTATTGACTTATCCTGTAAGTTTCCTTCCCTCACCCCCAGCCCCCAACGGGCCGTGTTGTGTGTTGTTCCTCTCACTGTGTCCTTGTTTCCTGAATGTTCAACTTTCACTTATTAGTGAGAACATGCCGTATTTGTTTTTTTTTTGTTTTTGTTCCTGTGTTAGTTTGCTCAGTATGATGGCTTCTAGCTTTATCCATGTGCCTGCAAAAGACATAATCTCATTCCTTTTTATGACTGCATAGTATATTTTGGTGTATATGGACCACATTTTCTTTATCCAGTCTAGCAATGAAGGGCATTTGGGTTGGTTTCATGTCTTTCCTATTGTATATAGTGCTGCAATAAACATACATGTGCATGTGTCTTTATAGTGGAATGATTTATATTCCTTTGGGTACATAGCCAGTAATGGGATTGCTGGGTCAAATGGTATTTCTGGTTCTAGATCCTTGAGGAATCGACATACTGTCTTCCACAATGGTTGAACTAATTTACAATTTCACCATCAGTGTAAAAGCCTTCCTCTTTCTTCTCAGCCTCACCAGCATCTATTGTTTCTTAATTTTTTAATAATCACCATTCTGACGGGTGTGAGATGGTATCTCACTGTAATTTTGATTTTCATTTCTCTGATGATCAATGTTGTTGAGCTTTTCAAAAATATATTTGTTGGTTGCATAAATGTCTTCTTTTGATAAGTTTCTGTTCATATCTTTTGCTCACGTTTGATGGGGTTGTTTGTTTTTTTGCTTGTAAATATGTTTAAGTTCCTTGTCAACTTTGGTTATTAGACCTTTGTCAGATGGGCAGATTGCAACAATTTTCTCCCATTCTGTAGTTTGCTTTTTCATGCTGATGATAGTTTCTTTGCTGTGCAGAAGGTCTTTAGTTTAATTAGATCCAATTTGTCAATTTTGGCTTTTGTTGCAATTGCTTTTGGCATTTTTGTCATGAAGCCTTTGCCCATGCCTATGTCCTGAATGGTATTGCTTAAGTTTTCTTCTAGGGTTTTTATGGTTTTGGATTTCACATTTAAGTCTTTAATCCATCTTGAGTTAATTTTTGTATAAGGTGTAAGGAAGGGGTCCAGTTTTGGTTTTCTGCCTATGGCAAGCCAGTTTTCCCAGCAGCATTTACTGAATAGGAGATCCTTTCTCCCTTGCCTGTTTTTGTCAGGTTTGTCAAATATCAGATGGTCGTAGATGTGTGGGGTTATTTCTGAGGTCTTTGTTCTGCTCCATTGGTCTATATGTCTGTTTTGGCAGCAGTAGCATGCTGTTTTGGTTACTGTGGCCTTCTAGTATAGTTTGAAGTTAGGTAGCGTAATGCCTCCAGCTTTGTTATTTTTGCTTACAGTTGTCTTGGCTATACGGGGTATTCTTTGATTTCATATGAAATTTAAAATAGTTCTTTCTAATTATGTGAAAAATGTCAATGGTAGCTTCATGGGTATAGCATTGAATCTATAAATTAGTTTGGGCAGTATGGCCATTTTCACAATATTGATTCTCCCTATTCATGTGGATGGAATGTTTTTCCATTCGTTTGTGTCCTCTCTCATTTCCTTGAGCAGTGGTTTGCATATGTCCTTGAAGAGGTCCTTCACATCCCTTGTACTCCTAGCTGTATTCCTAGGTATTTTATTCTCTTTGTAGCAATTGTGAATGGGAGTTCATTCTTGATTTGGCTCTCTGCTTGACTATTGTTGATGTAAAGGAATGCTTGTGATTTTTGCACAATGATTTAATATCTTGAGTCCTTGGTGAAGTTGCTTATCAGTTCAAGAAGTTTTTGAATTGAGATGATGGGGTTTTCTAAATATAAAGTCATGTCATCTGCAAACAGAGACAACTTCACTTTCTCTCTTCCTATTTGAATACCCTTTATTTCTTTCTCTTGCCTGATAGCCCTGGTGAGAACTTCCAATACTATGTTGAATAGAAGTGGTTACAGAGGGCATCCTTGTCTTGTACCAGTTTTCAAAGGGAATGCTTCCAGCTTTTGCCTATTAAATATGATGTTGGCTGTGGGTTTGTTATAAATAACTCTTATTATTTTGCAATATGTTCCATCAGTACCTAGTTTACTGAGAGTTTTTAACATGAAGGGATGGTGAATTTTATCAAAGGCATTTTTGCATCTATTGAAATAATTGTCTGGTTTTTGTCTTTGGTTCTGTTTATGTGATCAATTACATTTATTCGTTTGTGTATGTTGAACCAGCGTTTCATCCCAAAGATGCAGCCGACTTGATTGTGGTGGATAAGCTTTTTGATGTGCTGCTGGATTCTGTTTGCTAGTATTATATTAGGAATTTTTGCATTGATGTTGTCAGGGATATTGGCCTGGATTGAGCAGGTATGTGTGTGTGTATGTTTCTACCTTGGTTTGCCAGTAGGTTGATGTGTGAGTGTGTGTGACTTTGTGTGTGTGTGTTTGTGTGTGTGTGTGAATATGCGATAGAGAGCCAGACTAGAGCAGAGGAGGTTCCCTGGCCTGCCATGACATTAAATGTTCTGAATTCAAGATACCAAGGGAGGCATGAGACCCACAGTTGAAACTTCATGATGTGGCCAGGTTTCAGGGGTTTCTGGGAGCTGCCAGTGGGCATGTCTCAGGCTTGCTCCCACTGACAATCCATGTCTTCTCCCTAAATGGGAAATGGCACTGTATGGAGAACAGGCAACAGAGAGCATGATGTAAGGGTTCTTCCTCATACTCACTAGGAAAGAAAACAGATTTCATCATCTCTCACTCCATTCCCTTTGTAAATCTATAGACACAGGGGTCAGTTACCTTAAATATTAGCAGAGCTAAAGTCCTCAGACCAAATTAGATGTCCTATCTTCTCATGTGGATCAGATCCTAAAAAAAAACTGCTTCCTGTGGTCATTATCTTTTATCACAGGCCATTTTCAATCCAGAGGAAGACCTTCTAAAAGAGGTGATGGATGGGAGAGTGCTGACATACTATGTGAAGCTACTATTTGGAGTTGGACACGAGTGCATGTGACCTTGTGCCACAGCGGGAATGTGAGCTGGGTGACAAATGGAGATTTGGACTTGTGATAATTGGCCTCTGTGTCATTGTGTGGAAGACTGACTGGTCCCTTTATTTCCCGTAGCTTGACTACCACACAAATGAATCCATTCAAATGTTGGCAAGTGGAGCAGAGTCCCAGGACAGGTAAAGCACTTTCCCTGCTTTTTCTTAAGATCAATCCCCATGCCTAGAAATTAAAGTCACATCCCACATGATCATTAAAGTAGAGAGTGCATTCTACAGGATGAGTGAAAAGGCATTTATGATTCTTGGGGGCAGATGTTCTACAGTTGCCTGTGCTAGTTCATGTCTTTCTGCAGATCACATTCTTAACCTCTAGAGAGTCTGGCAGGACCAGAGCCTTACCTTTCCCAGTCTGCAATCTCTACAGGTACAGAAACACCCCCAGTTCAAGAATCTTCACATCTGAATTTAGTCCTACACCTGCAACTACCCCAGGTAAGTTTCCTTGTTCTTCAATGGCAAAGTTTGGACAATGCTGTTCAAACTCCAGGCAACAAGCAACATCTAGGGAATGTGCTTTTAGGTAGGGTCAGCATAATATCCCACCCTGGAAGACATTTTTATTTTAAAGTTGTAGAGGGTGATGCTGCTGGCGGCTCCCTCCCAATTAGCACCATTTGCAGCCTCTTTTGAAGACAGAGAACTGAGGGCTGTCCTTCAAATGGAGCAGTGTGATTCCAAAAAAAAGAGATGCTCCTTGTGGTCCTGGGACCAGGGATAGGACTCCAGCTGAGCCTGGTGGAAGAGGTCCACGTCCTAGCCCAACGGAGAGCCATGCAGCTGAGCTTGGGCGATGTGGTCCACGTGGTTGTTTCTGAGTGTGTCCTGAGGTTGCTGGATGGCTTGCAGTTCCCTATGCAGATCCAATGCTTCTTTTGCTTTTTTGGTTCTGCAACCTGGAATTTATATGTTCAAGATGGAGCCATCTCAGCCATGACAACAGAGAATGTACCACTCTCACATGAGGAAGAGGGGTAGGAAGTGCTCCTGTATCACCAGCCCTTAATGAGACCCTGAGGAAACCACATCATGGAGATCAGCCCTTCTCTCCTGTAAGGAACTCATCCTATGAAAGAGCAATTAGTGCCTGCAAGAGCTGTCTCTGGGACAGCTGTTCATGTCTATATCTGCAGGGTAACCCTCATAGTCATATGCAGTCATATCCATAGTCATATCGGGAGTCAGACTCCAGTTTGACTGAGTGAATGGAGAAACTAAACATTTATTACTGAATAATAACATTAATAAACCATCTTAATGATAGTAATAATAAACATATTGATGAGTATTAACAGGAATGATGATTATTATGATACTAATATCCATAATTAATAATTTTAATATTGATAATAATACTAACCCTGTGGACTTGGGACCTAGAGAGCAGTTTCCCCTGACAATTATCCCATATTTGGCCACATGGGGTAATATTGAGTTCCAGAAGGCAAAGATTAACATTCAGAAAAATAGGAAAAACAACCTGCAGGTAGGCATGTGCACACATGGGGACTCTATGGATAAATACTAAAGTGACTCTTGTTCTGGATCTCCATGCTAACAAACATGCACCAGCTTTCAGGAGGTAGGACAGCTGGCTGATGGGGCAAGGCTTCTTGAGGACATGGCAGGAGTCAGAAATCACACATGCTGCCCAGCAGCAGAGCTCATGACAAGCAGTAAACCCCAGTGAAAGGACCTGGCTGCCCTTCTGCCATCTGCTCTCCCATGGCCTCTGTTGACTGGTACATCTAGGCACTGGAATAACCTTCACTGGCTATAGGAAGGCATAATCCTCAGTATTCTCCCACCTGCAAGAAAGACAAAAATTAATTGAATACCATGGCTTCTGGGTATCCTTAGTGGGCTTAGTGTATTTTGCATTTGTTTTAACAGGCCAGTTATCCAGGCAGTGACTTTCAGTACAGCTACAGTCACCTCTGGACACCTGTGGAGACTTTAAAAATTTCCAGAAGTTCAGGAATTTTTGGACACCTTTCTCATGGCTATGTTGCCTGCAAAGGTGAATCAATAAGCTTCTGAACTGACTTAGAAAATGTTGCAGAGACTCTTGTGAGCAGATAGACCCTCTCCTGCCACTCCAGATAGACATATCTGGGTCACACACACCTGATTTAACAACATCTCGTTATCTCAGGTGGGCAACAGACAGCAATTTAGGACCTATCCCAGTGTGGATGAGAGATATTGAGTTGGCTTAGAAACATGTTAGATAGAATAGATGTGGCAAGAAAGCCCATTCTGGGGCTCAAAAGCCTGCACATAGAGTTGCTGGCACATAAATGGTATGTATAAATTCTTTCTCAGCCCATGAGATCAGGATGTACTTCATCAGTATACCATGCTGGTATGAAGAGATTCTTGCCTCCAAAGGGACTCAGAATATTTCAGGGAACCTGTATTAGTCCATTTTTACACTGTTGTAAAGACACTACCCCACACTGGGTAATTTACAAAGAGAAGGTGTTTAATTACTTTACAGTTCTGCATCGCTGGGGAGGCCTCAGGAAACTTACAGTCATGGTGGAAGGCAAGACAGAAGCAGGCACCTTTTTTCACAAGGTGTCAGGGAGAGAAGTGAGTGCACAGAAAAAAAAAACAAAAATCACCTACTCTTAAAACCATCAGATCTCCTAAGAATTCACTCACTATCATGAGGATAACATGAAGTAAACTTCTTCGACACATGGCGATTACAGGTCCCTCTGTCGATGTGTGGGGATAATAATTTGAGATGAGGTTTGGGTGGGGACACAGAGCCAAACCATATTATTCTGCTCCTGGCACCTCCCAAATCTCATGTCTTTTATATATATTTCAAAGCCAATCATGCTTTTCCAACAGTCCCCCAAAGTCTTAACTGATTCCAGCATAACTCAAAACTCCAAGTCCAAAGTCTTATTTGAGACAAGTCCCTTCTGCCTATCAGCCTATAAAATTAAAAAAAAAAAGTTAGTTACATCCACAATGGGGGCCTCATGACCCTGACCAGTGCCCTATCCTACTGTGGCTCAACTGATATCCAAGATGCAAGACAAAGTCCTTTTTACTCTTTCCTCTAATCTCCTCTAGCAGAAGGAAGCGGTCTTTTTTGGAGCTGCAAGCTGTGCTGCCTGGGGTTGGGGGAGTGGTAATGCAAGTACTCCTTTAGCTGTCCTGGCTGGTGTCTCAGTAGGTTTTATGGCCACTCACCTCAGTACACTGGCTCTGAGTACAGTACTATTGTGTCTGCAGTAGTGTATGAGATGGAAAATAAGTCTCCATTATCCAAGACTCTTCTTGAGCATCAAGGCTGCCTGATTGTTGAGCTATAGCTACAGACTTTCCTCGCTGAGCCCAGCATGCACATGTTCCTCTGCTGGAAAAAAAAGCAGAAACAAACAAACCACCAAACAACTTCCCACAAGTGGAATGTTCTGGGACTCAAGGTCATCTAGATTATTTTGTCCCCAGGGTGCTCCCTTGATGTGGTGTGCTTCCTCTTTCCTCAGAGTAGGAGTCACTGAAATTCAGATTACTGCATATGCTGCTGCTGCTTCTCTGGGTCTGGCTACCCAGTGGGGCTGCCGCACACCATGCTGGTGCTCAAGAATGTCTGCAATGGATCCAGTGATATAATCTGTCCTCAAGGCTCACAGCAGTGTGTATCGGCAGCTGATCAGATGGGGATGGCAGGGGAGTGATGTAGACTCTGAAAGATTCCTTGGTTATAAATAGTCCTAGTGTGTTGTGTATTGGATTTCTCAAATGCCAGTTGTAGTAGTAATGAACTCATCACATGGACAGACTCATGGCCTCCTGCTTAGCCAGAATGATGCAAGCAATGGTAACAGTTGTGGTCACTCACAACTTTTCTCCTTCCTGGGTGCTATGTTATTCTACCTGCAGATGCTGTAAAGGACTGTCAGTAGGCCTTCAGCCAGGAGGTGGTGCTTCCAAAAGACTGCCAGCTGTGGTGGTAGTGGTGAGATTTGGACTTGCCTTATGTTACCCATGGGAGGCACTCTGGTGTCTCAGGAAATAGGTGGAGCCATAGAGCTTCTAAAAGTTTCTTCTGTTATTTGTGTTAATCTACCAGGGTAGGTGGTTGAGCAAAGCCAGGTGGGAACTAGGTCAGGTAAGGTGATGCTCTGGCTGTCTATGTGTGGGACAAGCAGTGGCTCCAGTGGGAATTGGAAGGCAGTTCTTGGGCCACTGGAGTAATTTTCCAGAGAGAAGTGAAGCTGTCTCTGCCTCTGTACAAGGAGAGTCCATGTGAAGAATGGGGAGTAGCAGCTTGGTAGTAAGCCCCATCCAGCTCCCACACACTTGGCAAGGCAGGTCTCACACCCACAGTGTTCCACTGGGAGTAGCTAGCTAAGTTTCAAGAAGTCTGAGCTCAGAACTCAAAACTGACCCATACCATAATTCTCCCCTATGGAGACAGCAACTGCAACCTTCAGGCCACACCCTTCCTGATCCACCTGCAGAGCAGGGGCCCCCAGCTCCTGTGCTTGCTGCTGCAGCACACTTCCCACTCACCTCTCAGTTCTGGCCTGGAGAGTTTGTCCCCTGTCAAGATTATATCACACATTTCAGTTGGGAGGTTGTCTCAACCTGTGACCACCATCTGAGTTAGCTGGCAGACTTCTAGGAGGTCCTGTCTGAGGTAGAATCAGAAATGGCTTCCCTCCATTCTACCAGAAACTGGGAATGTGCTGGAGATTCAAAGCACATCCCAATGCCACTCCTCATATACTCACCACTCTTCCCTAAATCAGCCCCAGCGCTGAGTAGGGTTAAGGCCTTCCCTCACGGCCTGGATTGATAGGTTTCCCAGTGGAAGTGTATATCTTAGAGTCAGTTTACCCTCCTGTCACACCCTGGAAACTTACAATTTTCTGCCTAGCTTATGGTGTAAGCTGCATCCTGCTGTTTCTTTCAAATGGTCTGTGGCTTATTTCAATTTTCCTGTTAAATTCCTGTGTAGCTTCTTGAAAGAAAGTTCACAGTGTGAGTTTCTACACACCATTTTCTCTTTCCAAGTGCAAGAGGCAGACTAACAATGCCTTCAATCCACTATCTTGGAAAACAGAAGTAACAGTTTTCTCATTTTTAAAAGTTTTGTTAAGATCTGTTAATGACTCACAAAGAAATAGTACTTGGGTATATTTGAAATTAGTATTTATTCATTTATGTTGATAAGTGAAAATGCAAGACAGTTATCAAGATGGAAGTACTTAATATGTATATTTTAATATTCTTAGATGCAAATAACTTCACTTTTGATGTATTTTTATTTTGTCTCAGTTTCATTTCAACTTAGGTTTAAGGGGTTCTTGATAATCTGACATGATAAGTGGTGTTGGAATTGGCATTAAAATCCACCATGCTCTACAGCACTTCATCCTTCTTCGGCAGGCACCAATTTGATCTTCTACTACTTTGCAGACATCTCTTCTGCAAACACCAGACAAATTGAGACAATGACCTTCCGCAGGACCCAAACCACCTCTTACTGCAGGAAAGAAGATCCAGTGAGATAGTTAGTCCACAAATGGAATGTAAATCCATAAACACTCTTAAGTAACAGAATAAATTTAGTATGAGCATTTTTATGTGGGAGCTCTTGAAATGGTTGCTGCTCATATGTCAGAGACACATGCAGTTTAAGAAAGGTAGCAGTTCCAATCCTGGTTTGGCCCAACAGTCACTGCATTTTTGGTGGGGAAAAGGGATGTGGGAGGAGATGGTACCTCTTCATCTTTTTCTCTGGGTTTTCTGTCAGAAAGGGATGTTGCTTACTCCAGTGGCAAAAAATGCCAGTGTCTTCTGCCAGAGTGGGTTACTGAGGGCCTTGGTGGTTCCACCTTGTGGCTGATACAGATAGTCCCTTTCTGTTTTTGTTTCTAGCCAAAAAAGATGTTTCTGGCATCTCAGGTATGCTGATTTCAGCAGCTGTTTTTTCTATATGGCTAGTTTTTTTTCTTTCACTCTCTCTTTCTCTCTTTTTTTTTTTTTTTTTTTTTTGTCTTCACTGTGTTGTCATAGTTTCTTAAATGGTCCCTTGAACCCTGCCAGGGCTAGTTTGGTTTGTACATAACTATCTATATATTTTTTTCTTGCGGGGAGGGTGTAGAGCTAAAGGCTGGTATATCCTGCTCCTGCTCCCCAAAAGTGACGTTATTCCCCCAAGCTAATATTTCAGGCTTTCAATTTATTCATGCTTTCATCTGTTTAAACATAAGTAGAAATTACTTTTTCTCTCCACATTTAGATTTGATCTATCTACTTTAATTGCTAGTAGTGTCTTAGGCATAGAATAGATTAGTTAGAAAAAAGTGTTTTTGACATTATAAATGATTCTTTCAATTTGTGTCTAAAAGTGGAAAATACTAGAAAGCTTAACATTTATTATTGTATTCAGACCAGTATTTCCTCCAGATGACCTTTATTACAACAAAGATAATTTAAGGAAGATCTCTCTAATGGCAAAGCTGAGGGCTTTGTGTTATTACAATATCCTTCAAATAAAGTGACGGTCTGGTGGAAATAACAAGTAAAGCAAGGATTAGGAAGAAAACAGTTAATACCTTCATTTTGGTCTCACTCTGCATTAAGAGTTTTCATTGTGTTAAGGATTTATTATACATTAAGTAATTTAATGTTCATTTAATAATAAATGGATCCTATTAAATATGATTTTTAAAATTATAATCACATTACTTTTATTCACATCTGTCCACTGATGCCATTCCTAGATGAGAATGGTATCACATTATTTTATTTTTTTTCATTTTGCTACCTCTTTACTTACTTAGGATTATGCTGTATCAAACAATGTATGTGTGGGAGTAATGGATGATTCAGGAATGTATGAGGAGGAGGTTTAAGCTCCTTAACCTTGAACAATTAAAATTAGCAACATAATATTGAAATACATACAGAACACTCAAGTGGTACTTTCAAAATAGTGTATATTTCCTCTGTTTATTTGTAGCTTTTAAACCCAGCTAGAAGCATTCTATTTCCTTTAGGTACCATAGGTCTGAAAGTCTGTAGTGAAAACTACAAGTAGTAAATGATGCTAATTCATGTGCTTCCGCCTGTGGAAGAATTGAATGTCTTAGATAAAAAAAGATGGTGCAATTGGTGTACAAAGTATCTAGAATACAATTTGGTGGTGGTTTTTTCTGTTTCCATAGTAGAGTAACATATATAATATTCCCCTTTCATCAAGTTATTTAAATATGCCTTTGAATGGGGAGAATTGAAAATAATACTGTGAATCCTGGTAAACATTTTAAATTAATGAGAAGAATATTGCCTTTACAAAGTCAAAATTTGTCTGAATACAACGCATATAGCAATTTCATAGCAAAACACTTCCTTCAATCCTATTAAAATCAGAAGGAAAAGAAGAATACCCACTGTCAATGTTGTATTAATATAGTTCTAAAAGTTCTGGACAATGAAATATGTTGTAAGAAGAGAAGTCAGGGGAGACTTGAGCCCATTGTTTTTCCTCTCCTTCCATACCTCCCAAAATACCACTGGAATGTTGTAACATTTTGAAGAATCTATAGCAGTGTCCCAAATCATAGAATAGTATGAATACATCTGAATCTGAGATATCTCCAAAAGATACAAAATATCTGTGATTAGAATGAAAGAAAGATTTAGGCTTTTGGCCATGATTGCAAGTTAGCTGTTCTTAAATGACTGCTGCTATCGAACAAATACATTTTAGAGGATCTCTTTGAAACATTTCTATCCTTGAAAATGGTTAGGGAAGTTCTTAAAATATCTCCTCTTTCAAATACAAAAAATAGTCTGTGAACTGGAGCTTGAGCACTGGGTACTTTGTATTGGCTAGCTGATGGAGGTGGGTGAGGGTTTCCCAGATCTTCTAGGATGATCTGCTATTATCAGTAATGCTAATGGTGGTACTACTGACTCTTGGGCCATCAGAAATTCCAGTTCGTTAATCCTGGAACTTCCATATTGAGATAAAGCTTTGAGTCAGTTTCACAGAGGAAGTTTGGATAATAGCATTCTCATTTCAGACCGTAGAATGATGGCAGATTAAGGAAGAGCAATGAGTTCAGTATTAAAAATGATCAGGTAAGCAAGACAGCATGAATAAAAGTTAATGAAATGAATAGCACATTTAAATCCTTGAAAACTAAATGTGTTGAAATTGTCAATGTGGAGAAATAATTAAGCACCTGTGTATTGATTGTTTAAAGAAACAGTCTACTATTACAAAGATGTAAAATCAATAGTAAAACAATATAGATGATAGAAAAAATGGGCAGATCTGGCTGGGCGTGGTGGCTCATGCCTGTAATTGCAGCACCTTGGGGGGCCGAGGCGGGTAGATCACGAGGCCAGGAGTTCAAGAACAGCATGCCCAAGATGGTGAAAACTTGTCTCTACTAAAAAAAAAAGTATATATATATATAAAAATTAGCTGAACATGGTGGTGGGCACCTGTAGTCCCAGCTGCTCAGGAGGCTGAGGCAGGAGAATCACTTGAACCCGGGAGGTGGAGGTTGCAGTGACCCAAGACTGTACCACTGCATTCCAGCCTGGGCAACAGAGTGAGACTCTGTCTCCAAAAAAACAAAACAAAACACAAAGGCAGGTCTGAATTAAAAAAAAATTTAAAAATAAATGCAAGTTATTAATGATATATTAGATATAGGTAACAGGATAATTAGTAAAGAAAAAAATGCTTAAATGATATACCCAGAATGTAGCATGGAAACACAAGGTCTAACATTTATTTAATTCAAATATGGGGGGAGAGAAGTGTAAGAGGATTCACCGTTTCAAGAGATTCTCAAAAAGAAATTAGGAGAAAGTATAAATCCATTGATTCAAAGAACGTATTTCTAACAGATGATATAAAAATAAATTCACATTAGTTAAATTATAAATTATAAAACATTAAAACTAAACACCAGACCATATAAACATTGAAAAAAGGACAATTTATCATGAAATAATATTTATCTGATTATTATAGTAAAGCAAAAACTAAAAATGGGTAAACTAGTATCAACAAATGTTGAGAGAAAATAACTGTTAGTATAGAATTGGGTACTCAGTAATGCTGTCTTTCAAGAACAAAAATAAAAATATGAAATTGACAGATAAAAACTAAAATTGTTCACTATCAAGAGATCTGCAGCAAATAAAATTTCAAAGGCTATATATCAGGAAGAAAGAATTTAACCCAAAAGCTGATCTCAGAGTCAACTTGGAATTCCATAAATATCACTAAACTGATGATAATAGTAATACTTTCTGACATGGGGGGGATCCTGAAAAGAAGTGAACTTTTACTTTTGTTTAGAATTTAGAAAGTTATAGAAAAATGCTCTTGCCCTGACCAAGAGAATAAGCTGGATAATCTATAGATCATAGATTTCATTTTAAAAGACAGAGCTGAGGTCTCAAAAAAAGCTAATTAACTTAAATTCAGAGTAATGAAAGCCTACTGAAAAAAGAACGGATCCACAGATGATTTGTGTGTACCTGAGTTGCAGCAGCAGAAACAGGAGGAAGCTGCCCTTGATGGAGATAAGAAGGAAACAAGTGAACCTCAAGCAAATGTTGAAAGGCTGAATGTGGGCTTGTGATAGTTTAGCAGCAGTAGGGGCCCAAACACACTCACTCACTCACTAATGCTTTAATGCTTTTCTTTTCTTTTCTTTCTTTCTTTCTTTCTCTTTCTCTTTCTTTCTTTCTTTCTTTCTTTCTTTCTTTCTTTCTTTCTTTCTTTCTTTCTTTCTCTCTTTTCTTTCTTCCTTTTTTTTTTTTTTGACGGAGTCTCACTCTGTCACCCAGGCTAGAGTGCAATGGCACGATCTCGTCTCACTGCAACCTCCGCCTCTAGGGTTCAAGCGATTGTCCTGCCTCAGCCTCCCGAGTAGCTGGAACTACAGGCACGTGCCACCACACCCTGCTAATTTTTTGTATTAGTAGAGACAGGGTTTCACCGTGTTAGCCACTGACCTCGTGATCCCAAAGTACTGGGATTACAGTGCCTCGGCCTCCCAAAATGCTGGGATTACAGGCGTGAGCCACGGCGCCCGGCCCCACTAATTGTTTTTTCATGACCTATCTTGTGTGCTCCTAGGTAAGATCAGATGGAGAGCAGGAGAACTACCTGAGACACTTTTGAGGGACAGGCATGTAGGAACTGCTGCAATTAGAGATCAAAGAAAGGTAGAGGTCGCACTGTGAGAATCGGGGAAAATCCTCTGTTACTGGGGAGTGGGTTGGGGAGCAGAGAGAAACCCCCTTCACTCTCTGTTCTCACAGGTGCATAAGAAGAGAGGCCTGATGAGGTCTGAAGGCAGGGCAGGACAGGTAGCTGAGAGAAGTAGATTCTCTGGTCTTTCACTGAGTGTGAGGCAGCTACTGCCCGAGGTTGGGCAAGGGATGGAAGCCCTGAGAGATTCTTGAGGTGCAGAGATAGAGGCTTGCTGAGGATGAAAGTGGACAGAAAAGCTAAGAGAGGCTCCAATGCTGACCATGGCACTCTGCAAGAAGAGAAAAAATGTGTATGTAGAGGTTTATGAGGGAAAATCGTGAGTTTGGTTTTGGATATATATTACTTTTGAAATCAAGTGTCCAAGTAGATATACCAGTTATGCAGTTGGATAATTTATTTAAGCCTGGAGTTCAAAAGGAGGTCCAAAAGGAGAATTGAAAGGGATGAGACTTGCTGAGCCCCTCCAAAGAGTGTGTGGTGAGGGAGAAGAGAAGAGGACCAGGAACTGAGCTCTGCAGCTCTCCTATAGGAGGTGTGATGCAAAAGATGAGGAAGAAACAAAGGAAGCCGAAGTGGTAGCTCCAGTGAGACAGGCTGAGACTCAAGTGAATGTGCCATCCTGGAAGCCAACTGAAGAAAGTATACTGTGAAGAAGGAAGTGATTATTTGTGTCAAATGCTGCTAATAGGCCGATTAAAGTTGTAGTGAAAAATGATCATTGGATCTAGTAATGTGGAGATTATTCGTAACTTTGACAAAAGTGGTGTCAATATCATGATCGAAAAAGGGAGAAAGAGCCTGATTGGGATATATTTAAGAAACAATGAGAGGAGAGGAATTGAAGACAGAGAGTATGGACAACTATTCTAAGATGTTTTGTTGAAAAGTAGAGCAAAAAATGGGATGACAGCTGGCATCAGAAGAAAAGCAAGGAAATTCTTTTTCTTAGATCAGAAAAACAACAGCATATTTGTATGCTGATGGTAATAATTTACTAGCATCAAAATTAATGACACGGTCATGATATAGTGAACTGCAACAGGAAAATCCCCAGGTACACAGCGAAGAGGGAATATAATACACAAATTTAAAAATTATTTGGATCTCTGAAACATCTGTTTTGATATTAACCTTTCATTCCTGCAATAGTTATTTTAAGCATGTTCTCATTTTCTCTTGTTCAGTGTTGCCAGGTTATTATAAAGTGTATTAGACTTTTTGAAAAACATTTTTAAAAATACTAGTTTTTTCTCATTTGTTTCATTAATTTATATTTTGTATTTATAATTTTCCCTTTATCTTCTTTAGGGTTATTATGCTGTTTTTTTTCCCAGAAGCCCCCAAAATGCATGCTTAGCCCATTAAATTTTAGCCATTTTTGTATCGAAAGTTATGTTACCCATTTCTGTGTGGTTACCTGTAATATACCATGAGCAGCACTTCTTGGTGTCTTTGCTCCTTATTAATTCACTTGTCTGAAGTTCCTTTAACTCTCCTTTCTACTTTTCACTTTCACTTTGCAAATCATTTTTTATTCATAACCGCATAAAACATAATTTATTTTGAAAAGTCTCTCATATAATTTTCACTTATTCTAGGATTATAATTTTTCCGTTTGTCTCTTCGAATAAAACCTTCAGATTTGTCAACACTCATTAAACAGTAGCTCCTATTGATAGGATTCCATCCATCTCTTTTGACCTAGTAAGTGAATATAATAATAGATGCCACAGAAATTCAATCCTGTCAGATCTAACTGCCTACATATAAATTTCCATGTCCCGCAAAGGCATCTCATTGAGGTCACATTCTGTTGTATCTTTACTTTGTATCTTGAGGTGCTTGGTGGGGCATGGAAATTTACATGTAGGCAGTTTCATCTGATAGGATTGAATTTCAGCAGCATCGATTATTATATCCACTCACTAGGTCAAAAGACATGGATGGAATCTTATCAACAGGAGCTACTGCTAAATGAGTCCCTTTTCTATTTTTCCCTATTATAATCCTAGTGAAGCTGTAAATATTAGGTTCTTGAACCCACAGGACTGATTCTAGTATCTTGTCTGGCCAGAGATATAGCCTTCTGATCTGCAGAACCTTATAGTAATCAGCTACCAACTTACCTGGGGATAAGAGAATTTAAAAAAGAAGGAGAATAAGGAGAAGCAAATGGAGTCTCATGGCTGAAGGGCCAGCATCAATGTGGGTTGAGCCTGGAGTCTCTGGGCATCGTGGGTCTAGGCCTTTTTATGATGCTCTCTGAGTCTGTGATTTGTTCTTGGTCAGTAGAGCCTAACGAAAAGAGAATAACTAAATCTCCCACAGGAAACTTCCAGGGACACACAAGTACATAAATGTGGTGATATCTCAATGGATGAGAAAGCAGGTGAATGCTATTTATTTCCCAAAGATTCAGGATGTCTTTATTGTCACCTGCTTTCTTTATTATTTTTGAAATGCACATGCAATAATAATTGATCTCACTTTATACATCTATCGTTTGCCAGGCAATATAGTAGGAACTGAAGTAAAATTGTTATACACAAACAGTACATAATTAATGGATATAGTTTGGCAAGTTTGCACATATATATTATCTTGTTACCACACCAATATCCAGGTAATAATATATCCATCACCTCCAAATGTTTCCTACGTCCCTTTGTTGTTGTTGTTGTTGTTGTCAGAACCCCTAAGATCGACCCTCTTAACAAATTGTTAAATACAAAATACCTCATTGTTAACTATAGGTACTATGTTTTGGAGCCTATCTCTGTAATTGACTCATTTTGTATAGCTTTAACCCTTGAACAATAACTCCCCATATTGCTCTTTCCCCACTCAATAAAACACCAAACTCTTTTAAAGCACATTCTATATAATCCACTTTATGAAGCTTTTCCTAACACTCTTTTATCTGTTCCCCCCCAGTAAAGGGAACTACTAATATAACAATTACCTATTTTGGATTATTGTGTCTTTTACAAACATTCCTTCATGAACCCATTTAACACTTATCTCCCATTATCTTATTATGAAGTAAAATAAAACTTGACGTGATTTTAAAAATGAAATCACAAAAGGGCTTTGTAAAATTATGATGTACCATTGCTTATTTGTAAGAATTCAAGTTACACTAGGGGTTTCTAAAAATCTTTTGTCTTTATTTGTTGCATATTGTAAGCACAGTGTCTTTTCCAGCTATTTGCTTTGGGAAGAAAAGTTAGAGTTACAATGAACAGCATAGGCTATCTTGTCTAGTCACTTACATTAGAGATGAGGAAATGAGCTGAGGGAAAGGAAGAAACTTGCGCAGGATCACCCAGTGATCTAGCGAGGAAGGCGATAGGGACAGCACTAAGGCTTGGTATTCTGAGCCTCATTCTATTTTCTCCTCTTGCCCCTTCTCTGTTTCCTCCTCTCTTCCCCAGCCTTCCAGAAAAACTTTACAGTTCTGCTGCAATGTCTACCTAAGGACATCCAGAGGAGACCTCACTTTTCATTAGACTGCTTTTTTAAGCACTGTCTTGCATTTTCTTCTTCAGTCTTGTTGTATCCCATTTTTGGCTATAAGTAATGCTTCTGCTGTGCTGTTCCATCCAATTAGTTTCTTCTATTTTCATTGAGAGAAAATTAAAACAAAAAACCATTAGTTTATCTAAATTTGGAAGTTTTAAAACTTGATTAGAATTTCCTGGGATATGGATGTAAGACATATATTTTAAAATATTTTTCATTTTCAAAATTAAAAATCAAACCCATATATTTATCCAGGATGACTACTTGATAACTACTAATCAGATGGGTCTTCAGCAATGCCACAAGGATAAACATCTTATAAATCAATTCCCTGGCGTTATGTGCTACTGAGTTAATACAATTTGATATGGTATCACCTTTAAGCAGGCTTTACGGAGTCACACAAAGGAACAGCACAACAGAACCATAGGGTGGAATGTATAGGGAAAGCTGGGATGTAAAACCCAGCCTTGACTCTGACACTTACTCCACTGTTGAGAAAAGTACTTCAGTTCCCAGAGCCTTAATATTTTCCTCTATAAAACAGGAAAAATAGAGCCATATTTAAGGTTTTGTCAAATCTTGTTGCTGAGTGATTTTACAGTGTCTGCAGCTATCCTCTCTGCTAATCATAACAAGGCTAACGAACTGTTCTTTTGTTTAGTTAAAGTTATTTTTGCATTTGTTTACAAATTGTTATTCTTCCCTTCACAGAAAAGGAAACATTTTAAAGGTAATTTATAAAAGGTTAAGAGTCTCTTACATATCAACTCTTCACAATGTGACAGAGTAGCTTAACCCCATCCCTAAGAGTATAGTTTCAGATCAGCCCCAAACCTATGTGGAGTGTGGGATACAGAATATATTTCAAACACATGCAAAGGCACACACACATGCGCGCGCGCGCACACACACACACACACACACAGTATTACCTAAGGCAGAGGTGCAGATGACAATCTTGGATAGACAGCTCAAAACTCTTAGTACTAAAATAATCCTAATAATAATTTTCCTTCCAAAGTTACCACCAACAATCAGATCTCTTAAGGGTTGGTGCCTTAGGTTTTCGAGCCTTGTGTATCTTTTGGCTTTCTTTTTTGGTTGTGTGCTATTTATCTCATAGAAAGAAACCTCTTCTTCATCCTATGCCAGTGCTGTATTGTAGGGGCTTGTTGACATCTTCCTGATATGTAGCAATCCAGTGACTGGCCTCTGGCTTCTTAAGAGCAAGGCCATCACATGCTTTTTTTTTTCTTTGTCTGCTTGTTTCCTTGTAAGGGTCCCACATACAGTGGGCGCTTAACAAAAATTTGATCAACTGAACTCATTTTCTATCTCCGTTCTCTCCACTTCAATCTTTCCCTTTTACTTCTTCCAGATTAGTTTTCCTACAGCAAAATGGGAATTGTCCAAAAACTGCCCTTCATCTTTATAACTTGAAGGATTCATTTACCCTAAGCCGTCCTTTTAAATTTACTATCACAGACTAGATAGAAATGTCTGGGTTCACGAAGAATAGGCATGTGTGCCACCATATTTTCTGTTGAAAACTTTGGAAAGTGTCTTTTAGCAAACAACATGAAGCATAGAATTTGACCATCCCTGACAATGTACAAGGATCATCCACATTCTCACATGTCCATGGCTACTTTCCCACTCCTTCCCCAACCTTGAAATCTTGAATTCAAAAGAAAATATGAGAAGACAGTTTGCCTCATATAAGGCAACAGGTTGCTTAATCTTTCTTGCCTACACACATTCAAGAGCTCCAGAAAATTTTCTGATCTACTTAGAATGCCTGATCATCTTCTTGGGTAAAAGCAATAAGTCTTACACAGAATCACCAAAACCATGTCTGTTCAAGGGGTCTTATACCTGTGATTCATGATTGCATGCTCAATGCAGAAGGGCGTGCTCTGTTGCAGGGTCATATCTGGTCATTGTGTTTAAGTTCTAATTTAGAAGACTAGTTGCTGAGGAGGAAGAGGGAAGGATAATGTTAGGAAATGGAATCAAACTTAAGGGGAAAAGTCCAGTACAAGGGACCAACAGTATTGAGGGGCAATAGGTTGAAGATTTCTTAGATTATTGCAATATTTTCAAGGAGGCCCCACGAATCCTTCCTGGCTGACCCCACCAAAGCTTTGGCATAGCCTTTATGCCAAATGTCTTAGACTAACTAACTTTTCCAAAAGAAAATAGAGGAGTTATGGAGACCAATATTTAATAGAATAATGCCTGATTATTTTGCTTTTGAGGTCTAGTAACTGCTAGTAAACTTGCCTAATTAATTCACATTTAGAAGTAGAGTAAAGAGGGTTTCAACCACTTGAAACACCACTGACTTCATTTCATGTGAGAGTTGCTATGGAGAGCTAATGAACTATGAGGCTGCAGGTCTCTCAGCCAATAGGTCTTCTAGATTTCCTATGTGACTCCCTTTTCTGGTCATAGGCGATTTTGCTTTTGCTTTGAGTGTTATAGCACAATAAGGTGTCAGACACTCTACTCTTACCAAGTCTTACACAAAGTTTATCTTGTTATTTGGTGGAGCTTGGCTCATAAAAACAAAAAAAAAAAAAAACGAGAATGATAAAGAGGAGGACAGCAATCCTCACGGCTGAGGAAAGAAGAAAGCTTGGCTTTATTTCCAGTAGACAGAGAAAACTTCCGTCTGTGGCTCTCTAGCACCAGTGGAATATCTCTGTTTGGATAATAAGTGTCCTTCCATACCTCATTACGCATATTCACAGAGATGTACTATGCACACAAAATAACCTTCATAGGATGACTGAGAGTCCATGTTTTATTGGACACTAAGTTCATTAGAATGATGTGGGTGCACAGTTTTGACCAGAAAACCTTGTTAAATGGGAACATAAGCTACCAATATTTTGGCAAAAGATTAAGGTTTATGAACAAACAACCATTTATGTTAAGTTACAATTAATTAGGCCATGTTGAGAAACCTTTTAGTTTAGTTAATGATTAGACATTTTGTTAGTGAACCTTCCCAGAGTTTACTAGCCCTATTAATCCCCACTTTGCCGCTGGTCTGAACCCCCACAGTGCCTTGTTTATGGTACAGTGCCTACTGCCTTGTATGTTAGATTAGTGAACGTATATTTGCCTCCTCTACTACTGCAGGAGTTTCTTGTTTGCCAGGACAGGGCTATATTCCTCAGAGTTGAGGAGGAGTTGAATCAAGTGGTCATTTATTCTCAAATCCTCTTCATCAAGTGAAGCAAAACAGGACAGTGAAAGGTCACTGCACATGGAAGCAGGAGGTCTGGATTTCAGTTCTAAATCTCTAGATCTATTACTAACTGGAGGTATGGATAGAGTCAGGAAAATTTTCTTCCTTAAGTCTTGATAGCACCTATGTAGGTCCAGATCCGTTGGATCTAGATAAGGGGATTCTCAATAATTACTGTGCATAAATCAACTGAAAGAGTTAGTTTGCAATGCAGATTCTTAGCCCCATTCTATGAAATTTTTACTGTTTTATAAATTGATAAATAATTTTTATTAGACAATGTAATTTTCCTTACTTGCACCAGCATACAAAAATATTGAATAATATTAGCAGCAGAATCTTTCAACAAAATATCTATGTATAGCTATTAAACCACTTTGTTTCACTGCTTTTTATTTTCTTTTATTTATCACTATTGTCTTCATTATTATCGTCACACATTATTGAATACCCATCATGGAGCATATGGCATAAACATTGTTTCTGCTCATAAGGAGTATGTATTCTCTACATGTTTATAAAATTAATGCCTGAATAAGTTTGCTTAAACAAGGCAGAAGTTGATTTCTTTTTCACTTAAAATTAACCTGTAGTTATACCATTCAGGGCTAGTACAGATTCTTTCTTATATCATTAGGGATGCAGGTCCCTTCCAGCTCTTTGCTCTGCTATACTTTAGAAAAGGTCGTAGTTTGGCTGCTAAATTCCCACCTATTATTTCTGAATTCTAGACAGCAGGGAGAAAAAAGGCATGAGAGAATGGCAAAGGAACATCTACCCTTCCTTTTTAAATTTTTTAACCAACCCCCCTTAAAAACACTTTGTTGAGACATGATTACATTCAAAAAGCTGTACCTATTTAATGTGTATATCTCAGTGAGTTTGAGAATAAGGATACATTGTGAAAGCATCACTACCATCAAGATTATAAACATATTCATCACCTCCCAAAGTTCTCCCTCCCATTCTAATTATTATTTTTATTGGTAAGAATAATTAACATAAAATTCACCCTCCTATTATATTTTAAGTATGCAATACAGTATTCATAGCTATAAGCACTAAGCTGTAAATTAGACCTCCTGAACTTATTTATGTGGTATATCTAAAACTTTGTACTGTAATCACACCTACACACTTACCTGCACCACAGCTCCTGGCCAGTCTACCCTCTGCTTCTGAGTTTGTTTTTTTGAGATTTCAAATACAAGTGGAATCATACAGTATTTGTCATTCTGTGTTTGGTTTATTTCACATGACTTCATGCCCTTCAGATGCATCAATGTTGTCACAAATGACAGGGTTTCATTATTATATAATACTGAATAATATTCCATTGTGCATATATATATATATATATGTATAACATTAATTCAGCCATTCATGAATGAATGATAACATGTATGTCTTCTTCATAGATCTTGACTATTGTGAACAGTGTTGAAAGGAACATAGGAGCGCAGATATCTCTTTCACATACTGATTTCAATGACTTCATATATATATATTTATATATATGATATATATATTATATATAAAATAAGTGGGATTGCTGGAACAAAATGGTATTTTTATTGTTAATTTTTGAGAAACCTCCATACTGTTTTCCAAGGTGGCCATACTAATTTACATTCCCACCACCAGTATACAAAGGTTCCCTTTTCTCCACATCCTTACCAACACTTGTTATCATCCATCTTTTTGATAATAGCTATTCTAACAGGTGTGAGGTGATATTTCTTGGTTGTTTTCATTTGCATTCCCGTGATGACTAGAGAGGGTAAGAATTGTTTATATATATGTTGTCCATTTGTATCTCCTTTTTCGACAAATGCTTGCTCATATATCTTTGTTCATTTTTATGTTTTTAATTTTTATTTTAGACACAGAGGATACATGTGCAGGTTTGTTACATGGATGTATTGTGTGCTGCTGAGGTTTACAGTATGAATGATCTCATCACACATGTAGTGAACATAATACCCAATAGGTAGTTTTTCAGGCCTTGCACCCAACCCTCCCTCCTCCCTCTAAGAATCTCCAGTGTCTGTTGTTTCCATATAAGTGAGAGCTGAACAGTGTATAACCCAATGTTTAGCTCTCACTTATACATGAGAATATGTAATATTTGGTTTTCTGCTCCTGCGTACCACACCACACTGGGCTAATTTTTATATTTTTGGTAAAGATGGGGTAGCTTCAGCATGTTGGCCAGGCTGGTCTTGAATTCCTGAGTTCATGCGATCCACCCACCTCACAAAGTGCTGACATAACAGGCATGACCCAGTGCACCTGGCTTTTCTGAACTTTTTTAGCTTATATTAGGTTTGTCTGTTCTAGAATTTTGTATACATTTATTTATATTATAGGACACTTTTTAGCTTAGCTTTCCCCACTCGGGGTTAGAAAGATTATATTGATCCATGATCATGATGTCGATTCATAGAGTTGATTATTCCCATTTATTGATAAATATTACTCCATAATATGCATATAATTTATCAATTTCCTCTCAATAGACATTTGAGCTGTTCCCAGGCTTCAGCTATTGTTAATAGAACTCAAGGACACATTTTTAAAAGAAAAAATTTCAACCCAAAATGTCCTTTCCTTTTGGCTCTCCAATATTGTGTCAGGGTTATATATTTGTTGTCTTGAAAATCCAATTACATTGAACAGGAGGTGTCTCTAGAATCAAGGTTCAGTATATGGTGGTCTGGCTGTGTCCTGGAATGTAGCCCTTATTAGTTTTATTGAGCATTTTCCTATATAAATTGAAATCAAGTTGAAGACTCATTTTTCCACAGTAGGACAAATAGAACAGTTTAGGACTTTGGAGAGATAGCAACTTGCTGCTTGCCTGTGCAACCCACCTCAAAAGATACAACTCCTCCAACTTTTGATTTCTGGTGACTTCTCCAAACAATTAGATGTGAATTGACCTTATTCCCTTACATTACTACATGTCGATATTCTGCACCTGGCCAAATACAGTATAAAACTGATGAGCATACATTTCTTTTAGTTTCATATTTTCTATTTAAAGCTACTCTCTTTGGCTGGGCACTATGGCTCATGACTGTAATCCCAGCAGTTTGGAAGGCCAAGATAGGTGGATCACTTGAGGCCAGGGGTTTGAGACCTGCCTGACTAACATGATGAAAGCTGTCTTCCTGAAAAATACAAAAATTTTCTGGGTGTGGTGGCACGTGCCTGTAATCCCAGCTACTCAGGAGGCTGAGGCAGGAGAATCACTTGAACCCAGGAGGCAGAAGATGCAGTGAGCCAAGATCCCACCTCTGCATTCCATCCTGGGTGACAGAATTAACCTCCATCTCAAAAAAATAAAAAGCTAATCTATACTTTTCTTTTGGTGCATTATTAGAACATAGAAGGCAATAAGGCAAAACTATTGTGGGTATATTAGTGCGTATCTGTAGCACCTAGCACAGTGCCTAGCCCATAACTTGTGTTGAAAATTAAGAGAACCTTCTTCATGACAGATCATTTGGAGAACATGTTATGGGTGTGGGAGAAAAAGATTCCTAACTCTCCACCCCAGAAATAATTTTGCTGATACAAAAATCAGCCAGACATGGTGGCACAGGCCTATAATCTCAGCTACTTAGGAGGATGAGTTTGAGGATAAGGATACATTGTGAAAAAGGTGGGAAAATCACTTGAACACAGGAGGCAGAGATTGCAGTGAGCCAAGAGTGCCCCACTGCACTCCAGCCTAGGCAACAGAGAAAGACTCTGTCTGAAAGAAAAAAAAAAGTTGTTGCTATATAGCACATAATTTCATTGTCATCTCATTTAAAATTGAATAGCACATTTGGGTTGAATTCTTGTGCCTGCAGATACATTTGCTTCTGGCTTAAAATCACTGGCTGTAGGAGGAAACTCCAGCAGAGGGCATCGTAAGGATTTCATAGTGTCTATGGTCATCTTGGTAATTCCTCAGATAATTCCTGGCAATTCTATTAGGTCTTGAACTTCACTTACTTCTTACATGTTTAATAAAAAGAAGTTCAAAACATTGCCATGGCTGTTGAATTCCCACAGGCTTGTCTTCCCTTTAAAATTCATCACATGGTTTGTACTCTTTTGCAGATATAATACGTAAGTTTGCAGGTGGATGCTTTCAGCCAATAAGTTCAAAAGTACTGCTACAAGGGCCAGGCATGGTGGCTCACACCAGTAATCCCAACCCTTTGGGAGGCCAAAGCAGGTGGATCACGGTATCAGGAAACTGAGACCATCCTAGCCAACATGGTGAAACCCCATCTGTACTAAAAATACAAAAATTAGCTGAGTGTGGTAGTGTGTGCCTGTCGTCCCAGCTACTCAGGAGGCCGAGGCAGGAGGATTGCTTGAACCCGGGAGGCAGAGGTTGCAGTGAGCTGAGATTGCGCCATTGCAGCACAGCCTGGTTACAGAGTGAGATTCCGTCCCCCACCGCCAAAAAAAAAAAAAAAAGTACGCTACATGGACATCCATTGTTCCAGCATCTCTGCCATAATAGCGGAGGAATTATAGAGAATGTCTGTTAATTTCTTTAACTCCAAATTTGTGTTATGTCCCTTGGTCTCCTGTCATACCATAAATTGTATTATTCATAAAATGGACAATTTGTCTACAGTTATTTCTTCTCAGTATGCTACATCTCTTTAGAATTTAAACATAGAGTGTCTCCCAACCTGAAATTGAAAAACCAGAAAAATGTTTTCGGACACCTTTTATTTCCAGCTGTTTTTATGTCCTCTCCTGAATCCAAGTTGAGGGTAAAGTCCATTCATCAGCATTTCTCCTCAACTCACAACAACCTCATTCCACTCCAGTATGATGTTTGTCCCCACAAATTGATGCACATAATTCTTGCTGGCAGTGGTAATGTCCTAATAAAAAAATATCACGAGATGGCGTCAGACTTTACTTTATTTTCTAGCTCAGCAGAATTTGATTCCTGTCTGATAAGGAAACCCTATTTTCCCTAGAAACTTTTCACTTTTGTCACAGGTTTGGTTCCCAGGGAACTGGATATAGATAAAGTTTAGTGTGCAGGATGTTTATTAGGAAGTGATGTGAGGATCCACATCTGTGGAAAGGATTGGAGGGAAGCCTTATGTGCAAAGGGACAAGTCTAATGGCAGTGCAGCCTGACATTGTCACCTGGCCACACGGACAGAGCTGTAGAGCTAAGAAGTCCTCCCCTATTTGTCCCAACTGAATCAAATGGCAAAGCCTATGTACCCCTTGCCTCCATTAATGATTGTGTGCTTGCCACTTGTGGAGGATGAGACTTTGAAGCAGGTGGCTTTCTGTGGCTGAAGAAAACCTTAAATGTGCTGACAAAGCTTTCCAAAGAGACAGAGAATGGCATCTGCCAGGTATGTTGCCCCTTTCCAAAGAGGAAGCAACAAGGGTAATGGCCTCCAATGGCTCTGTATGCAGATAGGTGGACAGTAATGTCTGTCCCTCCTGTGACCTAAGAAGAACAGTTGGCAGACTTGCAGCCAGGCAGTTAGAGGTGACACAGTGTTAGGAGATAAACATCTGTCAGAAGCAGTGCTTCTTTGAATCAGGTGTGACACGAGCCTTGCATCCCTTGCATGGACCCCTTCCCCATTATCTTGCTGTCCTACCTCATGAAGGTGGGTGGGTGCTGGCTGGTGGGTGGTCCCTGTACCAGGTACACTTTGCCTGCAGTCTTTCCACATGAGTTCCAAGGTACCCCATGTGGTCATCCATGAACGTTGTGTTTTCCTTATGCTGCATGTCCTTTGCCTTTGAGGAACACGTTTCATTTGACTCTGAGTCCAAACAACTCAAGTGTCCCTATATCTGTACATTGTCCTTCACTTAAGGGAATCTCCAATCCCTAATGACTTTCTTTTATTTTTGCTATTAATATTATAACAATTAACATTGTCATTATTATCTTCATTGTTGATATTCAGTTATTTTTATTAATAGAGTTACTGTGAATTATTATATTGTAGCTACTTACACCAAGATGAAGATAATTTATTAGTTCAGGAAGAATCTGCATTCTGAAGACAAATAGAAGTTCCAGCTACAGATGGGCAGACACATGCCCTCTCAATTCCTGATGGACCTCCTAGTGCCTTCTGGACCTAAGGGGCCTCCCTCAATGTTCCAAGATGCCACCAAGGCAGGGATCAGCTCGTGCATTCCTGAGAACATCCCGGATGAAGTGAGGCTCTGGAAAAATGCAAGAGTTTCCACATAATCCCAAAAAACACTACAGGTGAACTGGATGCCACAGAAAGATGAGTGGTCTTTGTCACAACGAAATCAACAAAATTATTTCGAAGTCAATTAGGAAACTCAGAAATCACTCTTGCTACCATTAAGAGGAAGAACAGGAGCCTGTGAATGGCATCCCTGGCCTACCTGAGACTCCAAAGATATTTCTCTGTGGCTTCTGACAGCAGAAATCTCTGTGATTTTCAGAAAGGCAGGGACAGCTCCTGCCAGCCCATCCTTCTGCAGAATGTGTCCCAGCAGATCAGTGGCATGGAACCATCATGGACAGCACAAAGGCTCAAGGGCAGCATCCCAGGCCGGCCTGTGACTCTAGATAAGTTCTGAGTCCCCATGGGGGCTCAGGAAAGGTTAGTGATGACCTGGAAAGAAGGGACAGGCTGAAACCGCCCCTAAGCAATCTGCAGGATTCCAACTTCAGCAGGAAGCCAAGGACCAGCTATTACCACACCTGCGCCCCCTGAAAACGCTGGATACAATCCCACTCTGCAGAAAGTTCCACATAGAAGTGGCTGGGAATTTTGCCTTCTAGACTGCATTTTACACTGCCTCTGGACATGTGATGAGAAATTTAACATTGGTGTATCTAACTCTGACATTTTTCACGAAGTGATTTTTTAAAATATGGTAAAAAAGACAAAATATAATTCAAACATATGCATTATATGTCAAAGTATGCTTCGCTGGCATCAAGTAGACTCACCTTGAGATACAATCTTGGACAACCTCCATCTTCAGAATATCTAGTTTTTCAAACCAAAACTCTCCAACCAAAAATCAATAACATCAAAAGTTTGCAACTACAAGCCGACGGAAAATAAATACATGAATTCTACCACAGTGAATTGGACTGCACTGGGAAACACAGATGAAGAAAGCCAACACCGCTTTGTCCTTCAGTACCTGGCTCCCTTTTCAGCTCGTCTTGCGACTCCAGGCATTATGCCTGAAAAGTCTCCTGGACGCCTGTGAGGCTCTAATTCCCTGGGTCCCATTGTCATGTCTCTGGATTTGCGAAGATTAACCGGACCTTCTGTGGAACTCCCGTGTCCCTCAACTTTTGTGACATGTCCCCTAATTCTGCCCATGGTCATCTGCACCTGCACGACTTAGGGTCCATGTTCCTTGGACGGGAAGAGACAGGCAGGAGTCGGAATGATGAACCAGCACACTGGGGCATTTTCTCATGTAGCCCAAGTGACCCCATGGTCTTCTTGAGCTTTGGAACCAGTCGCGTCCCCTTTGACACTGCACCCGACTCCCAGTCTCTCAATCTTGTTGGCCCTCCGGCGATCTCCCGTTGGATGAATTGCATCTGCTGAAACTCGAGTCCCCTTTGATTTGTGCTTCATTAATTATTCATGATTCAGGTTGGAAGGCCTGCTGACGACCCCCTGTGGCCGTTTTCCGAGCTTTCCGGTCACATCGTTTCCTTCCACCCTCTTTGGTTCCTTGTGGTCCTGCTCCTTCTGCTGTCAGAGGAGCAGAGAGTTGATCTTATTGATTCTGGATACGGATACTTTGTAGGTGATCTGGATAATCAAGATAACGACCCTCAAAAGCGGCGGAAAGGGAGCAGCCATTTGGTGTGTCTCAGCAAATCCCGCTGAGTTCCGAGGCCGCCTAGGTATGCAATCCTGCTGAGAGTTGTTCCCAGGTCAGAGAATGGAGAGAGCCTGTGCATGATGGGATATCCCTGCCTAGATCTTTCAGTGAGTCTCTACCTCAGCTACTCTTAGGATCAGGGGGAGAACCATGGAAAGGCCCGGTGTCAGACATCCGGAAAGAAGAGGGATGAATGTTTCACCTCTGAAGTACATCCCAAATGTGGGAGTTAACTTCAGCTTTGCTGGGGTCTACTTGGCCAGCGAAACTCTGCCTGGTTCATTCGCACATCCGGAAGCCACTTCACGGGGAGCCGTCGCAACCGGAACCACACACTTGGCATCGGCGGTTGAGCCAAATGGGGACTCGTGGTGCAAGCAACGCTCCCCACGTGTTAGCGTGCGTGAGATTCAATTGGCGGAATTTTACTAGGTGCGTGTTGGTAGAGCGGGGCTGAGGTTTTCTTGCTCCTGTGGATGTATAGGAAGTCAAAGGTCCTGCCCAGCCCTGCGGTCCCCTCAGTCAACTCTGTTTCGGAGACATAACGATTTGGATTGCTAACAAGTCAAGAAATGTTCAAGTCCTTGGATGTAGGGAAAAGAAAGAGAGATCAGACTGTCACTGTGTCTATGTCGAAAGGGAAGACATAAGAGACTCTATTTTGAAAAGGACCTGTACTTTAAACAATTGCTTTGCTGAGATGTTGTTCATTTGTAGCTTTGCCCCAGCCACTTTGCCCCAGCCGCTTTGACCCAACTTGGAGCACACAAAAACCTATGTTGTATAAAATCAAGGTTTAAGGGATCTAGGGCTGTGCAGGACGTGCCTTGTTAACCAAATGTTTACAAGCAGTATACTTTGTAAAAGTCATTGCCATTCTCTAGTCTCAATAAACCAGGGACACAATGCACCGTGGAAAGCCGCAGGGACCTCTGCCCTTGAAAGCAGGGTATTGTCCAAAGTTTCTCCCCATGCGATAGTCTGAAATATGGCCTCGTGGGATGAGAAAGACCTGACTGTCCCCCAGCCTGACACCCGTAAAGCGTCTGTGCTGAGGTGTATTAGTCAAAGAGGAAAGCCTCTTGCAGTTGACATGGAGGAAGGCCACTGTCTCCTGCTTGCCCCTGGGAACTGAATGTCTCGGTGTAAAACCCGATCGTACATTTGTTCAACTCTGAGCTAGGAGAAAAGCTGCCCTGTGGCGGGAGGCGAGACATGTTGGCAGTAATGCTGCCTTGTTATTCTTTACTCCGCTGAGATGTTTGGGTGGAGAGAGACATAAATCTGGCCTACGTGCACGTCCAGGCATAGTACCTTCCCTTGAACTTAATTATGATATAGATTCTTTTGCTCACATGTTTTTTGTTGACCTCCTTATTATCACCCTGCTCTCCTAGTATATTCCTTTTTGCTGAAATAATGAAAATCATAATCAATAAAAACTGAGGGAACTCAGAGGCCGGTGCAGGTCCTTGGTGTGCTGAGTGCCGGTCCCCTGGACCCACTGTTGTTCCCCTATACTTTGTCTCTGTGTCTTATTTCTCTTCTCCGTCTCTCATCCCACCCGACTAGAAACACCCACAGGTGTGGAGGGGCCGGCCACCCCTTCACTTGGAAAATCAGTTACACACAAACACGGAATGAGAGTCAAAAGACAATACATCATCTTTTTGAGAATTTTATTCACTTCAAAACAAATTCAACACACCTGTTTACAAAGGCATTCCAGAGCCCAGTTTTCGAGGCTGAGGAAAGACCCCGAGAGCGCTTCGCACAGCACGCTTCCCAGCGTCCGAAACACTGCTCTCAGGGCGGGGCACAGCGGAAGGGCTGCACCTCTCAGGGTTCCCTAACTTTTCCCTTATTCAGTCATCTAGAGAGCAAATACACAGTAATTCCCCAGTTTCCTATTGACGTCCCAGCGGAAGTCTGACTCCTGCGCGTCACGCAGTTTCTGAGGCAACGAATCTCTGGCACGGAAGCTTTTCCTGGCGCGTTTCCGGAGAACCACGCGAACTACAACGTCCCTCACCAGAATTCAATGAGGCAGAGTCCCTGCATCTGCTCCCTGCCTGGCCTGGGCTCCCACATCCACAGAAGCGCCACAGCCGGGGAGCTTCGGAGTCACCGCACAGAGTCTGCTCTCTGCTCTGCGCTCCTCAGTCCCACAGTCCCCTCCAAGTCACGGGAGCTGGAGGCCAAGGAGCCCCTGCCACCTGCAGTCTCACTGCAGGTCAGAATCGCTGTCCTCTGAGGAGGAGGAAACCTGAAGGTCTTCATAGAGGACGTTCGGTGGGACACGAACACAGGGAGCCTCAGACTTCTCTGACACATGAGGGCTCTGAGCGAGGAAGACTCCCAGCTTCTCAGGAGAGTGAAATGAGGGGGCCGCCAGGAGGCTGGAGCTCCAGCGTCTGTTTTCTAGTCTCCGGAAGAGCACTCTGAGAGGCTGGGCCCCATCATGGCTGGCCGCTGGGTGATGGGACATGGTGCAGGCCTGGGCAGTGGGCAGGCAAGGTCTGCTGTGCGGAGGCTGCCGGTCGACGCCGGGCACCTGGGCGGGTGTCCTCCTGCCCATCTGGGGCGACGTACTTGGTCCAAGTTCGGTTGCTGCTGGCGGAGGTTGGAGATTCTCCAGGGCCCCCAGCTCACCTCCCTGGATGGCGCTTTCGGGGATCTGGAAGGGACCCAGTCTCGGTTTCTTGGGGAAGTTCAGGCAACCCTGAATCGGAGCCTGGGCAGGTCTCTTGGCTCCTGGTCTGAAGCTGAGATTGGAGCCTAGGCCCAAGCTGTGTGTGGCGGCTGGTGGGCCGGGCTGTCAGGTCACCGCAGGACGTTTGTCTTGTGCCTGGGGTCTGACGGCCTGGAGCAGGCCGTGGGTTTTGGAGGCAGCCTGGGGAACTTCTCGGCAGCCACCCTCACGGCTGCTGTGTGTCGGCTTCACCACGAGGAGAGGCTCGGGGCCCTGGTGCCTGACTGCAGGCTGAGGGATGTCGGCCGCAGCACCTGTCTGTCTTTCCTTTGGTCCAAGACTTGAGGAGGATCTCAGACTGGCTTTTCTGAGGGGAGACAGTGAAGCCAAGACGGAGCCTCTGCCAGACATTTCGGTAGCTGAGCGATCAGCGAGTTCAGGGTCCACGCACGGCCTCTTACTTGTTGTGTGGACCGGCATTGGCCGGCTTGCAACCTGAAAGAGAGGAAACAACACAGGTTAGAAGTTCCTCAGCATGGAGCCAACGTGAAAATCAAGCACATCCAAAGACAAGGTGCACACGCCATGAAATTCTTAGTACAGTATCGACAGGCGGTCCTTGGAAGTAGAGACAGACCCTCCACCTGAGTGCTGATCAGGACAAGACACATGAACGATGCGCTCTCGAGCTATGTGTAGCTGATCTAAGCACACCATTGTTCAAAAGATCGCGTCTTGGGCATTAACTGGATCAAAGCGCCTCCACTCAGCCTTCCATGAAGTGGAACAGACTAATGCCCTTCCGAAGGCAGGTTGGTGGCTCAAGGGTACTCAGGACGTCTTCTCTGAACACATGCATGTTCCAGAGTTTAGCCTTCTCCATGTTTGGGGCCTCTGAGGGACAAATTTCCTCATGCCGCTAGGAACATGTTGTTGGCAGGCTTGCCATAATTGGACAGAAAGAAAGCAACAGGAAATACGGCATCTTCAGATGCCTTCGCCTGGAATCAAATTGACCTGGAAGGATCGTGAAGTCCCTGACCCCAAGAAGGCAAGAAAGAGGGGTTCCCCGATTCCCTCCCGCAGACGGGAAGCTGAAAGGAAATCAACCAGGGTGACCTAGAGGACAAAAAGACCAGGGGCCCAGGGTGACACTCACCCTCAGAAAAACAGAAGATTCCGTGGATCCTTTTCGATTTGGCAGCAGCTTCTCTGGAGGTTTCCCGGAAAATATGTGGAGGAGAGCCTTTCTCTGCGGGTCTTGTTGCCTGCAGAACAGAAAAAGGTCAGGCCATGGCCCCTCGTTTTCCCCAGGAGACAGGGAGAACCCTGTCTGGGGCTCAGTCCCATTCCGTGTTTTGTGATACAGAAATGGACATCTGGTGCCCTTTCCGCCTCTGCACCTTCCCTCACGTGCCAACCTTCCCATCCTCCAGGTGGCCCTCTAGGCTTCCTAACTAAGGACTGTGATTTGGATTCCATCGCTTTTCCCCCTGTCGTGGGGAATCTGCACGAAGCACCCCCGCCTCTCCCCGTCCCTGAATCTCCCAGAGCCAAAGGAACTCCTGGGTGTGGAACCCCGGAGGACACGGAGCTCCGGCCTATTTCTCTGCAGCGTTCCTTCCCTGGCCCGGAGACGGAAAGGCACACGGTGTGCAGGTGCAGAGACACCATGTCCTTAGGAGGCAGTACCCTAAGAGTGGTGAAAACCCCTCCCACTGCTCACCTTGGTCTCTCTTCCTTCTCTCCCTTATCCTTGTTCAAGGGCCCCGGGTTGGCTTCAACCTGGGGCTTCCATGGTTTCAGGTTTTCCTTCCCTTCCTTTTTCCCCAAGGTCGGTGGAACCAGGGCTGCCTTCCAGCACTTCATGGGGCACCTGGTACTTCTGACCGTGTGGCCAAGGGCCCTGCAGTTTTTGTACTTGAGCTGTGGGTGGAAAGGAAGTGATGTCAGTGAGTGAGCTGAAGCCACAGGCAGCGATCCCACGTCAACATTGGGACGGATTGTGAATTCAGAGCTGAATAAGGATTCCAAAGAGGGGACACCAGCATGGGGGCCATTAAGTGCTGGGAGAGTTCGGATGCGATGTTCCCTCCCAAAGCCCATGTGACAGAGGAACTCTAAAAGGCAGGACTCAAGGTTCTAAGGGGCACGATGGTGAACCCGATGTCAACAGCACAGCCAAACGTGGCTACACAGGACTCTAAACAGAAAGGGAGGTTGCCCCCAAGAGTCTCTCAAGGGGCCTATCGGGCCGCGGAGGAGGTCCCAAGCCACGCCCACCTTGGATGGGAAAAGCAACCTGGGTGGTGGTGACAGAACTCTTTGGAATCCAACCCAGTCTCTGAGGACCGTGTGACAGCCCCTCCCCCCGTCCCCACCCCCACCCCGATACCCAAGAGATCCAGGGCTAGACTTACCCTGGGATTTTCTTCATCGGGCGGGGGAGCCCTTGGCCCAACTGGGGCCCTCCGCTGCTTCTGGAGGGTCTGGGCTCTCACCAGTCTCTTTGCCCCAGGTTTGGGGTCACGACGTGCCGTCATCTTCGTCTCCTGGGGGTTTTGTGACCGCCTTTTTCAGGGGTTGACTGTTGGGCCACCTGAAACACACACAAACACACACATGTGGATGGTTAAGCACGTTGGATATTCACACACCCACAGGAAGCCCCCCGCTAACTCCTTGCCGGTGTGGTCATGAGGAGACCTCACCACCAGTCGGTCAAATCTGTGGAACACAATGTGCTGTGCGCATCCTCAGATATTGTGTGTTCCTCTGCCATGATTACCTAGTCCAAGAGTAAACTTCGCCTGCCACAGGGCCTGTGGCCTAGGTATGGGGAGTTGAGCTTTCAACTCCAAACTAACAACTGATTCTGGAGACTGGACTTAGGTCTATTACGATTCACTCCGGTAGAAGACACGATGATTCTATCTCCCTTGACGGACAGAATGATCGAAGCCACAGGGCATGGCATTTGTCACCCTTTGGCAGGTCTGTTTGAAATCTGGGATAAGGGATGCTTCCTGTCACAACTTGAATCGCTACTCTTGCCATTTCATTAGGCGACTTCCAAACACAAATTCATAGAGAGAAGTTATCTTCCTCTCTACCACACTAGCAGGTGATGGTCTTTCCTGTTCTATCTTTTTGGCTTTAGCTCCAGCCCCTCTTTATTTATTTTTCTGGTATTTTACACGTGCCACACGAATTCATCTAAACAAACGGTGAATAAGTGCCATATCGTATCGACGTCTTACACCGCTGAAGGGCAAACCACCCTTTTTTCCAAAGTCCTTTTTCCATTTACCCACCAATTCAGCATGCTGCAGTACATTTCTTTTCACATTCCCATCTTGGTCTTCTCCCACACGTGGAGACGGAAATGCTTTCTCGTTTTCTGTTCCAAGAATTACTAGTAACGAGAACACATCCTACCCCATCAGCAAGGCCCAGTGTGATCGGTTTCTCTCGGCGTCCTTTGTCTCTTCCCACCCACCCCTCAGGGACTGCGTGAAAAAAACAACTGTACAGTGAAACTAACCTGAAATTACACGTCTACTTTCTTTCCCCGGCTGGCGCTGAGATGGGCAGGTGCTGCAGCAGCCCGGCTGGAAGCGATGCAGCATCCAGGACGACGGAGGAAGGGGCAGAGAGGGACCTCTGCTTTCCAGGCTGCCTTTTATACTGCCTCTGGTCACCTGACGTGGAACGTACCCTAACCTAATCAGTTACATGTAAGTTAATTGCAATTAACTTAATCCAATTACATGACCCGGAAAGGTCTATCTGCACAGCCCACTCTAAGATCATGTCCACTGCTGACAGACATTCTAAAACCTACGTGTACAGCTGCAAGCTTTGAAGAATAGATGTTCCCCGTCAGACATGTAACACTGGTGCCTGTACCCCTGTCTTTTTTTCCATCTTTTTTGTTTTTGTGTTTTGTTTTGTTTTAAAAAATGTGGTAAAATAGACACCTTTTAATTGGACCATATTTACTCTACCTCGACGTAGGCCTCAGTGTCTTCAAGGAGATTCTCCTTGACATGCAGTCATGGCCATGATCCATCTTCAGAGTTTCTCTTTCTTCCCCACGGTAGGTCTGTCAGCAGAGAACCCTGACCACACCCTCATGTGTTTTCTCCTCCAGGAGGCGCTTGGAAACCACCGTCAATTGGACCGCACTGGGAAACACAGATGAACAAAGTCAACACCGCTTTGTCCTGCAGTGCCTGGCTCCTTTTTCAGCTCGTCTTGCGACTCCAGGTATTGGAGTCCAGGGAGGGGTACGTCGCCTTTACCCTGTGCTTGCCACGATCTTGTCTCCTTAATCCTCACTGCAGTTCTCTGCCATAGAGTCTTATACTGCTTTACATGTGGGAAACTGAGGCTCAGAGAGTTTCACAGCAGGGCAGGGAGCCCAGATGTGAATCTGTAGATACCAAACTTTCTAATTTTTCAGTAGTTTCCAAGCATCTTTTATTTTTCTTGTTTCTTCGTTGGTGTCTTTTTTTTTTTTTTTTTTTTTTTGAGACAAAATCTCTGTGCCCAGGCTGAGGTGCAGTGGTGTGATCTCAGCTCACTGCAACCTCGACGTCTCACATTCAACAATTCTCATGCCTCAACCTCCCGAGTGGCTGGGACTACAGGTGCCCACCACACCCAACTTATTTTTGTATTTTTAGTAGAAACACGGTTTTGCCATGTTGGCCAGGCTGGTCTTGAACTCCTGACCTCAGGTGATCCACCCGCCTTGGCCTCCCAATATGCTGGAATTATTGATATGAGCCATTGGGCCCGGTCATGTCATTGGTGCCTTAACCAAGCCTCTTTTAATTTTTCAAACGGAAGAGCCCCTGTCCCTCAGTTACGGCTGCTGAGCCCTTTCAAGGTGAGTCAGTGAGGAGGGAGAAAAGCGGAAGTGGTGTGGGAAGAGGCGGGGTCTGGGCCAGCTGCTGGTCCTGCTCTCCTCCCTCCTTTGGCCTCTAGGCTCCCAGGAGTGGTTTCGAACCTGCGCCATGTGCTCTGGAGGCTGTGGCAAGGCAGGCGCGGCTTGGAACCCGCACCATGTGCTCTGGGGGCTGTGGCAAGGCAGGGGCAGCTTGGAACCTGCGCCATGTGCTCTGGGGGCTGTGCCAGGGCAGGGGGAGTCCTCGTGTCCCCTGCGCACAACACAGACAGAAGGCTGGGTCCACCCAGTGGGCGGTCGGGTGCCAGGCCAGTGCTTACCCCGCCATGTTTGCAGCCCGAGGCCAGCTGGCTGCAGGTGCAGGACTAGGCGTCAGGGGTCAGGGTGCACACATCCCTGCAGGTCTCGGGGCTCCTGGGTTGCTTCTGGAAGGGCACAGATGGGACCTGACTGGAGCTGCAGAGGGGTGGAGCTTCTGGGGAAAGGATCCCTCCTAGGGGGAGTGTCTTGGGCCTGGGGCCACGTGGCAGGGACAGAGACGGGTCCATGGCAGTGTCTGCTCTTCTCTGTGAAGGCAAAAAGCCTCTGAGGGAGTATTACAGCCGCCTCATCCACCAGAAGCATTTCCAGCAGATCCAGGTCTGCACCCCCTGACTGCAGGGCCAAGGACTACCCCCGCTTCTAGGTGAGAGGCCAGCAGGAGGCTCAGGGAGGAGGCGGGGCCTTAAGCAGGGGGAGCAGGGGTGGGCATGATGTACTTTTTCTGAAAAGGTGGCTCTGGAGGCCACTTGGGGACAGGACCTGGGCTCTGGCTGAACTCCCGGGAGGAGGCTACTTCCTGGTGTGCCAGCCCCTCCCTGCCAGGTCGCCCCAGAGGCCCTTTACCAAGGGGTTTGAGGAGGCCACGTCCTTTCAGTCTGCCACGCCCTCCATTGCATCCTCTTCCTTCCTCCAGGAGGGCTGGGCCTGGGTTTGGGGCCACTGTTGCCCAGGTGGGGGAGGGCAGTGGCTTTGGGAGGAACAGGGACGATGTGTCAAACAGCATCGCCTCTCCCAGTGAGATGGTTCTCCTTTGCCTCCGTCTCTTTCCCCATTGATTTCTCCAAGTGGGGAGTCATGGCTTGGTCCTGATACGTCTCTAGAGCTGCATCTTCCAGCTTCGAGTGAGCAGAGCAGTTGGAGTCTGAGGGCCTTTTCCTGGCAGGATTCTCCAGCTAGTCTTTGTTTTAGACAGTCTTGCTCCGTTGCCCAGGCTGGAGTGCACGATCTCAGTTCATGCAACCTCCGCCTCCTGGGTTCAAGCGATTCACCCACCTCAGCCTCCCAAGTAGATTACAGGATTACAGGAGTCCACCACAACAGCTGGCTTATTTTTGTATTTTTAGTAGAGACAGGGTTTCACCATGTTGTCCAGGCTGGTCTTGAACTCCTGACCTCAAGTGATCCTCTCGCCTTGGCCTCCCTAAGTGCTGGGATTCCAGGCGTGACCCATCATGCCTGGCCCCAGGTAGTCTTTAGAAATGTTAAGCTATTTGGCTTTATTTTCACACTGACAGCTGGTTTGTGGTGGGTGTGTTATGGTTTATTATTATTATTATTATTATCATTATTATTATTTTGAGACGGAGTTTCGCTCTTGTAGACCAGGCTGGAGTGCAATGGCGCGATCTTCGCTCACCGCAACCTCTGCCTTCCCAGGTTCAAGCGATTCTCCTGCCTCAGCCGCCTGAGTAGCTGGGATTACAGGCACATGCCACGGATTAGCATCGCTAATTTTGTATTTATTTTTAGTAGAGATGGGGATTCACCATGTTGGCCAGGCTGGTCTTGAACTCCTGACCTCAGGTGATCCACCCGCCTTGGCCTCCCAAAATGCTGGGATTACAGGCGGGAGGTGAACCTGGGAGGTGGAGGTTGCAGGGAGCTGAGATTGTGCCACTGCACTCCAGCCTGGGTGACAGAGTGAGACTCTGTCTCAAAACAAAACAAACAACAACAACAAAAAAACAAATTGTGGTTACGTAGAAGTGTCAACTTACATTTTCAGATGTCCCAGCCAGGCCGTGTGGCTGCTTGGCCAGCTTAAGCCACTTGTGCTTGGGGCTGTCGGGGGCCTTATCCAATTTTCACTCCCCTCGGGGGATGTTGTCTCACTGTGCTGGGAGGATTTGTGTTCCCAGGGCAGAGACCAGCACTCTGCCCCACCCCTCTTGCCTAGCAGGGTTGGTGGACCTGGGTGTCTCTCTGGACACATCCTCCAGTGGCCTGGACCTGCCCATGAAGTTGGTGGACATGTTCAGGTGCTGTTTGCCTGCGTGTGCCGTGAACTTCAAGTGGTAGGAGCAGAACCCGAATCTTTCTGGGGATAGCTTCACAGATCCACCGCTGACGGGGAAGCAGTGCAGAGTGAGCTGCCCAAAGTGAGGCCCTGCCCCTTGGTCAGTCCAGCACACACTGGAGGCCATGAGGAGGAGCCCTGCGGTTACTGTGGCTGGGCTGAGCCTCACTGAAGTAGGTGCTTCCATTTAGAGCTCATGCTATATTTAGGTTGGTACAAAAGTAATCACGGTTTTTGCCATTAAAACTGAAAATTACTTTTGCACCAACCCAATATGAAAAAAAAATAAAGCACCTTAAATACTAGAACTCCACTCGGGGCTTTTGCTCCTAGAGTAGAATTGGCGGGAAATGCCTGCAGGCTTACATGGTTTTCTTTGTTTTTCTCTCCCACCATGTCCCTTTTGGCCAAGCTCACATGGTGGGTTTGAATGAGTTAAATGAGTGTCATGCTGTGGCCTCACTCCACCCAGCATAGACGGGTGTTTGGAAGGGTGGCGTTAGAGGAGATTCTAGAAGCAGTAGCCCCAGCACAAGTTGAGCCCTTGGCCCCTGCTCAGCAGCCGGCTCCTGGATGGGATTCAGGGATGCGAGCCCCTCGTGTGAGCTGAGCTCAGGGAATGTGGGGATCAAATCTGGTGTCCTAGAAAAGTCATCTTTTATGTGCTGAACCAGTCCCCAGGGGGTTGCCTTTACTTGTTCCATGGCCATGGAATTAAGAAAAACATGCAAAAGTAATTCTTCAGTACTTGAAGAGCATCCAGCACAGAAGGTACAAACCTTCCTTAAGGCTCCCTCCTCAAATCGGTTTGGTCATTTTGATGTGCACCCCCCCAGGCCTTTATACCCTTCAGATGCCAAATCTAAGAACCAGCTCCCAGAAACCACACCCCCTGTTCCAAACCCCAGCCTGGCTTGAGCGTGGGGTGGGTGGGATCCCAGCTGGGCACCCCAGGAGTCTGGTGTCTTCCCCAGGCAGCTCTCAGGCTCCCTTGGTTCTGTCTGCAGTTTACATGAGCTGGTGAAACATGTAGAAAATGGCCTGATCTTTGAGGAGTCAGAGGAACTGGCAGCTCAGCTGCAGGTAGCCATGTCTGCCACCACGCCAGGGTGGGCAGGGTTCTGGAGACTGGCATTGAGCCACGCTCCCTGATCCCTGCTTCCCACAGCCAGGGTGGGACCATGGGGGGTCTGGTGGAAAAGCTAGTGGGGGAGCAGAAGTCACAGAGGCCTCCTACTCTGCTGTCCCATTTCGGTACAGTAGGCTCGGGAAAGTTAGGACACAACCCCACCTGCCCTCTGGATTTATGGAGCTGACACTCCATAAATGATGCTGGAGCCGGGTGGGCCGGGCTGCAGTTTAGGAAGTGATCGGATCAGGTAGGTGCGTGGGCAAAGGGAACTTCTGGGACCAGCCTTGAAAGATGGGTGGAATTCTGCAAAGGTTACTTGTTTCTTATTGCAAAAAGTAATACATCATTCTTGTCAACAGAATGATTGGGAGGATTTTCAGTAAATGTCCAGGTCAGAAGTCATTTAGACAGGGTACCCCAGTCTCTGTCAGAACCATGGTACTCTGTTGTGGTGTGAAAGTAGCCACAGATCATCTGTAGATTAAGGGGTGTGGCTTTGTTCCAACAAAGCTTTATTTACAAACACAGGCTGTGGGCTGGATTTGGCCTGCAGGCTGTAGTTTGTGATCCTTGATTCAGACAGTTTAGCAAGGCTGAAAAGAACACCCACACCCCCTTGTTACCCACAGATGGGTGGGACTGTGTTGGCCAGAGGCCGAGAGGAGGGTGCTCACAGGGGAACGTACAGCATGTAGAGGCCGGAAGGTGCTCCAGGGCACCAAGTGTGGGAAAGTGGGACATACGGGGAAGTTTCCAGAAAGCATGATGTCAAGTTGGAGGTGGAGCGCTGCTGGGTTGTGAAGGGTCTCAAGTCCAAGTGAGGGAGTTAGGGACTTGGGAGGGGTTGTTGTTGGGTCGGGGACCTGGGGTCAGCCAAGTGGTGACCTGGGATGGGGTGGGGACAGGCAATGAGTTAAGCTCTGCTCTTTAGCATTTTGCAGATGCTTTTCTCAAACTTTTCTGATCCTGCAGGCAAGCTAAACCAGTTCTGGAAGAACCTGCAAGAGTCTCAGCAGCTCTGATGGGATGAGAGCTGGGTGCAGACTGTGCTCCCTTTGGTTATGGACACATAACTCCTGGGCCAGAGGCTAAAACCCCAGGGCCCCTGCTGTCCTTCCCGCAGCTTCTTGGGGTCTCAGGGCAAAGCCTTTCGAGCAGCGCCTCCCAGTGGCCAGAAGCTGAAATGACGGCAGTGGTGTCACCTGGTGAATGACCCGGGAAGCTGTGGTTGGCCCTGATTTCTTCTTTGGAGTCTCTGAAATGCTTCCTGTCTTCTGTTCTTCATGCCCCATGCCCCTGCTAGCGTATTACTGTTCTGTGACTTCCCTGTGACCTCTGCAGTACTCCTCATCCTGCATTTGGTCTCCAGGTGTCACCTTTCTGCCGTGTTCCTAACACTTTCATTCCTGTCTTGAAAAAAGCGCCTGCTGCACCATAAGCCCTGGGATGTGGCAGCTGCAGCGGGCTTGGCTTTGTGAGGAACCGAGTGTGTCCAGGGATGTGGCAGCTGCAGCGGGCTTGGCTTTGTGAGGAACCGAGTGTGTCCAGGGATGTGGCAGCTGCAGCGGGCTTGGCTTTGTGAGGAACCGAGTGTGTCCAGGGATGTGGCAGCTGCAGCGGGCTTGGCTTTCTGAGGAACTGAGTGTGTCCACGTTGGGGGAACGTCATCCTTGATACACACGTTTTTATTTGCAGAAAGAAAATGCTATTTTTGGAGCTAGAATTTTCATGTCTGATTTATGATGATTTTCTTGAGAACCAGAACTGCTGGCAGAAAGGGGGCACCCACACGCCTAGACAGCTAATGTCTTATTAGAGGGCAGTTTTGATTCCTGATTTGGAGTTTAATAATCTCCAAACATTCCAGTCCAATGAAAGTTTTATCCACTTTCCCATATAAAAATTCTTCCCACGAGAGTGACTTGATTCTCACAATCCCTTTGGAGTCATGTGTGAGTCCTACAGTGTGAGGTTCAGCATTGCCATCTCCAAGTGCTCTCCATAGGGAAACAGTTTCTGGTCATGATGAGCTTCCGCTTCCCATCTGATCCCATCCCGGCCTGGAAACAAAGCACGTGTTTGAGGATGGCGGTGTTTGGGGACAGGACATGAGCGTTTTGTGTGGGGCTGCTAGGACAGGCCTGGCGGGGTGGGGGGTGTCTAAGTCAGTTTACTTGGTTCACAGGTTCGGAGGCCCACCCACATACCTAGAATTCGCCTCCAGGATGGGACCAGAAATCTGGTTTTGCATAGAAATGGCTAGCAGCAGGCACCATGCCGCTGTCCACTCTGTGCCTGCGTCTGCCCCAGCACTTGGCACAGCAGGACAGAAGCAGAGATCTGAACCCACATCTCCCTGGCTGCTCAGTCAACTCACTCTTCACAAAGCTTAGAAAGTGGCCGGGCACAGCCAGACTCTGTCTCAAAAAAAAAAAAAGGTTGGTTGAGGCTTATACTATGTGTGCTGCTTGGCACTGTTTTTTTCACTTAAAAGATATTGCAGGTTTTTTTTCACGTAAGTATCTGAAGAAAGACTTCCTTTTTTTTTTTTTTTTTTTTTTTTTTGCTTTTTTGCTTTTTTGAGACAGGGTCTTGCTCTGTTACCCACGCTGGAGTGCAGTGGTGAGATCAGGGCTCACTGCAGCCTCCACCTCATGGGCTGAAGCCATCCTCCCACCTCAGCCTCCCGAGTAGCTGGGACTACAGGTGTGTGCAACCACATCTGGCTAGTTTCTGTATGTTTTGTGAAGATGGGGTCCCACTATGTGGCCCAAGTTGGTCTTGAACACTTGGGGTCAAGTAGTCCTCCTGCTTTAGCTTCCTAAAGTGCTGGGATGACAGGCCTGAGCCCCGCGCCCGGCCAGCCTCCTGTGCGAGGTTGTGTGGGACTCTGTCATGGAACCCAGTATGCCTTCATGTGCTGGCTTGTTTGTTGACTCTGTAGTTAATGGGCTGCCCCACGTGGACAGGCACTGGGTCATCCATGTCTCTGTGTACAGGCAGAGGCTGCTGCGGGTACATCTGTGCACATGGCTGCCAGGAGGGGCTGTGCTCAGGGGGAGCTGGGGCAGAGGCTGGTGGCAATGGGGGGCTTGGGTGTAGTGTGGAGGCACGAGAGCCAGGTGGCCGGGCTGCAGTCTGCGGGAGCTCGGGGGTCACTTGGCCTCTGTGTGTCCTAGTGTCTTTGTCGGTGAGATGGGACAATGACAGCACACCCTCACAGGTGCTGGGGGTTGACAAATGTCAGGTCTGAGGACAGTGGCTGGCCCACTACGGGGCCAGTTTCCCTTCTCTATAGTCACCCTGCTCGTCTTCCATCAACTGGGTGCTCAGGACAGTGGCGTGGTGGATCCGCCTGTACAGCCTGTGCTCCAGCGTCCTGCAGTCCACAGCTGTGTCCAGCCCTGACCCCGACTGCCGCTCTCGCCACCTCCATTTTATAGATGAGGAAACCGAGGCCCAAGGGCTTAGGGAACCCTGCTCTGAAGCACATAGTAGGGCTGCTGGGCTCAGACCCTCCCTCCCTGTGCTGAGGTGTCCTCCTCCTGCCTCAAGCCCCCCACGCCCCGAGCCCACCCTGCTCACCGGCCTCTGCCCGAGTTCCCCGCATAGTGTGGGAGTGTGGAGCATCCTAGCTTTTCCCCAGCGCCCAGTTCTTTCACTTCCACTGGAGTCCTGCAGGGACAGCTCGGGCACCATGTAGGCCCGGGTGGGCGTGGGGGTTCACCTAGCTCGGTGGTGAACAGCTGGCATGTCTCTGGGTTGCGGACGGTAAAGGCCACGTAGACCTCAGGAGCCCGCTTGTGCTCCCGGCAGGCAGCCAGCCTCTGCAGGACCCCGACCAGCGACACGATGGCTTCTGGGCAATACAGCACGTCTACGGTGAAAGTTTCAGGTTACTGAAAGGGACAAGTGGAAAGTTCCAGTTCATGCTGACCTCAGCAGCAGGGCGAGGCCAGAGAGGCAGCGGTCATATGAGACTATTAGATGCCATTTGACCATTTGGGCCATTAGATGGAAAGGCAATTATTTGGGTGAAAAAGGAGAACCCTTATTAGAGAAAGCTGCAAAAGACCGAAGCAAAAGAAAAAAATCTCCAGACTCACTGGTGTCCTTAAAAAACCAGCTCTGGTTCTCGGCCTGTCTAGAGGGCTTTCAATGACAGAAAGCCTGACCCTGCCGTGAACTTCGTGTTTCAGGTGTCTGCCGATTGGTCTGCTGGCTTGCAGGGGTGGGCCTGTGTCCCTGGCCACCGCTGGACCTGTGGGTTTCAGGGCTGGGACCCAGGACTACAGGCAGAGTTCTGTTCCACCAGAGAGGGGACTGAGTGTGCTCACAGGGGTGAGGGGTTTTCGGTGGCCCAGCCAAACAGCACCTTCTCTCAAGGGCCCTGACCTCGTACCAGAAGTGGTTGTTTTCCTCCTGCGGTCTCTGAAGGACACAGGGCATGGCTCTGGGACAGAGCCATGTGGTGACGACTGTAACGGGAGTATGCCTGTCTCCAACAACAGGGCTGTGGCTTGAAGGTCACCTTAAGAGGCACCCCTGTCCTTTGATGTCACCCTGGAGGCCCAGAGTAACTCTTCTGGAAGCCCCATCACGTCCATGCCCGACAGTGTCCATTGTTCCCTTTTCCCAGAGCCAAGAGCTGGGTAGAGCTGCAAGGACACCGCCTGCACAGGATGCCCGGGGCTGGGCATTACCTGCTGCAATGACAACATCTGGCTGGAAGGCAGAGAGCTGATGGACCATTGCTACGTCCCAGTCCAGCTGGGCCACTGTCACCCTGGGGCTGTCTAAGTTGCCAGTGATGTCTGCCTCTAATGAGAGGCCATTGAGAAGGACATTCCCTCGGAGCTGCTCGAGGATCCGGCTGTGAGGGTCGCTGAAGATGTATGCCCGGGGGCGGCACATCTTGCAGATGGCAAGGCCTGTGAGGCCGGCACCACTGCCAAGCTCTAGGACAGTCCTGGCGGGAGGAAAGGGGACCGTGTTTTCGACTGCACCAGGGTAAGCCTGCCTCGGTGCCCTGCCCTGTGCCCCAAGGTCACCTGTTAATGAAGGCTGCCGGGTTCTCGATGGCCCATTCTGCAAGGTAGAGGGCGGCATCCCATGTGACCAGGCCTGTGGTACCGTGGGAGATGATGGCTGTGCTCTTGGAGAGTGTGACTGAGCCTCCTGAGGACTGCACCAAGAGAGGGCGAGAGAGTCAGTCCAGCGATCAGAAGGCAAGTGGCTTAGAAGACAAGTAGCCATCCACCACATGGCTGAATAAACCATGACAGGACCAATCGCCACTCAGCAATGAGAAGCAGCTAACTGTTGACATACCAACAGTTGCACGGGCCTCAAGGGTGTCACGCGGCATGAAAGACACTCATCTCAGGCCACACAGGATTCCATCTATTGAACATTCCTGAGACAACGGAATTCTGGCGATGGAGCACAGGTCAGTGGTGGCCAGGGGCCAGGTGTGGCTATGAAGAGGTGGCTGCCTTGTGATGATTCAATATGCTATGTTTTTCCTTTGTGGTTTTCTGTATCTATGTTTTATCTCATTTTTTTTTTTTTGAGCTCTGTCACCCAGGCTGGAGTCAGTGGCACGATCTTGGCTTACTGCAACATCTGCCTCCTGGGTTCAAGCAATTCTCCTGCCTCACCTGCCCAGGTAGCTGTGACTACAGGCGTGTGCCACCATGTCTAGCTAATTTTTGTACTTTTTTTTGAGACACAGATTCACTCTCGTTGCCGAGGCCGGAGTGCAATAGCACGATCTCGGCTCACTACAACCTCCACCTCCCGGGTTCAAGAGATTCTCCTGCCTCAGCCTCCCGAGTAACTGGGATTACAGGCGCCCACTACCACACCCCGTTAATTTTTGTATTTTTAGTAAAGATGGATTTTCACCATGTTGGCCAAGCTGGTCTCAAACTCCTGACCTCAGGTGATCCCCTTGCCTCAGCCTCCCAATGTGCTGGGATTACAGACATGAGCCACCACGCCTGGCCTAATTTTTGTATTTTTAGTAGAGACAGGGTTTCACCATATTGGCCAGGCTGGTCTCGAACTCCTGACCTCAGATCCACCCGCCTTGGCCTCCCAAAGTGCTGGGATTACAGGCATGAGAGACCATGTCCAGCCCTGTCAAGTATTCTTTGAGGACTGGGCACCAGGTCCTTGTGAAGCAGGTAGTGTGTGTCACCTATTGGACAAATGCCCAACAACCCCACGAGACATGCTGTTGTTGTTGAAGTGCTTGATTTACAGACAGGGAAACTGAGGCTAAAGAAGGTTAATGGACCTCATGTCTAAGACTGCAGAATGGGTGAGTCAGGATTTGAACCCACACCCACGTTTTCACTTTGTCTGTGCAGGAAGGGTATCTGGGCTGTGAGGGGGAGGAGGGTGCCTTTCTCATACCAGCAAATAGCTCCGGTGGCCCTGGGTGGACTCCTTGGCCATCAGAGTCTCCGCGAGCACCTCGTACAGTTTGTCCAAAGGCTCCGTGTGGACAGCCTCGTGCTGGGGGCAGACAGAGTGAGAGCTTGTTTGCTTTCGTTCTAATCTGTAAAAATGGCCAGATGATTTTCACCAAGTTTGGAGGGGAGATTTGGGATGGAATGGTGTAATACCGGCCAGCTGGTATATAAAATACTCACTTCGTTGGGCGTGGTGGTGTGTGTCGAATAGTTCCAGCTACTCTAAAGGCTGACGTGGGAGGACTGCTTGAGCCCAGGAGTTCGAGGACAGCCTGGGCAACAGAGATCTTGTCTCTAAAAAAAAAATTATTCCACTTGGTAGGGAAACCTGGATGGGAGGGCCTTCAACAAGAGGTGTTGAGAGGGTAGGGTTAGGTGTAGTCTAGGGCAGGAGACAAGGATTCCGTGAGAGCTGCCACATGACCATGACAGAGAGCTCTGTGTTTGGATCAAACACAGAGAGGAGGAAAACAAAAGGTGCTTTTAAGTGAGCCCAGGCAGAACTGTGAGGGCGGCCCATGCTGCAGGCTGTGGCTGTCAGCAGGCTGCTTCTCCACAGCTGGCCCAGTCCTAGGATTCACAGGGCAGCAGCAGGGTACACTGGGTGACTGCTGCCCTCTCGTGGTGGCACAGGGCAGACCTGCTGGTGACCAGAGATGCACCCTTTTGGGGAGAACTAGGGAGAAAGCAGGTATTGGAGAAGCAGGGGATTGTTTATTTGTTAAAAGTGTGGCCCTTTCACTCAGCAGGTCTGCTACTGCCTACTAAGGAATGGCCTCTCGACATCCTCATGTCAAACCCTGCATGTTCGGGCCCATCTTTAAAATCCATCCTAGGCCAGGTGCGGTGGCTCATGCCTGTAATCCCAGCACTTTGGGAGGCCGAGGCAGACGGATCACCTGAGGTCAGGAGTTCGAGATGAGCCTGGCCAACATGGTGAAACTCTGTCTCTACTAAAAATACAAAAACTAACCAGACATGGTGGCATGTGCCTGTAGTCCCAGCTTCTTAGCAGGCTAGGCACGAGAACTGCTTGAACCCAGGAGGCAGAGGTTTCAGTGAGCCGAGATTGTGCCACAGTAATCCAGCCTGGGCAACATAGTGAGACTCTGTCTCAAAAAAAATATATAAATAAATAAATAAATAAATAAATAAATAAATAAATAAGTAAAAAATAAAATCCATCCTATATCAGTCAGGAAAGAGCTCATTCCAGCAGGATCAATGCAGAGAATTCACCAGAGGAACTAGTTCCAAAGGTATGGCAAGAGCTAAAACTTCCAACAGGGGTCCGTGGGGCAACCCAGAGACGGACAAGAGCAGGAAACTCCAAACCCTTTGGTGGGCAGGACAGAGGGTGTGGGTGATGGTTCCAGTGCTGTGGGCTGGTCCAGCCTGGTAGGAATGAGAATCCATATGCTAGGAGCTGAGGCCCCAGAGAAGCAGCTGCTGTGGAAACCCCAGAGGGCAGACTCAGGGAGAGATGCTGGCCTCCCCTTATTCCCACCCTGCACTGTCTCCCATGGGTCACACTCAGCTGCAGCCAGTTGCCTGGGGAGGGCCCTGCCATGCTGGGGTTTGCAAAGCAGGCCCAGGGCCTGGGAAGGACGGAGTGTGCAGCACGCCGGTGGCTATGCTGTCCAGCTACTGGGCGGACACTGCCTATAACTGACCTTTTTGATGAGTTCTGAGAGAAAGCACCAGGCATACTTGACTGACGGCGGGTGCTTCACACACACAGGATGCCTCACAGTCTACGGCAAAGGACAGAACGTTGGTTGCTTGAGAGCCCGTCTTAAGTCTCCTATGAGCTTCAAGCCAACACAGCAGAGGGCAAACTCCAGGCTACCCGATCCCTCAGCAAAGATGCAGATGGACACAGCGTTCTGGCCCCATGCATCTGAAGTTTGTCTTAAGATATAAGCCGTTTCCTAAAAATGCTTCCACTGCAGTGGCACAGGCTATGGCAGCATTTCTAATGCCCATTCTGAGCAGGAACACAGGGCATGTGGGCCCAAACCACCTCCCTCCCAGGGGAGCCAGTGTGAACCAGGGTTTGCAGTAAGGTCAGTCGCCAACTATCTGGCTTTATGGAAGAGGCGGGAAGGCCCACTCAGCAACTGCTCTCTGGGAGCGTGTGTCCCTGGGGACAGGATGGAGGGGAGGGGAAGCTCAGGGTGACTCCAACTAAAGCTGAGAGAAGCCAAGTGCAGGATGAGCAAGTTCCAGGCAGTGGGAACAGCCTGTGCAAGCTCTGAGGTGGCCACGGGCTGGCACTTGGAACGGAGGGCAGAGGGACTGGTGCAGCAGGAGTGGGGACGGCGGGAAAACAGGAGCCTGGAGGGAGAGGGAGGAGACCGTCCGCAGCGCCTGCTGGCTGGGAGGGATGCAGATTCTGCCCAAGGGCAGCAAAGTACCCCAGGCAATACACAGGCTCTTCATGCTGGTGCTGGTTTTTCATTTGTTCTGACCCAGAGTCTCGCTCTGTTGCCCAGGCTGGAGTGCAGTGGCCCGATCTTGGCTCACTGCAGCCTCCACCTCCTGGGTTCAAGCGATTCTCCTGCCTCAGCCTCCCGAGTAGCTGGGACTATAGGCGTGCACCACCACACCCAGCTAATTTTTTTTTATTTTTAGTAGAGATGGGTTTTTGCCATGTTGGCTAGGCTGGTCTTGAACTCCTGACCTTAGGTGATCCGTCCACCTCAGCCTCCCAAAGACCTGGGATTACAGGTGTGAGCCAGTACAACCAGCCTTGTGCTGGGTTTTAAAGCAGCTCTCCCTACATCTCATGCTTCACCACCTATGAGAGTGAGGCTCAGGGTGAAACTCAGAGCAAGGTGCGAGATAACTTCAGGTATCTCCATGCTCGAAGCCCTGACCTACTGTATTGCCCCGAAAGTCTTCCCTGCTGTGCTGCATCTTTTCCACGTGGATAATCTTGGTTCATCTCTAGCACAGGAATTCTTCACCGGGGCTCCTAGGATGGGCTGGGTGGGTGGGCGTGGAGGATGTCTGCCTCCCCTGAGTTTGTATGGAAAATGTATTCTGGTGCACTTCTTTCTGGGAGGGAGTCTATTGCTTTGTCTTTTCAGAAGGGCTCATGGCCCTTTGAAGGTGAAGACCCAGGATGCAGGGTGATCTGCACTTGGCCCTCAATGCCAAGGTCAGCCTGTGGCTGGGCCAGGTGGTGATCCTGGCTCTCACTTGCATGCAGATGCACTTGAGTCCAAACCCCACCCTGGGCAAAGCAAGGGCCCATTTAGGTCTAGAAGAGACAGGAGTGGGCGGGACAGGCCTCATGAATGCAAAAAAGAAAGTCTCTGAGCATCTACCAAATGCTAGAAGCTGTTTTGCACCTGTCATCTCTGTTTTTGCTGTGGATGGTTTAAAAAACATTCCCTAGATTTCCCCCCTCTTGCAGAATTTTGTATATTCTGATGTCTTTTCTAAGTCTTACATAGAAAACGAAACCGTAGGAGCTGTCGGAGGTGCTGACACCCTTCTGAAGTGCTGACTCAATGGTTTTGTTCTTTGAAGAGGGCTGTTTTTAAAGGGTACAAGCACACCTGTGCTGCTTCTCTCAGGTCTTCCGGAGAGATTCAGGAGGCAGGATCATGAGTCCCAGGGACTCTGGGATTCTTACCTTCTGCAAAATATCCCGCAGCAGCTCAGAATCTGATGAGTCTCTTAACTTTGCCTCTAAGCTCTGTGTGGATGGGAGAGAGAGAAATCTCAAGGGCCCATTCACAGGAACATTAAACACGCAATAGAATGTGTTGGCAAAGCTCTATGTGATCCCTCCCTGGGGACGTGGAGCCAGTTGGAAGTGGAAGCCACAGCGGCTGAAAGCCTGACCTTCAGATGTCGCAGGGTGCACCTGGATGAGTCACAGGAAGAAGGCTGACTCTTGGTCGCATTAGTCCTGGCTACTCAGCTGCCACCCAGGTCATGGGCCAGCTCCCTGGTTACACTGGTCAGCCAGGAATTACCAGGGCAGCCATGGCACCAAGGTTTGATGGGCTTGCCATCTGAGTTTAAGTGGAAATGCAGAATGTGCCCATACCAGCCTGGGTTACATTGTCCTCTTACAGGGGCCTCAAGCCCAGCAGTGAGCTTTGGCTCCCGAGTTAGGCAGACTGTCTCGGCTGGTATGTGACACATGGCAAGGCACTTCATTGCTTCAGAGCTCCTTCTATGCCATAAAAGGCCCTACAAGGCCTGCTGCTAATCCCCCTCTCTGGCCTGTTCTCCCTCACCACTGGCCCACCCTGCTCACTCCACTCCAGCCACACTGGCTGCCTTGCTGTTGTTCCTCAACCACAGCTGGCTTATTTCCACAACAGGGCCTTTGCATATCTTGTTCCCCAAACCCTTCCCATGGCTGGCTGCTTCACCACTCAGGCCCCAGTTCAAATGCCACCTCTTTGGGGAAGGCTTCCCTGATTCCCTGACTTTGGTGACACTTCTCCCCAGTTGCTCCATTCACCATTTCCCTGTTTTATTGGCTTTAAAGCCACTCTCATCTGGTCTTTTCTTGTTTATTCATTTATTCTCTGGCTCTCCCATGCAAGCAGAGCCTCATCTATCATGGGTACTGCCGATCCATGGTGCCTGGCTCACGGAAGGCATTTATTAAACATTTTGAGACTGAAGAAAACACTAGCTAACACCGACACGCATTTACCATGAGCCAGGCACTGATCCGCAGGCATTTGTACTCAATGCTGAGAACAACCCTAAGAGGTAGGTATCATTATATCCCCCATTTTATTAATAAGAAAACAATAGCACAGAGAGATACAGTCACTTGCCCAAGGTCACACAGGGCCAGGGGTTGGGCCAGGATTCGAAGCAGGCAGGCTGTCTCCTGGGTCTGAACTCTCAACTACTTCACCCTAATCAAACAATCCCTCTGGTCAAATGTGAGTGATAATAATAGTACCCACCTGGTGGGTGTTGAGGGTGAGCCCAAGTTAGCATTCAGTGTGGGCATGTGAACAATTATAGTCAATATTGAATGGAGACCTATGATGCTTTTATGAAGGTTTCTATTTTGGGTTAAAAATGCACACATTTCTCCTGACCAGAAATGATCTCTGAGTGCTAAATATTTTATGTCAATGGAATAATGCAAATGATTAAGCAACACCCCATAAAATGGGGCAGACCCAGGGAGGAATATATATCCCAACTGACTCATCCAGTGAGCTCAATGCACATGAATTACAAATGGAACGGGGTGCATTAAGCCCCTCTGCTGGCAGAAGGGAGGCTGCTGCCTGCCATGTGCCTGTGCTGAGAATGGCAGGTCCCCAGGGAGAGGAGAGGCCACCCCCTTCTCTGTCTCTTCCATCACAGGCGTGAAAGCCTCAGCGCATGAGCCGATTCTGTGCAGTGCTCGACATACAGATGAGAACACTGAGGCACGAGGGACAGCCTGTGACCTGGTCACCACGCTCAGGAGGAGGTGGTTACCCGCGGGCCTGAGGGCGCTGACTTTTTAGAATGGGCGAGTGCAGCTGTGTCCCAGTGACCAGAACGATTACTGCCTTTAAAAAGTCGTGAAAATGATCGTGAACCGTACCCCACACCGAGCGCGCGTCTACCCCCTAAGGCGGTGGAGACGCCCCCAGCTTCCGCCGCCAGCTCGCGGGGCAGAAGGGGTGCGAGCGACTCTGGCCAGGCCCCAGGGACGGGGACCGGGTCTCGCGGCCCTGACCGAGGAGAGCCCAGGAACTCACGTGGCCGGAGCGCCGGGGGTTTCAGCACGGAGACCCATCCCGTCTGCCCCTGGACTCCCGCGACCCCCGCGGGCCTCTCCGCTCGCCCCGCCGCCCACCTGCCAGGGGAAGGAGCGCAGTGTGCGCACCGCCAGGAAGCGGCGCTCAAAACCCTGCAGCAAGAGTTCGGTCCCCGCGTTCTCCTCGGGCGCCATAACGTGGGCGAGGCCGCAGCCGTTGCCGGGAGACCTGGAGGAAGCCGGGCCTGGACTGAAGAGGGGGCGGGCCGAGGGCAGTGCGCGGGGGCAGAGAGGGGGCGGGGCCTGGGGATAGGGTCAGGAGGTGCGTCCTGGGGGCGGACTCTAGGGCGGGGCCAAGATGAGCGTTAGGAGGGCGGGGCCTGGGGTAGGGCCAAGATAAGCGACATCGGGGCAGGTCCTGGGTAGAGTCCAGGTTGGCGGTTCCTGGGGCAGGGCCAGGATAGGGCGATCCTGGAAGCTGGGCTTCGGAAGCGTCCAGGTTGGTGGCGTCCTGGAGGCGATGCCTTGCGTGGGGGCAGGATAAGAGTCCTGGAGGCGGGCATTAGGGCGCGGATAAACGCCATTGGATTCAGGAGGCGGGACCCAGAGCAGAGCCCAGGAGACAGGTCTTAGGGCGGGGCTAAGGCCAGGCCCAGAGAAGGGCTCAGGAGGCGGGGCAGGGGCGGGGCGTTGACTATGTCGTAGCACATGGCCAGGCGGTGCGCGGACTCTGGGAGGCGAAGCTTAGGACGGGCCCACTTGGGGAGGGGCCCAGGGCCCGGGAGGCGGGGCCGAGTCCGGGCTGGGCTGCGCTCAGGAGGCGGGCCCTGGGAGGCGGAGCTTAGGGAGGGGCCGGTGTTGGGAGGGACCCAGGGACTGGGAGGCCGGTTGGGGCTGGGCTCAGGGGCCGAGACCTAGCTGGGCTTGGGGCGGGGCCGAGACGGAGCGAGGGGTCCAGGGTGTGGGAAACGGGGAGGGGTTTGAGGAGGGGATCGGAATGTGGCTCAAGTTCGGGAGGCGTTACCTGCGGAGGGTTTGAGGCAGGCCCAAGAGCGAGCCCATGGTCTTCCGACGCGGGGCCAGGGGCGGGCCCCAGGATCCGGAGCTTCGTGCGGGGCCGAGTCCAGGTTTGGGGCCCGGGAGGCGGGGCCAGTTAGGGCGACTGTCCCTGGGATCGTCGGGTCAGGCCTTGGGCTAACGTAGGCACTCTCGCAGTTCCTCCGCCTTCAGGAAGGTCTTTTCAGCAGGGGCCTTACGGGTGCATGCTTCGGTCCTGGAGGCCTTATCCTAGCCTCCTCTCCATCAGCGCCACCCGTCTGGGGCCCGAAAGGAGGGAGCTTTCCCTCTGTCCCCCAGCCTTTGGACTGTCACCAAACAAGCCATTCGTTCATCAAATACTTTTTAAGCGCCTACCATGTGCCTGACAAGGGAGATGTAACGGTGAGAAAAACTAGGTGTGGTCCAGGCCCTTCAGGGGCTCAGGTGCTCGTGGAAGAAGTGGACATTGAAGTACTTATCACACAAATGAGGATAAAAGTACGATAGCGATATCTACCACGAAGGTGAGCAGACAGAGCTAGCGGGGCTTGCAGGAGGAGTTTTGATCTTGCAGGGACAGGAAGGAGGAGTTAACTCCTGCGGGGTGGGATTGGGGGTGGTGGTGATATAGACGTGGGGACAGAGTGGAAAACAACAAAAATATAATTATTTTAGTTCAAAGTTATTGTGTCTTGAGTTGAAAGGCAGGGCAGTTAGCAACACAGCTTAGATTTCAGTACTGCCCCTGAAATCTGAACTGTGTTCAAAGTCTAAAACGTTTACCTTAGCAAATTCCTCATCAAACTCCATTTGGAAGAGTCCCGAGAGCTAATTTGTTAAGTATACTTGCAAAAGGTAGATGAGGAGACAGATAAAATCTTATTACCTCTTTCAGATGAGAGGCACTTGAGCCCTGCTCAGCTATGAGAATAAGAGAGGGGAATTAATTCTAATTGAATACACTTGTTCTCTTATAGCTGTTGTTCCCCACCAGAACCAAATGAGCGCAAGATCTGACAAAGAAAAAAAAAGGTTCATCTTTTATTCCTCCAAACACTTTCATTTAAATCAAGAGGATGGGATGTGGTTATTGCTGTGTTTTTAGACAGAATCAACGGTTTCTGGGTCTGAGATGTTGCATACACCTTCTCAGTCCCTGTATCCTGAGATGGAGTCACCTGAGAATCCACAGCAAGTCCTAACCAGGGATGGGTCTGGGTGATTAAGGAAGGTTGGCTTCAGAACTGGGCCAGGGGCACTGCTTTGCTTTTGCTGTTTTGATCAGCTCTCTGCCTGAAGGAGACAAGAAAAACCAACGGGAACAGGTTAGTTATACTGATAAATCCTGGGCTTATTTTATTAACTCACATAATAGCTATTGTCTTTCCTCCAAGGAGCAAAAGGGCATATACGGTCAATGCCATAGTAAGTAACACTGTATTATGTTATACTAAAATATTAATAAATCTAGGTTGGTTCAGTCTTTCCTGAGTCCACAGATTGGAAGCAGATTGAGGAAGGACGCTAGTGGACCACAGAGCTGAGCCATGCACACAGAAGAAATCTTTTTTTCTTTTTTTCTGGAGACGGAGTTTTGCTCTCTAGTTGCCCAGGCTGGAGTGCAATGGCGCGATCTCGGCTCACTGCAACCTCCACCTCCCAGGTTCAAGCGATTCTCCTGCCTCAGCCTCCCGAGGAGCTGGGATTACAGGCGTGAGCCACCCTGCCGGGCCACTTTTGTATTTTTAGTAGAGACAGGGTTTGAACACCTTGGCCAGGCTGGTCTCAAATTCCTGACCTCAGGTGATCCACCCACCTCTGCCTCCCAAAGTGCTGGGATTACAGGCGTGACCCACCGCGCCTGGCCAGAAGAAATCTTTATCTTGGTGTGCAGTGTCTGGTGAGGGACAAATGTCATCTCTCTTGGATCTGAATCTGGAAGGATCAAGGCACTGAAGGGATTTTTTTGTTTCAGACAGTATCCCTCTGTCGCCAGGCTGGAGTGCAGTGGCGCAATCTCAGCTCACGGCAACCTCTGCCTCCCGGGCTCAAGGGATCCTCCTGCCTCAGCCTCTCGAGTAGCTGGGACTACAGGCACGCGTCACCAGGCCCAGCTAATTTTTGTATTTTTAGTAGAGACAGGGTTTTACCACGTTGGCCAGGATGGTCTCAATCTCTTGACATCATGATCCACCTGCCTTGGCCTCCCAAAGGGCTGGGATTACAGGCTTGAGCCACCACGCCCGGCCTCACTGAAGGGATTTTTTTAATGTCACGTGGCTCTCACAGGTGCGGTGTGTTTGGGTGCAAGTGAAGATTACGACTGATGCTTAAAAACAAATGTAAAATTCCAGGTGGTGTTGCTATGGGGAGCAGCATTAGGACAATCTGAGTGGTTTCAGTTGCAAGAGTGTGCGTGTACGTGCAAGTGCTACAGTCAAGATTCAACTGCTGGCTTTGAGGGTCTCTTTAAGAACAGTAATGACAACCTAAGGCAGTTTAACAGTATGGAATGGTTACCTTTTAGAAGTTAAGCTATGGGCATGGAAGTTCAATCAGTGCATTGAAGTTTTTCCTTTATCTCTCCTATGGTTAATGGTTTCTGCAGAAAAGGACCAATTGATTTCTTTCTAAAACGTTGCTTCAGGGTGTAGAGACCTTTATAGGTCATGTTTCAACTTACAGAAAATTTTTATAGTTCAAATATAAATTAAGTTCAATGTGGAATTTGTAATATAATTTCAGGTGAAGTAAAATTTCCACTTTCCTTAGGCTGTTTGCAGTGCCCAGCAGGCCCCATGATATCGAGATGGAAGTTCTGTTAAAGGAGGAGATTGATCAGGGATGGGCAGAATAAGGAATATGGGCAGCTCAGGCTAATGATACAATGATTGAGATGTAGAAAGAGGGTCAGGCATGGGATAACGCCTGTAATCCCACTGCCTTGGGAGGCCAAGACAAGAGAATCGATTGAGGTCAGACCAGCCTGGTCAACAGAGTGAGACCTAACCTGTACAAAAAAAAAAAAAAATTAGTTGGGCATGATGGTGTGCACCTGTATTCTCAGCCACTTGGAAGGCTGAGGTCAGGGGATCCCTTGAGCCCAGGAGTTTGAGGCTGCAGTGAGCTATAATCACATAACTGTACTCCAGCCTGGGTGACAGGGTGAGGCCCTGACTCAAAAAAAAAATTGAGTCAGGGAAAAAATTTGAAATCTTAATCCTCAGTACCCAGGAATGTGACCTTATTTGGAAATAGGGTCTTTCTAGATGTAATCAAGTGACAATGAGTCATCCTGGATTGGGGGCTGCTGGTGAGGGGGCAGATACAATGACTGGTGTCCTTATAAAAGAAGAGAATGAGGGCCGGGCGTGGTGGCTCATGCCTGTAATCTCAGCACACTTTGGGAGGGTGAGGTGGGGGGATCACTTGAAGTCAGGAGTTCGAGACCAGCCTGGCCAATAATAACAATAAAAAAGCCTTTTTAGATTCCAAGCCACTGAAAGAAAACTGTCCCTTAGTTAATGTCATGCTTATTGGATCCATGAAGTCTTTGAAAATTTAAACTACAAGGACACTGCTCTCTGTGGTGGTGGAGAGAATACCAAGGATTTAAAGGTCTTTAAGAAAGAGAATGTAGAAAGCGTACCCATTGGAAACAGCACGATGATGATAATCGTACTGACAGTAATAATAAGCTCAAATATATAGAGCTTACTATGTATCATGAATTGTTCTGAATGCTTTATAAATATATGTTACCTCCTTTACCCTCATGACAGCCCAGTAAAGGCGCCATTCCCCATTTTACAGCTGGGGAAACTGAGTTACAGAGCTTGTCTGCACTGAGTCATCAGGAGCAAATGCTAGATCAGGTAATTGAACCCAAGCAATCTGGTTCCAGAGCCAAATAGATGTATTTTTTATGTTATACAAACATATACATATATTTTTAGGGGAAGGGTGGGTGTAGGATGGGATGAGGATTCTGGGTAATTGCTTGGTAAATACCAAATACCTTTCTTGTCTGTCCTTCTTTTCAAATGATAAAGTAATGTCAGTTGCAACACTTTTTTTTTTTTTTTTGAGAGAAGGTCTAGCTGGAGTACAGTGATGCAGTCACAGCCCACTGCAGCCTCAAATTCCTGGGCTCAAGCAATCCACCCACATCAGCTTCCCAAGTAGTTGGGACTAGAGGCCCACAATACCATGCCCAGCTAATTATTTTAATTTTTGTAGAGATGGCAGGTGGCGGTGAGGGGCGGGCGGTTTTGCTATGTTGCCCAGGCTGGTCTCAAACTCTTGACCTCAAGTGAACCTCCTGCCTCAGCCCCACAAAGCTCTGAAATTATAGGCATGAGCCACTGTGGCTGGCTACAATACTATTTATTTATATTTTAGACCAACAGGTATTCTACCATATAAGAAATGTGATGTTCTCTGTACATTGAAGAGTTGGTCTAATATTTGGCCTGGTGGATGGAGAAATTGCCTGTCTGCTCCGCTCTGGTTGAAGAAACCAGTCTGACTGTCTCTGAGGCTATGGAGCAGTCCATGAAGAATGAAAGCCCTTGGCCAGGCACATTGGCTCACACCTGTAATACCAGCGCTTTGGGAGGCCGAGGCAGGTGGATCACTTGAAGTCACGAGTTTGACACCAGCATGGCCAACATGGTGAAACGCTGTCTCTACAGAAAATAGAAAAATTAGCTGGGCCTGGTGACACGTGCCTGTAATCCCAGCTACTCAGGAGGCTGAGGCAGGAGAATCACTTGAACCTGGGAGGCAGAGGTTGCAGTGGGGAGCTGAGATCACACCACTGCATTCCAGCCTGGGCGACAGAGCGAGACTCTCTCAAAAAAAAAAAAAAAAAAAAAAAAAAAAAAAGAATGAATGTCCTCATGATGGCCTCAAGCACATTGGTCCCTGAAGAGAGCCAAGGAAGGCCCACTTTACTCTGCACTGCAAAGCAGGCAGGTGGACAGGATGAGAAGTGGATTCAGTGACAGGCATTGACCCAAAGGATTTTCTGCCTAATGGTCGGTTCAGCAGAAGATTAAACTGAGCACAGCATCCTGTTCCCTCAAACTGTCTGGTTGGTCAGTGGGAAATGTTCTTGTCTCGTTAAATGTCCTCATGCTACTGTCAAGATATCCAGTTACAAAACATCATAAACCAGGTTTACAAATAGGCCAGGTGACTGTGGAATTTCTCCTTGGCAAGGCCTTAGCTATGGGCATGCGATTGGTGTGCAGTAATCACAGTGTTCCGGGCCACTTGAGGGATAAAATATACCTTAGGTGATAAACTGTTGTATTTTAATGTGAATATTTCCACCAACACTAAACAGTAACCCCATGAGTTTTCTCATACCTGTTACACTGTGGAGTTGCAACAAGCTAACAAGCAAGTTGCAAACAGAATTATCGCATTTGGCTCTTATTCACAGCCAGGGTTCTTCAAGCTGTACCTGGGACAGTCTTCCCTCACATGAGGTTTATAGCATCATTTATTTCATTATTTATTTATTTTTTGAGACGGAGTTTCGCTCTGTCGCCCAGGCTGGAGTGCAATGGCGCGATCTTGGCTCACTGCAACCTCTGCCCCCCCGGGGTTCACGCGATTCTCCCGCCTAAGCCTCCCGAGTAGCTGGGATTATAGGCACCCGCCACCACGCCCGGCTAATTTTTGTACTTTTAGTAGAGATGGAGTTTCACCATGTTGACCCGGCTGGTCTCAAACTCCTGACTTCAGGTGATCCACCCGCCTCAGCCTCCCAAAGTGTTGGGATTACTGGCATAAGCCACAGCGCCCGGCTATAGCATCATTTAAACTTTGTTTCTGCCATGAATTGTTAGTTGGTAGTTAACAAAAAATAGACCACCTCATTTATGTCTCACAGTTAGCATTGGTTTTTGTGTTTTCTTTAGGCTTGTTTTTTAATTGTTTTTAAAATTGTGAAACAGGGTCTTGTTCTGTTGCTGAGGCCAGAGTGCAGTGACACAATCTTGGCTCGCTGCAGCCTCAACCTCCTGGGCCCAAGCAATCCTCTCACTTTAGCCTCCTGAGTAGCTGGGACTGCAAACAGGAGCCACCACCCCTGGCTAATTTTTAATTATTAATTTTTTTTTTTTTTTTTTTGAAATGGAGTTTCGCTCTGTCACCCAGCAGGTTGGAGTGCAGTGGCGTAATCTCGTCTCACTGCAACCTCCACCTCTCGGGTTCAAACCATTCTTCTGCCTCAGCCTCGGCACCCACCACCATGCCTGGCTAATTTTTAAAAAATATTTTTATTAGCGACAGGGTTTCACCATGTTGGCCAGCCTGGTCTTGAACTCCTGACCTCAAGTGATCTACCTACCTCAGCTTCCCAAAGTGCTGGGATTACAGGCGTGAGCCACCACGCCAAGCCTAATTTTTAAATTTTTTGTAGAGACCAGGTTTTGCCATGTTGTCTAGGCTGGTCTTGAACTCCTGGGCTCAAGTGATCCTCCTGCCTTGGCCTCTCAAAGTTCTGGGATTACAGGCATGGCCCTTATGCCTGGCCCTTAAAGCTGCTTTTTAATAACAGCTTTATTGAAAGATAATTCACATACCATACAATTTGCCCATTTAAAGTGTATCATTTGGCCGGGCATGGTGGCTCACACTTGTAATCCCAGCACTTTGGGAGGCTGAGGTGGGAGGATAGCTTGAACCCAAGAGTTTGAGATGAACCCGAGCAACATGGCAAAACCCTGTCTTGACCAAAAATACAAAAAAATTAGCTGGGCATGGTGGTGTGTGTCTGTAGTCCCAGCTACTGAGGAGGATGAAGTGGGAGGATGGTTTGAGCCTGGGAGGTGGAGAGTGCAGTGAGTAGAGATTGCACCACTGCACTCCAGCCTGGGCAACAGAGCCAGACCCTCTCTCTAAATAAATAAATAAAGTGCATAATTCAGTGGTTTTTAATATATTCTCAGAGTTTTGCAGCCATCATCACCATCAATTTTAGAAATTTTAATTACCCCAGAAGAAACCCTGTATCCATTAGCAGTCACCCCTTATTTCCCCCGACTATCCCCACCCCTGGCTCCTGGCAACCATTAATCTACTTTCTGTTTCTTTGGATTTTCATATTCTGGGCATATATATATATATATATATATATATATATATATATATGTGTATAATATATATATAATCATCTAATATTTGTCTGGCTTCTCTCACTTAGCCTAATGGTTTCAAGGTGTATCCAGGTTGTAGCATGAATCAGCCCTTCATTCCATATTGTGGCTGATTAATGTTCCATCACACGGGTGGACTGTACTTGTTTGCTTATTCATCTGCTGTTGATGGGCATTTGCGTTGTTGCCACCTTTTGATAATTATGAATAGTTTTGCTACGAGCATCTGTGTGTGTCTTTGTATGAACAGACTTGCATATTTTTTGATATGGGCAAATGAGAACCAGCGGCAGGGGGCCTCTGTGGTGACGTTTTTGGTGATCTTCGTGTACTCTGTATAATGATCAGCCACTCAGGCTTGGGGGCAGCACTTAACCTTACATTCTTTCTTTTTTTAAAGATAGGGTCTCTCTCTCTGCCACCCAGGCCAGAGTGCAGTTGACGCAGGGCAGGGGAGCCCCGAAGTGGAGCATAGTGTGTCCGGAACTGGTGGGTTCTTGGTCTCACTGACTTCAAGAAAGAAGCCGCGGACCCTCGCGGTGAGTGTCACAGTTCTTAAAGGCTGCGTGTCCAGAGTTTGTTCCTTCTGATGCTCGGATGTGTTCAGAGTTTCTTCCTTCTGGTGGTTTTGTGGTCTCGCTGGCTTCAGGAGTGAAGCTGCAGACCTTCAAGGTGAGTGTTACAACTCTTAAGGTGGGGCGTCTGGAGTTGTTTGTTCCTCCCGGTGGGTTCATAGTCTCGCTGGCTTCAGGAGTGAAGCTGCAGACCTTCGAGGTGAGTGTTACAGCTCATAAAGGCAGTGTGGACCCAAAGAGTGAGCAGCAGCAAGATTTATTGCAAAGAGCAAAAGAACAAAGCTTCCACAGTGTGGAAACGGACCCCAATGGGTTGCCACTGCTGGCTGGGGCAGCCTGCTTTTACTCCCTTCTCTGGCCCCACCCACATCCTGCTGATTGGTCCATTTTACAGTGAGCCTATTGGTCTGTTTTGACAGGGTGCTGATTGGTACATTTACAATCCCTGAGCTAGACACAAAAGGTCACCAAATCCCTACTAGATTAGCTAGATACAGAGTGTCGACTGGTGCATTCACAAACCCTGAGCTAGACACAGGGTGCTGATTGGTGTGTTTACAAACCTTGAGCTAGATACAGAGTGACAATTTGTGTATTTACAATCCCTTAGCTAGACATAAAGGTTCTCAAAGTCCCCACCAGACTCAGGAGCCCAGCTGGCTTCAGCAAGTGGGTCCCACATGGGGGCCGCAGGTGAGCTGCCTGCCAGTCCCGTGCCCTGTGCTGGCACTCCTCAGCCCTTGTGTGGTCGAAGGGACTGGGTGCCCTGGAGCAGGGGGCTGTGGTCGTCGGGGAGGCTCGGTACTCATCGGGGAGGCTCAGGTCGCGCAGGAGCCCACGGCGGGTTGGGTGGAGTCTCAGGCATGGCGGGCTGCATGTCCCGAGCCCTGCCCTGCAGGGAAGCAGCTAAGGCCCAGTGAGAAATTGAGCAAAGCAGCTGCTGGCCCAGGTGCTAAGCCCCTCACTGCCCGGGTCCATCGGGGCCGGTGAGCCACTCCGAGTGCAGGGCCCAGTGGGCCCATACCCACCCGGAACTCGCACTGGCCCACAAGCGCCGTGCCCAGTCCAAGTTCCTGCCCGCGCCTCTCCCTCTACACCTCCCCGCAAACTGAGGGAGCCGGCTCCAGCCTCCACCAGCCCAGGAAGGGGCTCCCACAGTGCAGCGGTGCACTGAAGGGCTCCTCAAGTGCCACCAAAGTGGGAGCCCAGGCAGAGGAGGCGCCGAGAGTGAGCGCGAGGGCTGCTAGCATGCTGTCACCTCTCAATAGCACTTGAGGGTTCTTGTCTTTACCCAGGAAAGAATTCAAGGGCAAGCCGGAGGTTTAGAAGAAAACAGCTTTATTGAAGAGGCAGCATTACAGCCCTGTGACTGCTCCTGTAGGGCAGGGCTACCCTGGTGGCAGAGAGTAGCGGCAGAGAGTTTGCAATCACATTTATACTCACTTTTAATTGCATGCAGATTAAAGGGCAGTTTATGCAGGAATTTCTAGAAAATGGGTAGTAACTTTTGAGTCATTGGGTCATTGCCATGGAAAGGGGCAGTAACTCCCTGGTGTTGCCTTGGCAATAGTAAACTCACATGGCACACTGGTGGGCATGTCTGATGGAAAGCTTCTTCTGCCCCAGCCCTGTTTTAGGTAGTCCTTAATTTGGTCTGGTGTCCAAGCCCTGCCTGTGTCGTCAAGTCCTGCCTCCTATCTCACAGTGGCGTGATCATGGCTCACTGCAGACTCAACACCCCCGGGCTCGAGCAGTTCTCCCACCTCAGCCTCCTGAGTTGCTGGGACCACAGGCACGTGCCACTACGCCCAGCTACATTTTTTGCATTTTTCGTAGAGATGGTGTTTCACTGTGTTGCCTAGGCTGGTCTCAAACTCCTGGGCTCAAGCAATGTACCAACGTTAGCCTTCTAAAGTGCTGGGATTACAGGTGTGAGCCACTGCACCCAGCCCAACCTTACATTTTTAATCTCAAGTCACTTCTCTCTACGTTTTGATTTCTTCTTTAAAATGGCGGAACTAAGAGCATCTATTTTATAGGGTTGTTGGGACGACAAAAATGAAAGAACTGCTGTTCAATGTTTAGTGAAGCGCTGTGCACAGTTTTGAATAATGAAGTTGGTGTTTATTTTTTATTATTTGTTTATTTATTTTTTAGAGACGGGGTCTTGCTCTGTTGCTCAAGCTGGAGTGCAGTAGTGCAATCACAGCTTAGTGCAGGATTGACCTCCTGGGTTCAAGAAATCCTGCCACCTCAGCCTCCTGAGTAGCTGGGACTACAGGCATGCATCGCCATGTCTGGCTATTTATTTATTTGTTAGTTTTTTGTAGAGATGACGTCTCCCTTTGTTGCTTGGGCTGGTCTTGAACTCCTGGCCTTAAGCAATCCTCCTGTCTTGGCCTCCCAAAACACTGAGATTACAGGTGTGAACCACCATGGCCAGCCTTATTTTTATTTTTAAATCAGCCTTATCAAGTTGAATTGGTCATTAATCTTGTATAACGGTAACTTGGCGCAGCATTGGTTGGGCGGGGGGTGGGGAACCTTTAGGACCCTGTGGGCTACAACTCATAGTGTGTGCACTTATTTTATTTTGTTTTGTTTTGTTATGTTATGTTATGTTATGTTATGTTATGTTATGTTATGTTATGTTATGTTATGTTATATTATATTATATTATATTATATTATATTATATTATATTTTTTTGAGATAGGGTCTCACTCTATTGCCCAGACTGGAGTGCAGTAGCATGATCTTGGCTCACTGCAACCTCTGCCTCCCAGGTTCAAGCGATTCTCCTGCCTCAGCCTCCAGAGCAGCTGGAACTACAGATGCGCGCCACCACGCCCGGCTAATTTTTGTATTTTTAGTAGAGCTGGGGTGTCACCATGTTGGCCAGGCTGGTCTCAAACTCCTGACCTCAGGTTATACACTTGCCTCAGCCTCCCAAAGTGCTAGGATTATAGGCGTGAACCACCGTGCCTGGCTGTGCACTAATGTTTGATTTTTGCAGAACCACCCTTCCCTAATGGTTGTCTCCTAGATCTAAGGTGACTTTATTCATTTTAGAATGAACTTACCCCATTGATACTGTAACCAGAGTTGGCATACATCACGATTGGCAGAACCCGGTCATGTTTAGCGATATGGAAGTGTTCTGGAAACTCCTCCTTCTTGTAGACGTGGAGGTGACGGTGCGCATTCTTCAGTGCCTGGTAAAGGGCTTCCTCTTGCCCCAACTTGGGCAGGGGCATCCCAAAGCCACCGTAGCGCACAATATCAAACTTGACCAGGTCCCTGAACTTGACGTAGTTGGACAAGGGGATCTTGTTGACATTGGGTCTCTTCTTTACGGTGGTCATCCCACGGTCTCATGTAGTGATGACGCTGAGGTGCTCTGCAGGCTGTGCTTCTCAGTGGCTCCCACCAGATACCCGATGGTCCTGTCGATTTGCTGAATCATCAACTTCCTTTTCTCTGCCTCTGGCCCGAATCGATGTCCCACGTTATCTGGCTCTCTGTAGCACAGAGTCACAAAATCAAAGTCTTCCTTGGTGAACCAGTTCATGACGATATCGATGTTCTCCTTCCGCTCTGTCTCGTTGCTGCTTGGGTGAGTGTAGGAATCCACCAGGGACCACTTGACAGCCTCACCCTCATATTTAGCACCTCCCCTGGAATAGTGGAATGATGCCGCTCTGTTCCCCTGTAAGTACAAGAAGAAAATTCCATCAGGGCCATTTGTCATACCTTTCTCACAATCAGCAAAGCTCGAGTTGTCTACATCTGTGCCCCTGTCCAAAGGTGTAGGAAATATGTGGTCTTTGGAGTCAGACAGGGTGGAGTTAGATTCTGGGCTTCCCCAGGATCTCATAGCATCTACAACACTGTTAGTTACAAGATGTACTATTATTTTATGGGCTACTGAGCAGAAAAATGCTGTCAATGAGACCGTGACATTCCAGTGATTGTAAGGTGTATTACAACTACAGAGATGGCAATATGAAAAATAGTTCCTTAGAATAGAAGGAGACGGTAATTTCTGAGTTGGTGGGGGTGAATTTGTGCATGTGTGTTTTTATATATATACACATATATATATACACACATATATATACACATATGTACATGTATATATGTGTACATATACTCACATACATATATACATACACATGTATATGTGTGTGTACACACACATATATACATACACATGTATATGTGTGTGTATACACACGCATACATACACATGTATATGTGTGTGTGTACACACGCATATATACATACACATGTATATGTGTGTGTGTACACACGCATATATACATATGTATATGTGTGTGTACACACGCATATATACATACACATGTATATGTGTGTGTACACACGCATATATACATACACATGTATATGTGTGTGTACACACGCATATATACATACACATGTATATGTGTGTGTACACACGCATATATACATACACATGTATATGTGTGTGTACACACGCATATATACATACACATGTATATGTGTGTGTGTACACACGCATATATACATACACATGTATATGTGTGTGTGTACACACGCATATATACATACACATGTATATGTGTGTGTGTACACACGCATATATACATACACATGTATATGTGTGTGTACACACGCATATATACATACACATGTATATGTGTGTGTGTACACACGCATATATACATACACATGTATATGTGTGTGTGTACACACGCATATATACATACACATGTATATGTGTGTGTGTACACACGCATATATACATACACATGTATATGTGTGTGTGTACACACGCATATATACATACACATGTATATGTGTGTGTGTGTACACACGCATATATACATACACAAGTATATGTGTGTGTGTGTACACACGCATATATACATACACATGTATATGTGTGTGTGTACACCTACACATATATGTATACATTGTGGTGCAGGGGTACAATCATAGCTCATTGCACCCTTGAACTTCGGGGCTTAAGTGATCCTGCTACCTCAGCCTCTTGAGCAGCTGGGGCAACAGGCATGTGACACCACACCAATATTTTTTTTTGTTGTTTTTGAGACACGGTCTCACTCTGTCACTTAGGTTGGAGTGCAGTGGCACAATCTCAGCTCACTGCAACCTCTGACTCCTAGGTTCAAGCAATTCTCGTGCCTCAGCCTCCCAAGTAGCTGGGATTATAGACATGTGCCACTATGCCCAGCTAAGTTTTGTATTTTTAGTTGAGATAGAGTTGTGTCGTGTTGGCCAGGCTGGTTTCGAATCCCTGGGCTGAAGTGATCCACTTGCCTTGGCCTCCCAAAGTGCTGGGATTACATGTGTGAGCCACCGCGCCTAGCCCTAATTTTTTTTTTTTTTTTAATATTTGTAGAGATGAGGTCTCGCTAATTTGCCCAGGCTGGTCCTGAACTCTTGGGTTCAAGTAATTCTCCTGCCTCAGCCTCTCAAAGTGCTGGGATTACAGGCATGAGACACCGTTCCCGGCTGGTGGTGAGTTTCTCAGCGTCTCAGTGTTTCTACATCTAGAATGCCAAAAAGTAGATGGCATCTTTGTGAGGATTAAGCAGGCTAGCTTTTTATTTTTTTATTTTTATTTTTATTTTTTTTGGAAACAGAATTTCTCTCTTATCACCCATGCTGGAGCGCACTGGCGTGATCTTGGCTCACTGAAACCTCCGCCTCCTGGATTCAAGTGGTTCTCCTGCTTCAGCCTTCCAAGTAGCAGGGATTACAAAGCCAGCTAGCTTTAAGATACGGTGTTGGGCATCACGTTTTGGCATGGAGCAGGCAGTCTTTTCTTTGCCCCCAGGTGGGACTAAGCCACCACAAGCCTTCCCTGGTGTGTGCAGTGGGTGATGAATGCTTGCCTGCTCAGCACCCACTTCCTGGTGGGCTGGGTCACATTACTATGACTCCCCCTTGAGCTTCAGTCCGCGCCTGGTTGGAGATTATTGACTCAACCCGGGGATCCAGAGGTGGGATGTAGCTCTGGCCTGGCCAGAGGACCGAGGATGCTGCATGCCATGGCTACAGCTACTGGTTCAGCTTTGGGCTCATGTCCTAGTCAGAGCCAATGAGATGTAATCTTGGGATATCTGCTGGGCTGTTGGGAAGGGGACAGGCTGCCCTGCACATCCCCATTCCTGATGCTGAGGGATCTGAGAAAATCACTTGTAAAATTTGGGGGTGTTTGGAAGAAGGGGAGATTGATGTCTCTTTCTCTCTACAGACATCTGATCAGCTACAGAGCTTGACTAACCTACCCAGAGGCAGAATGATATGGTGGTTAAAAGTGTGCTCTGGGCCGAGATTTTGCCACTGCACTTCAGCCTGGGTGACAGAGTGAGACTCCATCTCAAAAAAAAAAAAAAAAAAAAAAAAATCTGCTCTGGGCTGGACGCGGGGGCTCACAACTGTAATATCAGCACTTTGGGAGGCTGAGGCAGGAAGATCGCTTGAAGTCAGGAGTTTGGAATCAGACCCTATCTCTAGAAAAATGTTTTTTAAAAATTAGCTGGGTTGGTGGTGAATGCCTCTAGTCCCAGCTACTCGGGAGGCTGAGGCGGGAAGACTGCTGGAGCTTGGGAGTTCAAGCCTGCACTGAGCTATGATCAGGCCACTGCACTCCAATTTGAGGGACAGAGAGAGACCCCATCTCTCTGAACAACAAAAATGTGTGCTCTGGTGCCACACGGCCTGGTTAGATCCTTTGTCCACCACTTAGATGCATGTTATATAAATGTTCTCCTCAGTTTCCTCGTCTGTAACTTGGGGATGGTTATGCTGCCCCAAGAAGTGGTTATGGGGACTAAATGCATGTGGGCATATTGGTTAGTATTCAACCAGCTTGATTTTTCCTGGAGAGGGAGAAAGAGCATGCAGTGAGGTGGCATGGTCAGGTGCATTGGGACAAGGATTATTTCCTCTGGCTTCTGCCTCCTGGGAGGTATAAGGAGGGATCTGAAATCTGTCTGCAGACCCCAGAGTTGGGGACTGCAGAGGGAAATTGAGATCAGGGACTGTAGTCTGGCAGAAATGAGTGCTGCATGGGGCATTGGGTTCCTTCCATCAGAGGCATGGGGTGTGTTGCAGACAGTCATGAAATGTGGCTGAATCTTGCAAGGGACCCTCGGTCCTATGGTTGCTGCTTGAGACAAAGACCCCTGTCAGTGGAACCTGGTGACATTCACCCTTCTGTGTCAGGCTGCAGACAGCAGGAGATGGCAGCAGATTACACCCAACAGGAAAAGGGCCATTGCCACCCCACAGGTTGCCATAGAAGGAGATGACATCTCTCCCTCTCCTCCTCCAGCAGTGTCAGCTGGGGAAGTGGTGGGTGGATGTGCACAAAAGAGTAGACCACAGAGCATGCTCCTTCTCCTCCGGTCTGCTGGGGCCCCAAGAGAGTCTGCAGCCCTTGGCCAAGGACCGGCTGACACAGGAGAACAAAAGACCTTAGGCTGGGATAACATGGTGGTGCAGTTCATCCTCTGGAGCTCCCTGTGAGATCAGACTGGAGCCAGTCTCCAGCTGAGACCACATCTCACTTAGCTCCTTTCCTGCCATATCCTGTTTTCCTTACTCCTATCTCCTGAGACTTCTTCCTGAATGAATTACATGCACTCAATCCCTGCCTCAGTCTCTGCTTTTAGGGAACTTGACCTAAGACAGAAATCTTAGTACTAAATACTTTGCAAGGCCTCAGAAGCTCTGCTATCCACAAGCAGGTGAGATATTACCTTCCCTACCACCTGGCAGTCATAGTCTATGATGCGATTCAGCTTTATGGAAGTGCTTCTCTAAAGAACTTCCCCCAATTTAAGACGATCTTAATTTGCTTACTTGTTTACTGTCCATTTAGCTGCTCTAAAATGTGAGCTCCAAATCAGGGGCCGTGTCTGGTTGGTTACTCATTTCCTGAGACCTGGAATGGGCCTAGCTCAGAGCAGGTGCTCACTATTGATGGAATGCATGTTGAAAGAATGCATGAATCTCATGTCTTTTTGTGGGTGAAAAACTCATCCTATTCTCACCCTGATTAACTTTCTTTCTTTCTTTATTTTTTTTTTTTTTCAAAATGGAGCCATGATCTGTCACCCAGGCTGGAGTGCAATGGTGTGATCTCAGCTAGCTGAAACCTCTGCCTTCTGGATTAAACCAATTCTCCTGCCTCAGCCTCCTGGGTAGCTGGGATTACAGGTGTATACCACAACGCCCGGCTAATTTTTTGTATTTTTAATAGAGACAGTGTTTCACCATGTTGGCCAGGCTGGTCTCGAACTCCTGACCTCGTGATCTGCCCTCTTTGGCCTCCCAAAGTCCTGGGATTACAGGCATGAGCCACCATACCCAGCCACTCTTGATTAACTTAATGGAAATATTTACAGAGATTCTTTCTCTTCTGGGTTCTAACGTCTTATCTGTAACCTCTGCAGGTAATACATTTTCCTTCCTGATGATAGCATTTCTATGGTTGCTTTCACTTGCAAATCCTCTAATGCTTATTTATTCCATTTCTGATTGGCATTAGACATAATTCTCAATTTTTAGTGACAGCACTTCTTTTAACTTACATATAAATCGACTTTGTCTTGAAATGTGACATTGACTAGAAGGATGAAACTTCTAACATGCTGTAGAACATAGTTTGACTGGCTAATTTATTATTTAGAAGAAGCTAATATTGCCATTATGAGGGACTTAGGTGACTCTGAAGAACCAGTTTCATTTGTAATATTTGCAATGTTAAATCACAGACATTGCCAACGTGAAATAGTTTCCATATGCTGTGTTCTCAATACACACCTTTTCCAAAGATATCCCAAGCTGTAGTCTTAGAAGACTGTGATTTTTCTTATTTGTTCTCACAGGAATTTGGGGAGCTATGCTGGATCTCCATAAAATGAGCTCCAGAAAGACACGTGTGCACACACACACACTCACACATGTACCACACCGCACTTGACTCTGTTTATTTGGGACCCATGATTATCAGAAGTGCTATTTTTAACAAATACTTCTGAGAAATAATCTGAACACTTAATTGGATGCAAAAGAGTGGCTATTTACTATTCTACCCTTTAATTAGCATAATCAGTGTTTCCAGCAGCAAAGGCAATTGGAAAATCGCTTGTTTTGTTAGGTTCATTATTCTCCCTTAGCATAGTGTGGCATCAGCATGGCTATTATTCTTAAATTGCCTCTTTAAAACAAGAGCTGGTGCTTCTTACAGGCAATTCCTAACTCTTGGGTTTTGTAGAGGGTCCAAAACTCTTTAGAACCTATAATTCAAGGAAAGGCTCCACTTTGGTTTTACATTTTGTCTGGTCTCTTTGGGTGACAGAATTTATGTCACAAGGTGCACATGTTTTGGGGAGGCTCATGGACAGCCCATCGCTCTTGTGCTTTGGTAGGAAATATGTGCAGTTATGGGGAAGGAGTTAGTTACTCATCTAGGGAACAATTGGGTAGAAAGAGATGGACTCCCTGTATTTGAAATTCAGAACTCAAGCTTGGCTCTAAGTGTTTCCTTGCTTTGCTGTGCTCCACGGGAGTCACTGAGCAGAAGGAAGCGAGTTGCCTGAGATTCCTCAAAGCCCGCAGCCCTTTTGGAGGTTACATTGTTATTCTCAGAGCCTTTATGATACATAATAAAGACCTAGCTTGGACCAACATTAGGATGAGTTATCTTGCTATTAACATTCTTTCAGGTAGAAGTTGCTTTTAGGTAGAAGTTGGTCCCATCTTGCTCACAATCCTCCAAAGCTTGGAAGTTACTTTCCAGGAGACTTAGCTTGCACTGAGAGCCGCCCTCCCACCCTCTCTCCAAATTTCCTCTTGGGAGTAGCCTAACAAGGTGCTGTCACAGGCCCTTGCCAGCCACGATGACCCCACCCAGACCATCCCTCTGCTGTTTCACTCTTTGATATTCTCTGGAGCTCTCTGGGGAGCGGTGAGACCTGCTGTCTGGTTTGTACGGTTTGCCCAGGTCTTACAGTCATGGCTGGCTGCCTCTCTCTGAGAACTGGGACTCCTGAACTTGGTGAAATACCTCAGCCATTGATCGTGTTAAATTATCGGTGACACTCATTTAAAATCCGAGTCTGCTCCAGATGGACTCTCTCTCTTTCTGCCCTGACTATGAGAGAGAGAGATCGTGAGAGACAGAGACCATGAGAAAGACCGTGAGAGAGAGACACAGAGCTAGAGAGAGAGACCGTGCCCTGACCTGCTGGACAGTGGAGATGCTTGTGGGCTGTGAGCAAGGGATGCAAAGGCTGCCGGGAATCCCATTTTTCCAGCATCATCTGCCAAGGCACATCAGTTCCTGGGTGTCTTGATGGGTTCTGGCAGCATTACTGTCATTGAAGGAAAACATTTTAGCCATATTAAAGGTGAATGCAGCAAGCTCCACACAGGCTGCCTGGAAGGGACGCGGGACAAGGGTAGGTTTTCCCTGTGATGGACAGGAGACAGGCGGCCCTCCCACAGCCCTGCCTGGCAAAGCAGATGTGTCCCCAAAAGGCACTGGGGGCAGCTGGAGTGCTGTGCGGAGGCGGGCTCACCCGGGCCCTGGGTTCGCTCTGATTGCAGCGGTTTCCCGCCAGCTCCTTGGAGAGCTGGCAGATGACCCAGCCCCACAGCAGGAGCTGTGAATGGCAGAACGAGATACAACAATTTGATATCCACTTGCCAGATGAGCCGGGTGTCGTCAGTCGCCTGGCTCTGCGCCAACCTCTTTTTGCACAAACACTTATGAATTCAGCCAGGAGGAAAAGCACTCTGATTATGAATTGAGCAGAAGGAAACAAAGTTCTGCGAATAAACACCAATGAGACAAAAAAAGACGAATAAGAAAAATGACAGAAAAGGAGAACCTTCCCAGAAGCCTCCTGCCAGTGAACAGCCACCGTAGCAAGAGCTTGGAGGCCCTGGGTTTTGAACTGTGAGATAAGGAAGATGATGAAAACCTCCCTAGCAGCCAGGCAAGCACAAGATTCCTGTAAAATCCAGGTCTAAGTGTTTTAACCACAGAAGTAATATTATGTCATAGGTGAGAGCTGTGAGTTGCTGAACCCAAAGTGAGTTCAAATCCGAGCTCTGCCTCCTGCTACCTGTGTGACTTTGAGAAGTTCCAGCACTGCTTTGTGCCTCAGTTTTGTCATCTGTTAAATGGGCATAATCACAGCTTGTGCCTCAGAGTTGTTGTAAATTAATACATGTAAAGCACTGAAATCAGCCTGGTATACAGTAAGTGTTATGAACGTTATTTTCTTGGAAGGACAGAACTTATTTTCATGGTCTAAGCCTGAAAGTCTAAAAAATGTGAGAGAAGAGGAAAGAATCTAGAGTCTCACCATGAGGGAGAAAAGTCAACTTGAAGCAGGACAGGGTCATTGACAATTTCCTGTGATTCTACAGCTGCCTTGTACACTATGGTAGCTCCTATCCACTTACTGTTTAGATTTTGTGATTTAGAAATGAATTAAGGGCAGGCATGGTGGCACACCTGTAATGCCAGCATTTTGGGAGGCCAAGTTGGGCAGATCACCTGAGGTCAGGCGTTCAAGATCAGCCTGGCCAACATGGTGAAATCTCGTATCTACAAAAATACAAAAATTAGCCGGGCATGATGGCGGGTTCCTGTAATCCTGGCTACTCAAGAGGCTGAGGCAGGAGAATTGCTTGAACCTGGGAGATGGAAGTTGCAGTGAGATGAGATTGCACCACTGCACTCCAGCCTGGAGGATAGAGTGAGACTCTGTCTGAAAAAAAAAAAAAAAAAAATTAAGAGAAAATTGAAAATTCAGTTCTTCATTCTCACCAGCCACATTTCAAGGGCTCAACAGCCCATGTGGGCGGCTAGCACCTCCCATGTTGGACAGTGCAGAGTAGAGCAAGCCCACCATTGCAGAATGTTTGATTGGACCATGACTGAATAGTCTATTGCAGTGGTCCCCAATTTTTTTTTAGCACCAAGGACCAGTTTCCGTGTACTTGTTGGGGGAAGTTTCAGGATGATTCAAGTACATTACATTTATTGTGTACTTTATTTCTATTGTTATGAACATTATAATATATAATGAAATCATTATACCACTCACCATAATGTAGAATCAGTGAGAGCCCTGAGCTTGTTTTCCTGCAACTAGATAATCCCATCTTCGGGTGGTGGGAGACAGTGACAGATCATCAGGCATTAGATTCTCATAAGGAGCACACAACCTAGATCCCTTCCACATGCAGATCACAATAGGGTTGGTGCTCCTATCAGAATCTAATGCCACTGCTGATCTGACAGGAGACAGAGCTCAGGCGGTAACGCTAGCCATGGGGAGCAGCTGTAAATACAGATGAAGCTTCACTCATTAGCTCACTGCTCACCTCCTTCTGTGCAGCCCAGTTCCTAACAGGCCACAGACCGCTACTGGTCTGTGGTCTGGGGGATGGGGACCTCTGGTCTATTGGATAACACTAGCTTTGAGGGTACTGATCAGCCAAAGAAGCACTGAGATGATTTGTCCTCCATTAATAAGAATGATGGACTTTTTTTTTTTTTGAGACAGAGTTTTGCTCTTGTTGCCCATGCTGGAGTGCCTTGGCACCATCTCGGCTCACTGCAACCTCTGCCTCCCAGGTTCAAGAGATTCTCATGCCTCAGCCTCCCAAGTAGTTGAGATTACAGGTGCCTGCCACCATGCCTGGCTAATTTTTGTATTTTTAGTAGAGTCGGGGTTTTGCCATGTTGACCAGGCTGGTCTTGAATTCCTGACCTAAGTGATCCACCTGCCTCAGTCTCCCGAAGTGCTGGGATTACAGGCGTGAGACACCGTGCCTGGCCAGATGGACTTTTTTGGAGCATTTAGTTCCAAGCACCTTCCCTGCATTTTCTCAGTTAATCCTCCCAGTGACTCTTTGAAGCAGGGACTATGACAATCGTCATTTCACAGATGGAGCAACTGAGGCACAGAGAGGAAGTCAATGGCCACGGTCGCCCAGCTGAGGAAGGATGGAGCCGGCTGAGATCCTGTTCTGGGGATCTAACTCTGCAGCCTGCATTCTGGGCTGCTGTATTCTCCCTTGTTGCTATCTGACGAGCACAGCATGGGCTCAGAGTACAGACAGGAGGAACCAGCTAATAAGGAGAGGTCTAGGGTGAAGGCTGGTGCCTTGGGGAAGAAGAGAGAGGTCTCATTCTAAAGGGATGGCATTGGAAGTTCATAGTGATAAAGCAAAGCCAACAGGTTTTGGGGCTGAGAGTTAAACACACAGCTCTGGTTTCTGCCTTTTCACAGTGGTGATGAAAGAGCACTGAGAGCCTCTCGAGCTAAAGTTGTCATCATTGCTCTTCATAGTCTGAAGGTGCATGAAATGGTCAACTTTCTTCCAAAGGGCTTTTATGCCTAAGTCTGTGGTTAGTGTATAAACAGATATTTACTGAAGTCCTGCTGGGTGCAGACACTGTGGCCAGCCCTGAGGCTACAGTCAAGATGAAGCCAGTCTCTGTCCTCATGGAGACCTGTCTATTGATAAGAAAAGAGAAAGCTCACTGAGCATTGACCCTGTGCCCACTGCTTTTGATGCATCTCTCATTTAATCCTTCTATCAAATCTGTGAAATAAACACATCACCATCATCCTATTTCACATTTAGGGAAACATATGCTTAGAGAGGGTAAGTAACTTGGTCAAGGTCACACAGCTTCGATCTCTCATCCCACAGGCGCAGGAATGGGAGGCAGCAGCTGGGGAAGCCAGGGTCTCTGGCAGTCCTTGTCTCTGGGCAGTGATCCAGAGAGAGAGAGAACACGATTGTCTCAGCACTGGGTCTTCTTCTGAGTCGTCTTGAAGGAGCAATTCCAGAGCATCTCGGTGTTAAACATCATGTTGTGAATGACTCAGTGATCTCTGACCCAGAGACCTTGGGGATAAAGGAGGGGAGGTACGGAGAACCCCTTTGAATGGATGTTACCGGGGTGTCAGTGTTCTTTGAGGCCACAGGCCATGTGTCACCAAATTGAAGGGGTGGCCTGCCCCTCCACACCTGTGGGTATTTCTAGTCGGGTGGGATGAGAGACGGAGAAAAGAAATAAGACACAGAGACAAAGTACAGGGAAACAACAGTGGGTCCAGGGGACCGGCACTCAGCACACCAGGATTTGTACGTGCACTGGCCTCTGAGTTCCCTCAGTTTTTATTGATTATGATTTTCATTATTTCAGCAAAAAGGAATGTAATAGGAGAGCAGGGTGATAATAAGGAGAAGGTCAACAAAAAACATGTGAGCAAAAGAATCTATATCATAATTAAGTTCAAGGGAAGGTACTATGACTGGACTTGCACGTAGGCCAGATTTATGTTTCTCTCCACCCAAACATCTCAGTGGAGTAAAGAATAACAAGGCAGCGTTACTGCAACATGTCTCGCCTCCCGCCACAGGGCAGCTTTTCTCCTAGCTCAGACTTGAACAAATGTACAATCGGGTTTACACCGAGACATTCAGTTCCCAGGGGCAAGCAGGAGATAGTGGCCTTCCTCCATCTCAACTACAAGAGGCTTTCCTCTTTTCCTAATCCGCCTCAGCACAGACCCTTTACGGGTGTCAGGCTGGGGGACAGTCAGGTCTTTCTCATCCCACGAGGCCATATTTCAGACTATCACATGGGGAGAAACCTTGGGCAATACCCTGCTTTCAAGGGCAGGGCTCCCTGCGGCTTTCCACGGTGCATTGTTCCCGTGGTTTATTGTGACTAGAGAATGGCAATGACTTTTACCAAGTATACTGCTTGTAAATATTTGGTTAACAAGGCACGTCCTGCACAGCCCTAGATCCCTCAAACCTTGATTTTATACAACACATGTTTTTGTGAACTCCAAGTTGGGGCAAAGTGACTGGGGCAAAGTGGCTGGGGCAAAGCTACAAATGAACAACATCTCAGCAAAGCAATTGTTAGAGTACAGGTCTTTTTCAAAATGGAGTCTCTTATGTCTTCCCTTTCTACATAGACACAGTGACAGTCTGATCTCTCTCTTTTCCCTACATTTCCCGCTTTTCTTTTTGACAAAACCGCCATGGTCATCATGGCCCCTTCTCGCTGGTCGCTGTCTCTCCGGAGCTGCTGGATACACCTGTAGACTAACAATAGAGAGGACAGACATACAAGAATTAATACAAAATTTGCAATAGTGGAATTTCCAATGGTTTTAACCCAAGTGACAGGGTTAAGATTTGTGAGGCTATCAACAGCTTTTACCATTGCCTCCGTTTCTGACACCAGATTTAACTGGGCTTTTGATGTTTCAAAAATTTGTTCTTTCAATTTAGAAATATCTGAGGTAAGATTATCTTATCTTCCTTGTAGATGGCGTCTAACCATGTCCCAGTGCTGTTCAGATTCATTATAGGCTCGAGGTGTAATAGAAAAATCTGACATATTCCAGTCACACTGTAACTGAAAAAGATATTCTAAGCTCATGAGCCTATCTCCCATCCAAATAACAGTTTGTCTAAGATCATTAATTTGATTTGCCAATTTTTGACCTGTTTGAGTCTAAGAATTCCTCAATTTTGAGGAATTCTTTTGCCAATTATTCACATATTCTGCAGTTTGAACAGAGGAGTGTAAAGCAATTCCAGCAGCCGCAGCAGTAGCTGTGACTGCAATAAGACCCATAATCACTGCAATCAAAGTAAAAATGAATCTTTTAAATCTAATTAGAACTCCTTTTAATACTTAAGGTATGTACGGATGGAGAAGCCTCCCACGGTCGATCCATGGACACAGGGATCCACACGCCTTCTCTTGCCCTTACTAACAGAATAGCATTCTGCCAATCAAAAGTTGAATCAATGCAAGTAAACAATCTACAATTTTCACTGGTTGTAGTTTGGGAATCTGGTTTAATAGCTATGTTTTCTACAACTAGCATATAAGGGGGTTTTACACAACTTTGCAAAGGAATTTTCAGATTGGAATTTAGGTTAATAGTTAATATGGCTTATGATTTCTTGTTCCCATAACTTGATTTCCAGACCAAATTCTAATGTGGTACGAGGCCACAGTGAGCTTCCATAATTCTGGGTGTTCAGGACCAAAAACAGGACTAACTAAATTTGGTCGGGGTGATGAAATCCTCTTTTCACCCCATTTCCATGGATAGGGTGATTCTAGCCTTCTATAAACCTGGTCTAGCCTTTTAGTTAAATCACTATCACAGGCCGGATTAGTGGGCCAGACACATGGAGCCTGTGAACATGAGTGGGTCTGGCCCATACAGTCATAATATAATTGGCATTGAGGGGCCTAGTCTATAATAGTTTCAAATTTATTGTTTTGTAGTACCACTGCAGTATCAGCCACACATTCTTCCCAAACTAAGACTACTGGGTCTTTTGATTCTTTTGGAATTTCCCTGGGGCATGGTTTCCCTTTAGGCCTAAATTTTAATGATCTTTGATAGGAAGAATTCTGTAAATTATTCATTTGTGACCTGAGCGACATTCCTCTTATCATATGATAAGTAAATTTACTGGTGGCACTGACAGTAGGTACTTCTATCAACCAAGTTTGGATTGTAGGCATTAAGCATCCTGGTGCTTTTCCCAGGCAAATAGGAGGATAATGATACCCAATGGAAATGTTTATCATCATTCCTTTTTCTTCAGGTTGGGCAGGGCCACGGTCATCTGTGGGGCCTGGTACCCATGCACTGTTATTAACATATACTTCAATAGGATTATCTATCCAAGTGACTGCTCGAATTAAGGGTGGGAAAATCACATAGGCCCAGTAAGTATAGTTAGCTGTAGCGGCTCCTGAAGACATAGGGAGACTTACCACCGTTGATACAATCATTAAATCTGCAAGTAGCATATTCTCTGGAGTTTGTGTTACCCTTGTGTTTTCCAGGCTTTTTTCAGCTAACTGTGTCAGCTTCTTTAGCTGGGCCCAGGTCGGCGGCCCCACTTTCTTGGTGGATGGCAACTTCATCTGTTCTTCTGATATCACCATTTCGTTCACCCTGCGAGTCGATGATGTTCGATTGCGGGTTCTCTGTCTCTGCGGAGGTGCCTTCCCTTGCACCTCTGATGGGTTCATTGTAGAACTTCAAATGTCTAGTGGGTACCCAAAGAGGAAGCTGATTTTCTGCTGTTGGAACACAAGCAAAACCTCACCCCCATGTTATCACCTTACCTATTTCCCATGTTTTATTTTTGTTGTCTTTCCACCAAATCAGTTTTCCCTCATGTGGGCTGTTCTTTTTACCAGTAAAATGTTGTTCTGCAGAAGTAGTGGTCTGATTTCTATATATATTTAAAAAATTTAAAGTATAGAGTGCTAGATTAAGTTGCATCTGGGGAGTATTATACTCCTTACTTTTTCCTTCTTTTGTTTAACCAATTGAGCTTAGAGTGTTCTATTAGTTCTTTCAATTATGGCCTGTCCTTGGAAATTAAGGATTCCTGTTGTATGTGTAATTTTCCACTGATTTAAGGATTTTTGAAATGCTTTACTACAGTATCCTGGCCCATTACCTGTTTCAATTTTTTCTGGAAATCCCATGACTGCAAAACAAGATAATAAATGTCTTTTAACATGGGAAGTACTTTCTCCTGTCTGGCAGGTTGCCCATATGAAATGTGAATAAGTATCAACTGTCACATGGACAAATGACAATTTTGCAAATGAAGGTACATGTGTGACGTCCATTTGCCATAATGCATCAGGACATAAACCTCTAGGATTAACTCCTGCCTCTTGAGCGGGCAGGTGTAAGACTTGACACTGAGCACAATGTTGTACAACATTTTTTGCTTGTTTCCATGTGATATCAAATTTGTTTTTTAATCCTGTTGCATTTACATGAGTCAGGGCCTGAAGTTCTTGTGCTTTCATGAAGGCAGATGATACTAGCAAGTCAGCTTGTTCATTTGCCTTAGTTAAAGGCCCTGGTAAATTAGTATGTGCTCGGATATGAGCAATATAAAATGGGAAATTTCTTTTTCTTACAGTTTGTTGTAACAATTTAAACAGCTGATTTAACTGATCATCCATACTATATTTGATTAGGGCTGTCTCAACATCTTTTGTAGCCTGTACTAAATATGCAAAATCTGAAACAATGTTAATAGGCTGATTAAAATCTTGTAACACTGAAATGACAGCAACCAATTCTGCTCTTTGAGCTGAGTGATATTGAGTTTCAATGACTTGTTCTTTTGGCCCAGTGTAAGCCACTTTTCCGTTGCTGGAACCATCAGTAAACACCGTCAGAGCATTTTCTAGAGGTTTTTGTCTGGTAATTTTAGGTAAAATCCAAGTAGTCAATTTCAAAAACTGGAAGATTTTTGCTTTTGGGTAATGATTATCAATAATTCCCACAAAATCAGCAAGACCAATCTGCCCTGCACCAGAATTGATAAAGACTTGTCTATCCTGTTCCTTGTTTAAAGAAACAATGATTTTATCTGGGTCATTTCCACACAATTTTACTATTCATAGTCTTGCCTGACCAATTAATGTAGCCATTTGATCTAAGTACAATGTAAAAGTCTTAACTGTACTGTGAGGAAGGAATGACAACTCCACAAGATCTGTATTTTGAACAATAATGCCTGTTGGAGAATGTGCAGTAGCAAAAATTAAAAGTTGGAGTGGGGCTAAGTGATCTATTCTATTTACTTTTGCTGACTGAAATTTTTCTTCAACTAATTCTATTTCTTTAGTTGCCTCTGGAGTTAATATTCTTTTACTATTTAAGTCTGGATCCCCTCTCAAGATAGAGAACAAATTTGACATGGCATAAGTAGGGATGCCTAGAGTTGGCCGAATCCAATTAATATCTCCTAGCAATTTTTGAAGTCATTTAATGTTCTTAATGTGTCTTTTCTTATTTCTACTTTTTGTGGTTTAATTTTTCTCTCCTCTACCTGCATTCCCAAATAATGAAAAGGAGTGGAGATCTGAATCTTATCAGATGCTATTGTCAGGCCTGCGTTTGCAACCTCTGTCTGCAGAAATGTGTAACAGTCAATTAATTTGTCTCTTGTTTCTGCAGCACACAAAATATCATCAACATAATGAATGATATAACAGTCTGAAAACTTGTCTCTAACTGGTTGAAGAACTTGAGCTACAAAAGTCTGACAAATAGTTGGACTATTAAGCATTCCCTGAGGCAACACTTTCCACTGAAATCTAGTGGCTGGTTCTTTATTATTTATGGCTGGTATAGTGAAAGCCAATTTTTCAAAATCCTGTTTTGCCAGAGGAATGGTAAAAAAGCAATACTTCAGATCAATTATAATTAAAGGCCAGTCTTTGGGGATCATGGCTGGAGAGGGCAGCCCAGGTTGGAGAGGCCCCATGGGTTGAATTACTGCATTAACGGCTCTTAAATCAGTTAGCATGCGTCATCTGCCTGATTTTTTCTGAATTACAAACACAGGAGAATTCCAAGGCGAAAATGAATGCTCAATATGTCCCTTTTCTAATTGTTATTTTGCCAATAAGTGTAAGGCCTCCAGCTTTTGTTTTGGTAGTGGCCACTGATTTACCCATACAGGCTTTTCTGTTTTCCAAGTTAATGAAATGGGTTTTGGAGGCTCTACAGTGGCCACCCCTAAAAAGGATACCCTAGTCCTTTTCTTTCTGGATTTCCCTTAGCCTCAATTGGAACTTTAATGCCTTCTCCATTTTTCCCTAGTCCTTTGCCAGGGAGCTATCCCATTTTAGTCATGATTTTTTGACTCGTGGGGCTGTACAGAGAGACTGGAATAGTAATCTCTGCATGCCACTGTTCTAATAAGTCTCGGCCCCATAAATTAATTGGAATAGAAGTAATCATAGGCTGAACTGTACTCTCTTGATTATCAGGTCCTAGACAATGTAAAATCCTGGCACTTTGATACACTTCTGAGGCAGTGCCCACACCAACAAGTCCTGTAACAGGCTTTTGTTTAGGCCAATTTTTTGGCCATTGATTTAAGGCAATGATAGAAACATCAGACCCAGTATCCACTAATCCTTCAAATTGTTTTCCATGAATAGTAACTGTACACACAGATCTATTCTCTGAGAGCTGACTAGCCCAATAAACAGCTTTTCCAGCAGTGTTGGTACTTGCAAACCCTCCTGTTCTTTCTGTTTTGCTATCCCCAATTTTAATATAAGGCAAGAGCAGTAATTGAGCAATTCTATCACCTGGATTGGCACTCCAGGGAACAGTACAGCTGATCACTAACTGAATTTCCCCTTTATAATCTGAGTCAATTACCCAGTATGAATTTGAACTCCTTTCAAATTTAGACTAGATCTTCCTAAAATAAGGCCTACCATCCCTTGTGGCAGCGGGCCATATACCCCTGTAGGAATCTTTTGCAGGGGCTCTCCACGGAGTAAAGAAATCATTTGAGTAGAACATAAATCTACTGCAGCACTGCCTGCTGTGGCAGAGGATAATTGTCGTATTGTAATTGGCTGATTTCCTGAAATGGTGGTATTTACTGTGGGGGTTGTTGTCCCTGAAAACCCTGAGGAACAAATGGCTGAATCGGGAATGCCCCACTTTGTTGCGGGGCCTGGGGCTGGCCCCTCTTGCCGTTTCCCGACAATGGTTGTCCCTTTTTATCAAATTTAGAACGACATGCCTTAGCCCAATGTTTTCCTTTTCCACATCTTGGACACAGGCCAGGTGGCTCTTTTTTTTTTTTTTTTTTTTGCTGTTTATTTAAGCCCGGGCAATTCTTTTTTAGATGACCGATTTGACCACAATTATAACATTTTCCCCCAAATGTTTTAACTTGTCCTCCTATAGCAACCCCTGTAATTGCTTGAGCCAATGGCATTGCCTTATGCATAGCTCCTCCAATCCCATCACAAGCCTTCACATATTCTGTAATTACATCAACTCCTGCTGAAACATTTCCTCTTAATGGCTTTATGGCTGATTGACACTCTGAATTTGCGTTTTGATAAGCCATTATTTCTACAATAACTTTTCGGGCGTTACCTGCAATGGATTTTTGAGCTGCATCTTGCAACCTTGCCACAAAGTCTGGATATGGCTCTTTAGAGCCTTGTCTGATTGAACTAAAAGAAGGGCATGAGGTTCCTGGGTCCTGAATGTTTTCCCAGGCCCTGAGGCAAATAGCCCTTATAGTTGTTCAATAGCCTCATTTTCATTACTGATTGTTGATTAATAGTGTCCCAGTTTGGACCTCTTCCTAGCAATTGGTCTTCATCTATATAAGCAACAGGATTAGTAGCCTGATTTTTTCGTACCTGTTCTTGTACCCCATCAATCCACCAGGTTTTAAACTGGAGATACTGAGAGGGTGAAAGGGAAGATATAGCCAGAATTTCCCAATCATAAGAAATAAGTCTATTTCCATGAGCAATGGAATTTAATAATATTCTCATATAAGGAGAGTTAGGTCCATATTGTTTAACTCCTGCTTGACTGCCTTTCCCGGCCGGCATCTGTTGTAACATTACCGGATATTGCCATGCCTCAAGATCTCCCTGTTTTCTGGCTGTAGCAATGGTCTCATGCAGTGCACTATCTTGTCCACTAGGTGGTACCGTAAGATCAAACGCCATCGCCGTGGGTTGTTGATATAGTGCCTTGCTATTTGCCACAGGACGCACCGCCTGAGATCCATACTGAACCTCTGGAGACGGCGGATACTGAAATGCGGCTGGCGGCTGGTGTTGATAAACTACCGATGGTTGGGTTTTATTTTCTACTGGCTGGTATTGCGGATACTGTGCCTGGATTGGCATTTGAGATTGTGACATCACAGGCATCTGAACCGCGGGAGAAGGAGTTGGTGGCCATCGTGGTCTAAACTCTGATGGCCCAAATAATTCTGGACCTCCTTCCCCCAATTTTGATGATTCAGGATATATTACCTCCTGTAATTGATTATAGTCAACATTCTGCATTGACCAAGTCAGTACAGGCTCTACTGCATTTTTACAATGTGAACTTTCCATTCCTTTCTTAAACTCTGTTCCTGCCTCTTCTTCACAATCTATTACACAGCTTTCAGGGGCATCAAAGACTGAAACCCTATCTTCTTCTATATGAAATTGTTCTAAAGTTGCTTTAATAGTGACCCAATCACTCCATACTGTAAGTGGGATGATTTTACCTTCCCTAATTGCTTGTTTTAGTTCTTTGCCATTTTTTTCCCAATCTTTTAAATCTAAAGTTCCCTTTTCTGGAAACCATGGGCGGAATTGTTCTATTGTTTGAAATAGCGTAACTAGATTTTCTGTAGAAGCTTTAACTCCCCCTCTTCTTAAGAGAATTTTAATGAAGCTGAGATAAGAAGCATATTTACTTTCAGTTTGCCCCATTGTTATCCTGGATTCCTCCCAGCACACAAGCTAACCGCAAGGCTGACTGTGGACGTACTCGGGAATCTCTCGTCGGCTGTCCTCAATGCTCACGTTCTTAGCGTACCTTCACCCTAGAGAAGGGCCCCACGCTGGGCTCCAGATGAAGGGGTGGTCTGCCCCTCCACACCTGTGGGTATTTCTAGTCAGGTGGGATGAGAGACGGAGAAAAGAAATAAGACACAGAGACAAAGTATAGAGAAACATCAGTGGGTCCAGGGGACCGGCACTCAGCACACCAAGGACATGCACAGGCACCGGCCTCTGAGTTCCCTCAGTTTTTATTGATTATGATTTTCATTATTTCAGCAAAAAGGAATATACTAGGAAAGCAGGGTGATAATAAGGAGGTCAACAAAAAACATGTGAGCAAAAGAATCTATATCATAATTAAGTTCAAGGGAAGGTACTATGACTGGACGTGTACGTAAGCCAGATTTATGTTTCTCTCCACCCAAAAATCTCAGTGGAGTAAAGAATAACAAGGCAGCATTGCTGCAAACATGTCTTGCCTCCCATCACAGGGCAGCTTTTCTCCGATCTCAGACTTAAACAAATGTACAATCGGGTTTTACATCGAGACTTTGAGTTCCCAGGGGCAGGCAGGAGACAGTGGCCTTCCTCCATCTCAACTGCAAGAGGCTTTCCTCTTTTACTAATTCACCTCACCACAGACCCTTTATGGGTATCGGGCTGAAGAACAGTCAGGTCTTTCTCATCCCACGAGGCCATATTTCAGATTATCACATGGGGAGAAACCTTGGACAATACCCTGCTTTCAAGGGCAGAGGTCCCTGCGGCTTTCCACAGTGTATTGTGCCCCTGGTTTATTGAGACTAGAGAATGGCAATGACTTTTACCAAGTATACTGCTTGTAAACATTTGGTTAACAAGGCACATCCTGCACAGCCCTAGATCCCTCAAACCTTGATTTTATACAACACATGTTTTTGTGAACTCCAAGTTGGGTCAAAGTGGTTGGGGCAAAGTGGCTGGGGCAAAGCTACAAATGAACAACATCTCTGCAAAGCAATTGTTTTAAGTACAGGTCTTTTTCAAAATGGAGTCTCTTATGTCTTCCCTTTCGACATAGACACAGTGACAGTCGGATCTCTCTTTCTTTTCCCTACACAAATAAAGAGCCCAGTGCCTTTTCTCATTGCTCAAGAGATTGAAGGGGTAGGAAGAAAAGATGTTAAGTTATAAACATGTTTCAGTTTTGGTACCACTTGAGCCAATTTATGTTTTGAAGAGGAAAGGGTCTTGCCTACAAGTCAGTCCCTGGGTTTTCCTTCTGCTTATGGAATCCAGGCAATGGGCAAAGAGAAAAAGAAAACTAAGGAATCAGCCAGATGCAGTGGCTCATGCTTGTAATCTTGGCCCTTTGGGAGGTTGAGGCAGGCGGACTTCTTGAGTCCAGGAGTTCAAGACCAGCCTGGCCCACATAGCGAGACCCCGTTTCTACAAAAAATACAAAAAGGTGCTGAGCATGGTGGCATGCACCTGTAGTTCCAGTTACTTGGGAGGCTGAGGTGGGAGAACTACTTCAGCCCAGGAGGTTGAGGCTGCAGTGAGCCATGATTGTGCCACTATACTCCAGCCTGGGTGACAGAGTGAGGTCCTGTCTCAAAAGAAAACAAAAAAGATAAGAAAAAGAAAACTAGGGAATCTGGACAGAATAAGTTTATATATATAATAAAGAACTGAGATAGAACTGGGTTGACTGAATAATTATTTGAGTTGCTTTTGAGTGAATTTTTCCTATTGGAGTCTACCTTTGTTTTTTTGTGTGTGCGCGTTTTTTTTTTTTTTTTTGTTTAGTTTTGTCTTTGTGTTTTTTTTGAGACTGGTCTCTGTTGCCCAGTCTGCTGGAGTGCAGTGGCACGATCTCAGCTCACTGCAACCTCTGCCTCCTGGGTTCCAGCAATTCTTCTGCCTCAGCCTCCCTAGAAGCTGGGACTACTGGGCATGTACCACCAAGCCCAGCTAATTTTTGTATTTTTAGTAGAGATGGGGTTTCACCATGTTGGCCGGGCCTGGTCTTGAACTCCTGGGCTCAAGTGATCCACCTGCCTCAGCCTCCCAAAGTGCTGGGATTACAGGTGTGAGCCCCTGCGCCCAGCTAGAGTCTACCATTCTTTGAATTCACTGCAGTGCAAAGACTGGAACATGTGGAACTCCAGGTGTATATGGGTTATGTAGAGATGCTAGGGGCAGATTAAGGAAGGAAAGATATGAGAAGCCTGCAGAGCATGCTTTCCCAGACTGTATGGGCCCTGGGAAAGGAGAAGTGGACAGAAAGGGAGCACTAGGTACCCTGGAAGAGAAGATTCATCCAAGTCATCAGGGAAGTTACTAATGCAAGGGAAAAAATTTAGAGACAGGGCCAGCCACGCTTCTTCCAAGTCCTTTCTGTCTGCTCAGTCACCTCTATGCTTATTTTTCTTCTTTCCTCTAAGTAGTGTCATGCGTTTTCTTCCTATTCCTAGTCGCTCCTAGTCAACTAACTCCTCTCTTTACCATCTTTTCATCAGAACTTGAAACCTCCTCTCCTTCATGTATTAGTGATCATGTTTCTCCATAATACTGCTAGAAACAAGAATTGAAACCTGGAAAACCTGCATTTGAGAACCAGATCTCCCTCTGCTAGCTATTTGAGAAGTTATTTTGTTCCATTCTTTTTGTTGTTGTCGAAACAGGGTCTCACTCTGTCGCCCAGGCTAGAGTGCAGTGGTTCAATCTTGGCTCACTGCAGCCTCAATCTCCTGGGCTCAATCAATCCTTCCACATCAGCCTCCTGAGTAGCTGAAACTACAGGTGTGTGCCACCACAGCTGGCTAATTTTTAATGCTTTTTTTTTGTTTACTTATTTTTTTTTTTTTGTAGAGATGGTGTCTTGCTATGTTGTGTAGGCTGGTCTCAAACACATGGGCTCAAGCGATCCTCCTGCCTTGGTCTCTCAGATGAAATGGGAAAAGTTCTGTTGTCCCCCTCGAAGGGCATGCGATGCGGGTGTGGTTCGTTTATTCAGTGCCCCACTGCTCAAACCTCTAGGAGAGCATGCAGACAGGCAGGGAGACCCATGGCAGTGTCCAGGGGTGAATGTTCATAGTTGAAGCCCCAGTGGGCGTGTGTTACAGGGTGCTCTTTTAGTTTAGCCGTCTGTAGGTAGCTTGTGTTAGTCGGCTCAATTAGACCCCTGCCTTATTGCAAGGAGAGAGGGCTCTCTTTGTCCCGGGGTTCTTGTCTTGGTGTACCAGAAGTGGTGTGATCTCAGCTCACTGCAAGCTCCTACTCCTGGGTTCACGCCATTCTCCTGCCTCAGCCTTCCAAGTAGCTGGGACTACAGGCACTCGCCACCACGCCTGGCTAATTTTTTTGTATTTTTAGTAGAGATGGGGTTTCACTGTGTTAGCCAGGATGGTCTGGATCTCCTGACCTCGTGATCTGCCCGCCTCGGCCTCCCAAAGTTCTGGGATTACAGGCGTGAGAGTGCAAGGTTTTATTGAGTGGAAGTATCTCTCAGCAGATGGGCGTGCCAGAAGGGAGATGGTTTACCCCTGGAGTTGGATGAGTGGCCGGACTCTTCTCCGAATATCCCAGCCAAACTCTGCGTTGTTCTGCAGTCAGTGGCCTGCGGTGTGACGGTGCCCATTGGTGCGTTCCTGTTGAAGTCCAGCACCCTTGTGTTCCTCTGCTGATGTGCTCCTCTCAAAGTCCAGCTGCCTGTGTCTGCCTGCTAGGGTCTCAGGGTTTTTATAGGCACAGAATGGGGGTGTGGCAGCCAGGGTGGTCTTGGGAAATGCAACATCTGGGCAGGAAAACAAAAATGCCAGTCCTCACCTAGGTCTGTGGACACAGGCCCTGGGGTGGAGCCCTAGCCAGGGACCACACCCTCCTCTACCCAGTACTTCCCTTCCTCACTTCCATATCATTTAAAGGGACCACATTCTTCCCTTCTGAGCACTTCCCTTCTGTATCACAAAGTTTTGGGATTATAGGCATGAGGCACTGGTCCCAGCCAATTCCGTTCTTTTAATGCAAACTAGAAAATAGGTGTTCAGAAAGGCCTGCCCTATCCACCTCAGGGAGTTGCTATGAAGATCAAATTAGACCATGTGCAACAGAAGTTTAGAAAAGATTCCAAAAGCACTGTGCAATGGGAATGTATTTTTAAACTCCACTGAGTGGACTTAAAACTATGGTTTTCTTTCTTTCTTTCTTTCTTTTTGGTTGAGACAGAGTTTCACTCTTGTTGCCTAGGCTGGAGTGCAGTGATGCCATCTTGGCTTACTGCAACCTCTGCCTCCCAGGTTCAAGTGATTCTCTGCCTCAGCCACCCGAGTAGCTGGGATTGCAGGCGCCCACCACCGTGCCTGGCTAATTTCTTTCTTTCTTTGTTTTTGTCTTTTTAGTAGAGATGGGGTTTCACAGTGTTGGCCAGGCTGGTCTCAAACTCCTGAGCTTAGGTGATTCACCCACCTTGGCCTCCCAGAGTGCTGGGATTAAGGCTTTAGCCACCGCACCCAACGTGTGTTTCTTTTTCAAGCAAGAAAACAAATGCCTCTCCCCAGCGCTCACTAAACAAATCCCTCTGTTATTTTTTTTTCCATAGGATTCTTATCCTTCTTGCCCCACTGCAAACAATCTATTTTCTTTTGGCCCTTCCGTCTGTCTGTGAAAGGGTCAGGCTTTCTAGCTAACCCTTAATCAAATATTTTTGATGACCACAGTCAAGACAGTACTTATTATTTTTTGGGGGGGACGGAGTTTTGCTCTTGTTGCCCAGGCTGGAGGGCAATGGCGCAGTCTCAGTTCACTGCAACCTCTGCCTCCAGGGTTCAAGTGATTCTCTTACCTCAGCCTCCCAAGTAGCTGGGATTACAGGTGCACAACACCACACCCAGCTAATTTTTGTATTTTTAGTAGAGATGGGGTTTCTCCATGTTGGTCCGGCTGGTCTCGAACTCCTGACCTCAGGTGATCTACACACCTCAGCCTCCCAAAGTGCTGGGATTACAGGGGTGAGCAACCCTGACTGGCCAGGACAGTGCTTATTAATTCCTGAGATGCATCCAGGAGCACATGACCTGGCTGTGACTGTTCTAACAGAGTTCCCCAAATGGGTGGCTCAGGACAACAGAAAGTCATTCTCTCCAGTTCCAGAAGCTTGATGTGTGAAACCCGCAGGGCCATGCTCCCTCTGAAGGCTCTAGGGGTGAATCCTTCCTTGCCTCTTCTGGCTTCTGGTGGTTGCTGGCATTCTTTGGCTTGTGTCCACATCATTCCATTCTCTTCCTTCATTCTCATGTGGCCTTCTCCCCTGTGTGTCTCTGTCTCTTCTTCTCTTCCCATGAGGATGCCATTATTACTCGATTTAAGGTTCACGCTATTCCAATATGACCTCTTTGTAATTAGATCTGCAGTGACCCTATTTTCTTTTCTTTTTTTTGTGATGGAGTCTTGCTCTGTTGCCCAGGCTGGAGTTCAGTGACACAATCTCAGCTCGCTTCAACTCTGCCTCCTGGGTTCAAGTGATTCTTCAGCCTCAGCCTCTGAAGTAGCTGGGATTACAGGTGCACGCCACCATGCCTAGCTAATTTTTATGTTTTTAGTAGAGACAGGGTTTGCCATGCTAGCCAGGCTGGTCTCGAACTCCTGACCTCAAGTGATCCTCCTGCCTCAGCCTCCCAAAGTGCTAAGATTACAAGCATGAGCCACCATGCCCTGCCCCTATTTTCTAATAAGGTCACATTCTGGGATTCCTGGTGAATGTGAATTTTTGGAAGACAGTATTCAGTCTAGCAAAAGGCAGAACATCCTCATTTTCTTCCCTACCTCAGAAATAAAGAAGTTAACTTCAACCCCTCTGAGAGAGGCTTCCTGAGCTTCCAACAATCAATTATCCAAATATTAGTCACAGAAGGGCACTAAGGGTTGTGCACAGCACGTGGCCAGCCCATTCTCTGAGTCTGTCAAGTTTAAGGTGAACGCTAATCCTGAATGAGTCTTAAAATGTACTTGGCATATCCTGTTCATTGTAAAATGTTCTCACATTGTGATGGCTGGGGCTTCCCTCTCAGGTGTAATCTGAGAAGTCAGACGTGACACAGCCTGGGTGAGGTGGGCCAAGCCGGGAACTGGGTTAGGAGGGAAGCTGGGGAATGATCTCCAAGGTCTCAGATCCCAAACTGGCTTTAGCCAGATTCACCCAGAGGGATCTCATAAAAAATGCACATTCCGGGGCCCACCCCAGACCTAATGAATCAGAATTACCTGGGAAGGAGCCTGGGGAGCTCTGTTTTCAGAAGCAGCCCAGCCGAATCCTACGGTCAGACAGGGCTAGGAATCGAAACTCAGTCTAGCGCGGTAGTTCCCAAACTCGTCTGTGCTTCAAAAAATACAGATGCTGATGTCCAGACATGGTGGCTCATGCCTATAATCCCAGCAGTTTGGGACGGTGAGGCGGGAGTATCACTTGAGCCCAGGAGTTTGAGACTAGCCTGGAGAACATAAGGAGATACTGTCTCTATAAAAAATTTAAAAATTAGCCGGGCGTGGTGGTGCCCGCCTGTGATCCCAGCTACCGTGGAGGTTGAAGTGGGAGGGTTTCTTGAGCCCAGGAGTTGGAGCCTGTAGTGAGCTATGATTGTGCCACTGCACTCCAGCCTGGGTAACACAGCGAGGCCCTGTCTCAAAAACAAAACAAAACAAAAAACGGAGTCTATGTCCCATTCCAGAGGTTGAGGTTTAATTGTTCTTGGGTGTGGCCTGGGTTTTGGAAGATTTAAAAAAAAAATCTCAGGTGACCCTAAAGTGTAGATGAGTTTGGAAACCACACATTTAAGGCACACTTGAATGGGGGAGCAGTGAGGTGGCGCGGGCTAGCCGGCCAGAACCCAGGGGTGGGCCAGTAGGAACCAGCATTGCAGAGGCCATTAAGGTTGGGAAGCATAGTGTCTGGGGCCCATAACAATGCTTCGGCATGAATGCTTTAGACCTAAGACAATTGGCTCCTAAATGTGAAAACTGCAAGGCTGAAATGAATGCATGTTTAATGCCTTACAACATTGTCAAGTGATCAGCTGCAACTCCTTTCTGAGGGCATGATGCCTGAGATATGCCTGTAATGCGGGTTGATTTTAATTAATTTAATATGGTGTGGAGTGGGGCCTTCAAAAGTAAAGACGTCAGTTCTAAGTTGGTTGCAGGGTTCTGGGCAAAGGTCTTAAAACCCCATGGTGAGCAGATGGCCAATCCTGAACACCCCAATTTTAAAACAGGGCTTTTTTTCCAAGAGACTTTTTGAAAATAGCTCCTATTTTGAGAGGAGGAACCCTGGCAGGAGAGAGCCAGAGTTAAGCCCAGCTGAGAGGGGGTTGGTAGGCAGGGGTCTGCCTGATCCTCACTGAAGCTTGATACTCAGGGTGAGCTTCCTAAACTAGTGCAGATTTGCCGGCCCACTGAGCCTCCCAGATGAGAACCTGCATTTCAACAAGGTCCTTGATGCAGCAAAGTTTGAGATATACTGGGCTAGAACACTCAGGGGACACAAAGGTTCTCTGAAAACTAAGGAAAATAGGCAGGGTGTGGTGGCTCATGCCTGTAATCCTTGTATTTTGGGATGCCAAGGCGGGCGGATCACCTGAGGTCAGGAGTTTGAGACCAGCCTGGATCAACATGGTGAAACACCATCTCTACAAAAAATACAAAAATTAGCTGGGTGCGGCCGGGCACAGTGGCTCATGCCTGTAATCCCAGCACTTTGGGAGTCCGACGCGGGCAGATCACGAGGTCAGGAGATCGAGACCATCCTGGCTAACACGATGAAACCCTGTCTTTACTAAAAACACAAAAAAATTAGCCGGGCGTGGTGGCAGGTTCCTGTAGTCCCAACTACTCGGGAGGCTGAGGGAGGAGAATGGCATGAACCTCGAGGAGGAGCTTGCAGTGAGCCGAGATTGCACCACTGCACTCCAGCCTGGGCAACAGAGCCAGACTCTGTCTCAAAAAAAAAAAAAAAAATTATCTGGGTGAAGTGGCAGGTACCTGTAGTCCCAGCTACTTGGGGGGCTGAGACAGGAGAATAGATTGAACCTGGGAGGCGGAAGTTGCAGTGGCCCGAGATCGCACCACTGCACTCCAGTCTGGTGGCAGAGTGAGACTCCATCTAAAAACATAAAAAAAAAATACACAAATAAATAAAAAATAAAAATAAATACTGGGCTAGAAGACCCAGGAGACCCGAAGATTCTCTCAAAACTAAGGAAAATAATCTAGGTCACAAATATATTCTCTTCCTCCTTCTCCCCATTGCCCCCCTCCACCAGTAATCTTTATAGACTCAAATCGAGTTGATGTTCTATAATCAATTCTAGTCACTTTTATTTGTATTTATTTATTTTAGAGATGGGGGTCTCACTGTGTTGCTCAGGCTGGTCTCAAATTCCTGGGCTTAAGTGATCCACCCACCTAGGTCTCCCAAAGTGCTGGGATTACAGGCATCAGCCACTGCACCCGGCTGTCACTTTTATTTTTGATGTTCAAATTATAAGCTAATACCTGTGAGACCATAGATTCTTTTTATGCACTCAATACACTTTCTTGTTTACCTTATATTTGTATTATGGAAAAGTTCTGTTTTTTCCACTTGTTTATATTTGATAATGAAGCCCTCTGTGCCTATCACCAGCCTCAGCCGCCATCATCTCATTACCAAGCTGGGTTATTTTGAAACAAATATCTTCTAATATTTAGCCGGTGTTCAAATTTCCCTAACCATCCTAAAGGAATGTTTAGAACAGTTGTTTCATTGGAAACAAGGTCAAAACAAATACATTTTACATTTTTAGGCCAGTCTTGAAAGTAAGTGTAAAACCATGTGTGGGGTAGGAGGTGGGACTAGACTCTCAAGGTGGGGCCTGGATACCAGACCCAGTTGAGGACTAGCTAAGACAGATTCCACAGTGAATAACACCAGGAGGTGGGAATATTAAGGTCCATTGTGAAGGATGGCTACCACAATTTTTTGATCAACTAGTTATCAACCCTGACTGAAGCTGAGAGAGATTTGTTTTTTCTTTTTTTTCTTTTTTTTCAGAGACAGGGTCTTGCTACGTTGCCCAGGCTGGACTCAAACTCCTGGGCTCAGGTGATTCTTCTGCCTTAGCCTCCTGAGTAGCTGAGACTACAGGTGTGTGCCACTGTGCCCAGCAAGATTTTAAAAAATACGTATGCCCGGACACCACTCTAAACCAACTAAATGAGAATCAGATATCGTGAAGTCACTAATCATTTTGCTCCTGGGTCTTTATGACAGTTTTGCTCCTGGGAAACTCCTGGGAATGTGGTAGAGAGAGAGAAAGAGATGGGAAAATAAGATTTTAAGAAGTGTTGCTATGCATTTTGAAAATAATTTTTATTTGGTGTTTGTCTTGAGGGAAGGCGGTAAACATTTCAATTGCCTTTAAGTGTGCTTGGATGCTGGAACGATGGTTCTTTGAATGCAGCGTCAAACTGGCATTGGGTCACATGGCAGCCAGCATTAACCTTTATGCCACATTTATAAAACATGAATGTCATGAGCCCACTCTCAGAGACCTTATAATTTGGAGGGTTAGGTCAGATCCACAAATCTCTTCTATCTCATGGTAAAGGAAACCTGGCGTGTAGCAGGAGATGGTGTGATAACAATAACATATTGCATGATCAGTATTTGTATTCTTCTTAGCAATATTAAACTTTTTGACCTCCTCCATTGTGTCATCAATTTGCTTAATACAGTTTCTGCCTCAGCGTCTGTTTTTAGGCCTGGCATAAGCTGTTTGAAACCCAGGCACATACCCCACCCATCATCTTTGGCCTACTTAACACCTCCCCTCCCTGCGTGGTGGTTTGGAGAACCTGCTTGTTCCTCATCCCACTGATCCCAAACCCAGGACACCCCACAGCTGCTGACCAGGATTAAACCTAAGGGAGATTTAATGCCGTTAAATCAGAAGAAATTCTGATTCTCAGGGACTGACATTCATTCACTTAAATACTTGCAGAGTCGGCCAGGTGTGGTGGCTCACACCTGTAATCCCAGCACTTTGGGCAGCCGAGGTGGGTGGATCACGAGGTCAAGATTTCGAGACCAGCCTGGCCAACATGGTGAAACCCCGTCTGTACTAAAAATACAAAAATTAACTGGTATAGCTGTGCGTGCCTGTAATCCCAGCTACTCAGGAGGCTGAGGCAGGGGATTTGCTTGAACCTGGGAGGTGGAGGTTGCAGTGAGCCAAGATTATCCCATTGCACTCCAGCCTGGGCAGCAGAGCGAGACTCTGTCTCAAAAAACAAAAAACCCAAAAACTTGCAGAGTGAATTTAGGAAACCATGTAGTCTACAGTTTGATGCAATGTCTTCCTTTTCCTCTTTCTCAAATATTTTGAGCCAGGTACTATCCTAGATTGTCTTGTGATATTTACAATCTAGGAGAAGGCAGGAGAGAGAACTAAGAACAGAGAGCATGTTCTGAGATGTCTGCTGTGTTTGAAGGTACCTTCCCTCAATTTCCCTACTCACTGGCCATGCTGGAAAGCAGGTCTTGAAGCCATATTTGTACCATGGTACTTCCCCTCCCTATACTCAATTGGTGGGCCAGAAGCCCAATTGTCATTCTCTCTCTCTCTCTCCCTCTCCCTCTCTTCCTCCCTCCCTCCCTCCCTCTCCAAGATATCCAGGAACTGATTGATCAGCTGGCGGTGGGCTCGGCTGGCTGCCAGGGTGGGCCACCAGCAAAAAGGGAAAATTGGTTGTGAGTGAGAAGAAGAGATAAGAAAGTCCACAGGGCTGATAAGAAAGACCATGGGCTTCCAGGCGCGGTGGTTCACGCCTGTAATCCCAGCACTTTGGGAAGCCAGGATGGCCGGATCACGAGGTCAGGAGATCGAGACCATCCTGGCTCACACGGTGAAAGCCCATCTCTACTAAAAATACAAAAATTAGCTGGGTGTGGTGGCGGGTGCCTGTAGCCCCAGCTAATTGGGAGGCTGAGGTGGGAGAATGGCGTTAACCCCAGGAGGTGCAGCTTGCAGTGAACTGAGATTGCACCACTGCACTCCAGCCTGGGCGACAGAGCGAGACTGCGTCTCAAAAAAAAAAAAAAAGAAGAAAAAAAGAAAAAAAAAAAGAGACCATGGGCTTCTGAGAGCAAGAAAGAGGAATTTTGGTTTCTGTAACTGCAGTTTCCATTCTCTCATGGCCTCTCATTTGTTTCTTGTGCCCATGAGTTTGCCTGTTAGAGATAAGGTGTGTTTCTTGTCCTCAAGCTCATGCAAATGGGTTTCTGTTTCTTACAATCATTGTTCCCAGATATGGATGGTGACTGATGCTCTACTAAATGCTGAGAAAAGGCAGAGTGGAAGCACAGAAAAGCGGGCTTCTCTGAGGAGGTGACATTAGAGCCCAGTTGGAAGGCAGGAGTAAATGTGCACCATGATTTTTTAGGATTAAAACCAAGTATGTCACTGCTTGGGCACATGTAGATAGAGGTGATTTAACGGTAAAGTGTCCCAGTTGTACCCATTGTCAGTTAGCTCACCACAGGGATTATGTAGCCCTGAGTTTGCTTAGTGCTTATTTATTTTAGGATGTTGTTTATCCAAACCTCTTAAATGATACGTGTTTGGAACAAGTAACAGCATCGTTCATTGATGTTGTGGACAAACCACTATTTTGTTACTCAAGACTGGGTAATTTATAAAGAAAAAGAGGTTTAATGGGCTCACAGTTCCATGTGGCTGAAGAAGTCTCGAAATCATGGTGGAAGGCAAAAGGAATGTCTTACATGGTGGCAGACAAGAGTGATGAGAGCTATTTTGCTCATTGTTCGCTGGCCATAGAATTTACTTCTATATTGTGAACTGAGAGCCAGGCACACAAGACGGTTACAGGTCTGTCTTTTGTTTTTGATGATGATGATGATGATGATGATGATGATGATGATGATGAAATGGCTGACATGGTTGATGACTTGCTTTTTCTCATCATCTCAGACCTAGATTTTTGGCTGGACTATTGGCTTGGGATAGATGAAAATCATTCATTGTATCCCCTTATCTTAAAGTCAAGACTGAAGCAGCCTCCAGACTCAAGCTTTCATGGGACTTCAGATACCATGACGAATGGGTGTCCCTGCAATATTGTCATGGCTGTCAAAAGTGTTATTGGAGCTGGGCAAGTGGGCGCTCTCCTGTCATTCCATCCTCCTTAGATTTCCCATTCAACACCAATCTTATTTCCTTTTTTTTTCATTTTGACAGTCTCGCTCTGTCTTCTAGGCTGGAGTGCAGTGGTGGGATCTCGGCTCACTACAGTGTCCACCTCCCAGGTTTAAGTGATTCTTGTGCCTCAGCCTCCCAAGTAGCTGGGATTGCAGGTGCACACCATCAAGCCTGGCTCATTTTTTTTTTTTTCTTTTTGTACTTTTAGTAGAGAAAGGGTTTCGCCATGTTGGCCAAGCTGCTCTTGAACTCCTGACCTCAAGTGATCCACCTACCTCGGCCTCCCAAAGTGCTGGGATTACAGGTGTGAGTCACCGTATCTGGCCCCATTTCCTCTTATACCATAAGTCATTGCCTGCAGATGTGTTTTCTCCATTAGTTTGCAAAAGCTTCCTGAGAGTAGGTCTGTGCCTCATTTATTCTGGAATCTCCCTGGCACAAAGCACAGGGCTTTATCTTCAGTAGGCATCCAACAAATGTTTCATTTCATTCAACAGCTCCTCTTACCACTGCCTCCACCTTATTTGCAGGTGGCTAAGTACAATCGGAACAAGTAGGTATCATAAGATTTAGTCCAGAGTCAATTTGAGAAGAAATTACTTTAGTGATATGAAAATAAACCATGCTATTGAGTCAGAATACTTCTGAGAATATCCCCTGTCCAAGCATTTGCTGAATTTCTATGTACTAATTTTCAGGTGGAACAGTATGCTTGCAGAGGGTCCATTTGGACATAGATACACTTTCATACATTCATGTCTTTAACAAGAATTTGTGTCCCTACTGTGTTTGTTCACTAACTCCTTTGAACCTACCACATAAGCTATATCTGTATTTTCCTTGTAATTTGGGAGGTCCAGTGCTTCATTACGCTCATATGCCTGAAACTAATGAAGAAAATAGCTCTTTAACCAGCTAGTATAAAAGTAGCCACCAAATCAAGTCAATCACCTGCCTTAAATTAGCCCAGTACTCCCATCTTGAGCGGAGAAGCCCATTCTGAATCACAGCCAAGACATTGATGGAAAAACAACTCCCTCTGGGGATCAAAACCACGCTCACTCCAAATCCTCCTCCCCAGAGTTCTACTCATTGCTCACCCACTGAACCCAGAACTAACCAGAAGTGCTTGAAATGAGGACGGGTAGCTCCGTGTACCAATCGGAATTTAAAACTCTATCAATTCCTGCTATAGAAATGAGGCTTCTCCCCAGGACCAGCATTCCACGAAGGCAGCCCTTTTCTAGATGGAGAAAACAGAACCTGAAGACACCCGTTTCCCTAAACTGCTCTCGCTCATGTGTAAGTACAAATGAAAAATGCTGAGGCTGCTTCTGTTGGCATTGCTTTTTAATTATGGCCATCAATAAATCATTTTGTCCTTGAACAAGACTTGAGAATGACCCGAAGGCAGAGGCACAATTCCTTAGGAATTAGGCCAACAAAGAATGGGCTATCTCTCTTCCCACCCCTTCTCTTACTCTGCTGTCAGAAACAGAAACGTTCTCTGTGAGTAGCTGGGAGTAGACGGCCACACTTGAGTTCCATCTCGGGGTTCTGTTAACACAGTTTTACCCCATCCTGCCTCGATGGCCACTGCCACACAAGCTGCATCTGTTCTTTCTTCTGCGCCTTTTGTTACTTCGTTGTTTTTCCTCTTTCTAGTGTAGTGAGCTGAATGGTGGCTTTGCACAATATATATCCAGATCCTTGTGCCTAGAATCTGTGGAGGTGGCATTATTTGGAAAAAGGGTCTTTGCAGATGTAATTAAGTTAAGGATCTCGAGATTATCCTGGAGTAATTTAGGTAGGCTGTACATCTAAAGACAAGTGTCCTTATAAGAGGACACTTTTGTCCCGGCGCAGTGGCTCATGCCTGTAATCCCAGCACTTTGGGAGGTCGAGGCGGGTGGATCACCATAGGTCAGGAGTTTGAGACCAGCCTGACCAACATGGAGAAACCCCATCTCTACTAAAAATACAAAATTAGCCGGGCATGTTGGCGCATGCCTGCAATCCCAGCTACTGGGGAAGCTGAGGCAAGAGAGTTGCTTGAACCCAGGAGGAGGAGGTGGCAGTGAGCTGAGGTCATGCCATTGCACTCCAGCCTGGGCAACAAGAGTGAAACTCCATCTCAAAAAAAAAAAAAAAAAAAAAGGACACCCTTTTTCTGGCGCGTCCGTGTGAAGAGACCACAAAACAGGCTTTCTGTGAGCAATAAAGCTGTTTATTTCACCTGGGTGCAGGTGGGCTGAGCCCAAAAAGAGAGTCAGCGAAGGGAGATAGGGGTGGGGCCATTTTATAGGATTTAGGTAGGTAAAGGAAAAAGGGGGGTTCTCTGGCAGGCAGGAGTGGGGGTCACAAGGTGCTCAGTAGGGGAGCTTTTGAGCCAGGATGAGCAAGGAGAAGGAATTTCACAAGATAATGTCATCAGTTAAGGCAGGAACAGGACATTTTCATTTATTTTGCGGTGGAATGTCATCAATTAAGGCAGGAACCGGCCATCTGGATGTGTACATGCAGGTCACAGGGGATATGATGGCTTAGCTTGGGCTCAGAGGCCTGACGTTCCTGTCTTCTTATATTCATAAGAAAAATAAAATGAAATAGTGGTAAAGTATTGGGATGGTGAAAATTTTTGGGGGGTGTTATGGAGAGACAATGGGCGATGTTTCTCAGGGCTGCTTCCAGTGGGATTGGGGTGGCATGGGAACCTAGAGTAGGAGAGATTAAGCTGAAAGAAGATTTTGTGGTAAGGGGTGATATTGTGGGGTTGTTAGAAGAAACATTTTTCATTTAAAATTATTGGTGATGGCCTGGATACAGTTTTGTATGAATTGAAAAACTAAACGGAATAAGAGAAGGAGAAAAACAGGTATTAAAGGACTAAGAATTGGGAAGACCTAGGACATCAAATTAGAGAGTGCCTAAGGAGGTTCAGCATAGCCTTGCCAGCAAAGATTATTTAAGAGTTAAGAGTGGTGGTTTGGGGATAGCACCAGGAGATGTCAGCTGTGATGGCTTGGAGAAACAGTGTAAACCACCAGTGTAAACAAGAGCAGGGCATATATGAGTAGTTGAGAATGGTGAATAGGAGTATGGCTAGACAGAAGATAGTAGGGATGACAAGTTTTTTGGGGCACAGTCCAAGTTGGTCTTGTGTCTGGAATGAGACTGGAGCCTAACAAAAAGGAGTGTCTATACAGGAGATCCAAGGGGTATCGGGGGACCTGCCCCGATAATCACGTAGGTTCTTCTCTATTTTCCTAAGCATTGACTGGCTTGAGAAATAAAAGGACAGAGTACAAAAGAGAGAAATTTTAAAGCTGGGCGTCCGGGGGAGACATCACACATTGGTAGGATCCATGATGCCCCACAAGCCACAAAAACCAGCAAGTTTTTATTAGGGAGTTTCAAAAGGGGAGGGAGTATACGAATAGGTGTGGGTGACAGACATCAAGTACTTAACAGGGTAATAGAATATCACAAGGCAAGTGGAGACAGGGCGAGATCACAGGACCACAGGACCGAAGTGAAATTTAAATTGCTAATGAAGTTTTGGCACCATTGTCATTGATAACATCTTATCAGGAGACAGGGTTTTGAGATCAACCGGTCTGACCAAAGTTTATTAGGCGGGAATTTCCTCTTCCTAATAAGCCTGGGAGCGCTATGGGAGACTGCAGTTTATTTCGCCTCTGCAATCTCGACCTTAAGAGACAGGTAAGCCCCGGGGGGCCAGTTCAGAGACCTACCCCTAGGTGCGCATTCTCTTTCTCAGGGACGTTCCATGCTGAGAAAGGAATTCAGTGATATTTCTCCCATTTGCTTTTGAAAGAAGAGAAATATGGCTCTGTTCTGCCGGGCTCACCAGCGGTCAGAGTTTAAGGTTATCTCTCTTATTCCCTGAACGACTGCGGTTATCCTGTTCTTTTTTCAGGATGCCCACATTTCATATTGCTCAAACACACATGCTGTACAATTTGTGTACTTAACGCAATTATTACAGGGTCCTGAGACGATATACATCCTTCTCGGCTGACAGGATTAAGAGATTAAAGCAAAGACAGGCATAGGAAATCACAAGGATATTGATTGGGGAAGTGATAAGTGTCCATGAAATCTTTACAATTTATGTTTAGAGATTGCAGTAAAGGCAGGCATAAGAAATTACAAAAGTATTAATTTGGGGAACTAATAAATGTCCATAAAATCTTCACAATCCACGTTCTTCTGCCATGGCTTCAGCCGGTCCCTCCGTTTGGGGTCCCTGACTTCCCGCAAGAAATGGGCTGTACCTTGTAGCATTCCAAGGACAGGCCGGAATTCTGAGAAGGGAAAGTGGTAAAAGTATTGTCCAGTCCTTTTTAAGTTGGTGGCTGAGCTTGGTAACGTGTGTTTTTAAAAGAGCATCAGTCTGTTCTACCTTTCCTGAAGATTGAGGACTGTAAGGGATATAAAGGTTTCACTGAATACTAAGAGCCTGAAAAAATGCTTGGCTGACTTGATTACTAAAGTTAGTTCTGCTATCGGACTGTATAGAGGTGGGAAGGCCAAACTGAGGAATTATGTCTGACAGAAGAGAAGAAATGACCGTGGTGGCCTTCTTAGACCCTGTGGGAAAGGCCTCTACTTATCCAGTGAAAGTGTCTACCTAGACCAAGAGGTATTTTAGTTTCCTGACTCGGGGCACGTTGAGTAAAGCTAATTTGCCAGTCCTGGGTGGGGGCAAATCCCTGAGCTTGATGTGTAGGGAAGGGAGGGGGCCTGAAGAATCCCTGAGGAGTAGTAGAATAGCTGATGGAACACTGGGAAGTTATTTCCTTGAGGATAGATTTCCACGATGGAAAGGAAATGAGAGGTTCTAAGAGGCGGGCTAGTGGCTTGTACTATAGCATAGCCTGCTTTTGCTGATGTGTGGTAATTAGGCCTGGTGGAACTGCCATCAATAAACTAAGTGTGGTAAGGGTGAGAAACAGAGAAGAAGGAAATATGGGGAAATGGGGTGAACGTCAGGTGGATCAGAGAGATGCAGTCATGAGGGTCAGGTGTGGTATCAGGAATAATGGGGGAGGCCGGATTGAAGTCTGGGCCAGGAACAATGGTAATTGTGGGAGACTCAACAAAGAGTGAGTACAGCAGAAGGAGCCGGGGAGCAGAATGTATGTGTGGCAGGTGTGAGGAAGACAATAGATTTTGGAAATTATGAGAGCTGTAGAGAGTGAGTTGAGCATAGTTTCTGATTTTAAGGGCCTTTAAAAGTCTTAGGGTGGCAGCAGCTGCTGCACGGAGACACAACGGCCAACCTAAAACAGTAAGGTCAAGTTGTTTGGACAAAAAGGCTACAGGACGCCATCCTGGTCCTTGTGTAAGAATTTCAACTGCACAGCGCTGCACTTCGGCTGTGTGTAATGAAAAGGGTTGGGATGAGTCACGGAGAGCTAGTGTAGCAGGACGAGTTCCAGACAAAACTCCTCAGACACTAGATTAAAGAAGGAAGAGGTTTTTTTATTCGGCCGGGAGCGTCGGCAGACTCGTGTCTTAAGAGCCGAGCTCCCTGAAAAAGAAATTCCTAGCCCTTTTAAGGGCTGACAACTCTAAGGGTTCTACGTGAAAAAGTCATAATAGATCAAGGAAGCTTGAGGAACGTGACTGGGGGCTACATACATCAGCTAACAGAACAAAAAGTTTTTACAGTGCTTTCTCATACAATGTCTGGGATTTACCGATAACAACAGTAGTTTTGGTCAGGGGTTAATATTATTGTTACTTTAACCACCAGGGCCAGGTGGTGGCGCCAAAGTCGTCTAGGTATTTATTTTACTTCTGTTTTTTCCAGCTTTTTGCTTTCTCCCTTTTTTGCTGTCTTATAAACTAGGGAAAAGGGGAGGTTGGGGAGAAACTGGGAAGGACAACAGGAGAAGTGGTGGTCTCATACCATATTTCCCCCCTTTGAGCATTTTCACTTTTTAGTGGGAGTTCTCACTCTCATCTTTACTTTTTGAGTCTCTTTGTGAGATAGAGCGATAGTGATTTATATAACACACGTGTGCTGAAGTTTTCTGATGAACCAAAGTAGCAACAAAATCTTTTATCATTTGAAAAAGCAAGAGTAATACACAGGGGAGCAGCAAGTAAGTTCCTATCACTAGCAATACACCTACAATGAGGGTTTTAAATCCTCCTATAGCTGGAAACCATTTTTCAAATAAAGACTCAGGATTAAACTCGTGCCAAACCTCTACAGGCACATGTGCAACCTTTGTCATGTCCCTGACTATGTTTTTAACCACCTGTCCTTGATCATTTATTTGTAGGCAGCAGTTGGTTAAGTTAAATTTTCCACAAACTCCTTCAGCTACTAGCAAGTAGTCTAAGGCCAGTCTTTTCTGATAGATAGCATTCCTCATTTGGGTTTCTTGCAAAGCTAAAACAGTCAAAGCTCTGCCAGTTTCATTAGTAATTATTTCTTAGACGGACTGCAACCGTATGATCCAGTTGAGCATGTAGATGGGGGTTTGGTATCCCCATGAGCCATCTTGTGCCCCTGTGGCAGGCCCATAATACTGAATGATCCTTTCAGGGGGCCACTCATTATCTTTCCAGTTTCCTATAACTATGCCTTTATTTTCTCAGGAGGCATAGACAGGGAAACCTAGGAGCTCACCCATTTTTATGGGTAATAAGAAAAAGGACGGCTTAATAGTGCCAATAACACAACTGTCTGCCCATTTATTAGGTAACCGAATGTAGGCTCTGTGCCTACGTATCTAGTATAGTCCAGTGGGAACCGTCCAGTCCTAATGAGATTCTGCATGAGCCTAAGCAGTTTTTAATTTAGAAAATTTACTAAATGGATTCTTTTCAGTGTGGGTTAGGCCCTACTAAGTAATTGTCTTTGTTGTGCTGTTATACAACTTCTGTCCTATACAATTAAGCTTTCCTACAGGGATGATAAAGTCTTTCCCTTCTCTAGCTATACAGTATTGTCTAATAATTGAGGTTTTAGGACCTAGAAGTTGCTAGCTTGGGCCTTCTGAACTGGAATTATATCAGGAGCTGGATCAGTAGACACCAACTCTCGGGCTTCCGAAGGCCATCTGTCTCCGATAGTGGTTCCTCCGCATACATAACAAGAAGTAACATTAAGGGAATTAGCTACATTTTCTGCTAATTGGAGAAACAAATTTTTTGTCTTTTTCAGAAGTTCTGGTGTTGGCAGATTCAGCTCCTCATAAAACGTTTGAAATACTGTTTTGGGAGAGCACTTGTGGACCTCCCCTCTAATTAAAATGGCAACTAGAGGGTTTAACCCTGTCCTATTGATCCCCAGGGCTACACGTTCTCCCTTTTTCCAAAGGGGATCTAGGGGATTGGTAATTATTAGTTCTAGTGGGTTACAGTGACCGGCGGCCCAGGAGGGGTTGGCTTCTCTCTTCTGAAGATAAACCGAGTCATTTTTGTTCTTTTTTTAAGTAGCCTAAATAACACATGGCCAATAGGCACAATTTTTACAAACCCCTGACTCATGACAAACATATTTATTTTCTACTCTTTAGCTCCTTTCTCAGTTAAGAGAACCACATCCTATTTCTAGCTTTTTACTATTAATGGCTGCACAAGCATCAGATCTTAAAGTTATTTGCTTGGGGATTTCTTTTTCTTCTGTTCTAGTTATTATTTTACTTGTATCACCTAGCAAAAGGCCAGTTCTTATTTCAAAAACGGTGGTTGCAGCGGGCTCAGATGGGCTATAACACGCATCAGGTCGGTCATTTCTTGGGCTACATACCTTGTACTGAGTGGCATTATACAAACAAGTTTCTTTTAATGTTTCCATACATTCATAATAACTATAGAACAGAAAGATTGTTTTAATTTGCTGTCCTACTTCGGTGACCTGATAAATACACTGGGGACAGTCCCCATTTTGAGTAAGGTTAGTTGAAGCCCTTACTGTATAAGTCCAAAATTTAAGAAAAATGAATCTAACGATGAGCTTCCTCATGCTTCGGCCATGCGTGGACCAGTCAGCTTCCAGGTGTGACTGGAGCAGGGCTTGTCGTCTTCTTCAGGGTCACTCTGCAAGGGTTGTCTGGGCTTGGTCTTGCCTCCCAGGTTTCCGGCGCTGCAGGTTTTACACAGCTGTGGTGGTTCCAGACTGGGATTCCTTCTACCTTCACAGCGGTGGGAGTGCTCAGGACGACAGTCTGGGGTCCTTTCCACAGTGGACACAAAGAGGCTACTTTCCAGTCCTTGATCCACACTCGATCACCTGGGGAGAAAGGGTGAACTGGGGAGAATAAACTAACAGGGCATCTCTCATTTACCCAGGCTGAGATTGTCTGTGTAATTTTTCCTAAAGCCTGTAGCTGTCGCTGTAACTCAATTTCACCTAACTCTCAGGGAGTGCCTGGAAGTCCCCGCAATATAGGAGGGGGCCTATGATATAATATTTCATAAGGGGAATATCCTGTTCTTTTAGAAGTGGTACATCTAATTTTAAATAATACCATAGGGAGAGCCTGTATCCATTTTAATCCTGTTTCCTGACATACTTTCCCTAAACTATTTTTGATAGTTCAATTCATTCGCTCCACCTTTCCAGAACTCTGAGGCCAGGAGGCAGCATGCAGTTTCCGTGTGATCCCCAATACCTTTGCCGCCTTCTGTACTAAGTCAGCCACAAACGCCGGCCCATTAGCTGAACTGATCCATAAGGGCAGTCCAAATCTAGGAATAAGATCTCGAAGAAGCACACGAGTTACTTCATGAGCTTTCTCAGTTCGTGTTGGATAAGCTTCCACCTACCCAGGGTAGGTACGCCCAAGAACTAGTAAATACTTGTTACCTCTACACTTTGGCATCTCTGTGAAGTCCATCTGGAGCTCTTCAAAGGGGGCTGCTCCATAAGCTTGTATGCCGGGTGGAACGGCTGGACCCTGCCTCGCATTATGCTGTCGGCAGGTAACACACCACTGCGTCACCGTTTCGGCAAGGGCTGACAAATGCGAGATGTAGAAATACCAGCCTAACAACTTTTCAAGTGATTCCTAACCTAGATGGGTGGTTTCACGCACAGCCAGTACAACTGCAGCTCCTAGCAGCTGTGGCACAGCTACTCTCCCATCCGGTAACCGAATTCATCCTTCCTCCATCACTTGTCCTCTCTCTGCCTGGAGAAAGTCCTTTTCTTCTTTAGAATAAGTAGGTACCAGATCAGGTGCTTGAGGGAGCAGGGGGGTTGTGATTGATGCCCAGAAGGGGGCAGATGCTGCTTTTCGAGCCTCTAAGTCAGCGCAGGAATTCCCTAAACCCACCAAGGTGGAAGCTCGCTTGTGTCCTCTGCAATGCATAACTGCCACCTTGTGGGGTCTCCATACGGCTTTTAATAATTGCAAGATTTATTGTTGATATTTTATGTCTTTTCCCCCAGAGTTCAATAAGCCCTTTTCTTTATATAATGTTCCATGCATTTGAAGGGTTGAAAAGGCATATTGAGAGTGAGTGTAAATGTTGACATTCTTAGCTTCACTGAGTTCTAAGGCCCGAATGAAAGCAATGAGTTCAGCTTTCTGAGCTGAAGTGCCCTGGGGAAACGATCTGGCTTCAGCAACAGTGTCCAGAGTTACCACCGCATAGCTTGCACATCTCTCTCCCTGTGGGTTGATGAAGCTGCTCCCAGCCACGTGTAGTTCCTAGTCTACTGATGCCTAAGGCTGTTCCTGGAGGTTAGGTCTGCTAGAGTAAACTGAGTCCAACACTTCTACACAGTCATGCTCGACAGGGCTCTCTGATACTGGGAGCAAGGTAGCGGGGTGTAGGGTGTTACAAACCTCAATGGTTATGCGGGGATTTTCACAGAGCAAACTTTGGTACTTAGTGAGTCTAGCATTCATTAGCCAATGATGTCCTTTAGTATTCATGAAAGTCACCACAGCATGGGGGGCCTTTACGTTCAGGTTTTGTCCAAGAGTCAGCTTATCTGCTTCTTGTACTAGCAGGGCAGTTGCTGCCAAGGCCCTCAAACAAGGGGCATCCTTTAGAAACCCCGTCTAGTTGTTTAGAGAGGTAGGCCACCGGCCTTGGCCAGGGCCCCACAGTTTGGGTTAAAACACCAACTGCCATCTTTTCTCTTTCTGACACATACAATGGAAAAGGCTTTATTAGATCGGGTAGCCCCAGGGCTGGGGCTGACATAAGTCTTTCCTTTAACTCATGAAAGGCTTGCTGTTGCTGGCATCCCCATTCAGAAAGTTCCCGGTCCCCCCACTTTGTGACCTCATACAAAGGCTTGGCTAATACTGCAAAGTTTGGGATTTACAGTCTGCAAAACCCCACAGCCCTTAAAAATGCTCTCACCTGCCTTCTGGTCTTAGGCTCCGGTAGATTGCAAATGACCTACTTTCTTTCTGATCCTAGGCTGCTCTCCCCCTGTCGGATAGTAAATCCTAAGTAACGTACCTGCCGTCGGCAGATCTGAGCTTTTTTCTTGGACACCTTATACCCACAGTCCTCCAGGTGCCGCAGTAGAGCATCTGTTCCCTTGGCGCACCCGACTGCCGTGGGGTGTCCCAGCAAAAGATCATCAACCTACTGGAGCAATACGCAGTCTAGGTCTCTGGTGGGAAACTTCTGGAGGTCTCGAGGCAATGTCTCCCCGAAGATAGTGGGGGAGTTCTTGAACCCTTGGGGAAGCCGGGTCCAAGTGTACTGAGTAGTGACACCTGACTCCGGATCTTCCCACTGAAAGGCAAACAGCTTCTGGCTCTCAGGGGCTAATCTGATGCTAAAGAAAGCATCTTTCAGGTCCAAGCAGGTGAAGCAGCTGTCCTCAGCTGGCAGCAACCCCAGCAATGTGTACGGGTTAGGTACTGCTGGATGTAAAGTCACTGTAGCCTGATGAAGCAAGCGCAAATCCTGTACCGGCCTGTAGTCCTTGGTCCTAGGCTTGGGAACAGGCAGGAGGGGAGTGTTCCATGGAGACTGACAAGGAACTCTAATTCCAAAAGTTCTTAGGTGCTTGAGATGGACCTGGATACCTTCAAGAGCTTCTCTGGGGACCGGCTCCTGTTTTTGCCTAAATGGCTGGGCCCTAGGCTTAACTTCTATAAGTACGGGGGCTTGGTTGACTGCCAACCCTGGAGGGTTGTCTTCCAACCGTACTCTTGGCCACCGCTTAGCCAGAGCTGGTCTTATCTCTTGGCCCGACTCAGTTAAGAAAAGTCTCCATTCCTCCTCTCGGGGGACGGTAAGGGTCATAATGACTCCCGTTCCGGGTAACTTTAGCAGCGAAGAGCCATGCTCTGTAAAAGAGATAGTGGCTCTCTGTTTGCTAAGCAAGTCCCTTCCCAATAAGGGCAAGGGACAGTCAGGCGTGGACAAAAACTGATGAATCACTTTATGTCCTCCTACAGTACAAGTCCAGGGCAAGCAGAAACTTGCTTTGCGGAAACCCCTGTGGCTCCGATGATGTCAATAATCTTTTTGTATAAGGGGGTGACCGGGGCGGTTACTACCGAATGTTTAGCACCAGTATCTACAAGAAAATCAATGTCTTTACCCCTAACTGTCATCCTGAACATAGGCTCTTTCGGGGTCCTTGAGCCCGGTCCCCCTCAGTCCAATAACCCTTCTGCCAGGTTGAGCAGGGCCCCTTTCTCCTTGTCTGGAGCCTCTTGCTCCGAATCACCTTGTTTTCTTTTTAGCTGAGGGCATTTGCTCTTCCAATGTCCTATTTCTTTACAATAAACACACTGATTACGCTGCAACCTTTGACAGCCAGGCTGAGTTTCTTTCCCGGGGCCCCCCTTCCCTTGCCTCTTTTGGGGGACCCCTCTGTTTGCTGCCGCTAACAGGTCGGCGTTTCGCTGGGCCTGACGTTCCTTCTCTCTGCAGTTTTCCTTATGGCTTACTGCATCCCTGTTTACAAACACCTGGTTAGCTACTTCTAATAACTGTGATGTGTTCATCCCTGCAAACCCAGCCTGTTTCTGCAGTTTTCTTCTAATGTCTTCTGCGCTTTGACTAACTAAAGCCATGTTAATCATGCATTGATTTTCAGGGCTATCGGGATCAAAGGGTGTATACATACCATAGGCATCACACAGTCTCTCCTAGAATTGTGCTGGACTTTCTTCTTTTCTCTGAATGACCTCAGAGACCTTGTTAACATTTGTGGCCTCCTGGGCTCCCCTCTTTAATCCTTCCAAGAGAGCTTCCCTGTCTCGGTTTAGCGTTTGCATATCCTCTCTTTCATTTGGGTCCTTCTGGGGGTCGGTTCCAGTAACTGGGTCCTTACATACTCTTGGGGGTTTTGGTAATCAGCCGGTGCATGTTCCTCTAGCCACTTAGTTGCTGCTTCTAGCACTCTCCATTTTTCATCTGTGTTAAAGAGGAACATGTGCAGCTGGTGACAATCAGTCCAAGTGGGGTTGTGGGTCTGGATATTAGTTTGGAGCAAATCAATTAGAGCTTGTGGCTTTTTGGTATAGGATGGGGTACTATTTTTCCAGTTGAGAAGGTGGGCAGAGGTGAAGGGCTGGTACACAGAAACACGCCTCCCCACCACATGACCATCCTCATCTATCCCTGTATACCGCTGCTCTCTCAGGAGCATTTGGATCCCCGTTTTGGGTCTTAAACGAGCTGCCAAGGGAGGGGTTCCTCCCGAGTCCTCACCTCTTCTTTTGTATACTCTGGATTGCCTAGGGATATGTTTGTCTTGTGGAGGCCCAAGCACTGTGGACTCAAAAGTGGGGAGCCTTTCTCCCTGGTAAGGGGAGGGCACCACTGGGATCACTGGTGCCATCTCCTGCAATGCATGTTCTGCTGTTGGGTTGAACAGATCTTCAGGTGTTGATTTCCCTCGGCGGGTGGAGCACGATCCTTCCTTGGCTATCTGTCCCTACGCTACTAGCACTGCTGCTGCCTGCCCTCTTAGCCACTGTGGGGGGTTTAGCATCAGCTGTAACCAAGTGTCTATGTATGGAAACTGGTCTGAGTGTCCTGACTTACCAATTACCTTGTGCCATACCTTAGAAACAAGGGACCTGCCCAGGCTTCCTTCTGATGGCCAACCCACTTCTAAAGCTGGGCAATCTATTTCACACAAAGTTCTAAATTTCCCTGGTGTCATAGTAACCCTATAGTCTCCATTAAATCCTTTCTTAAAATTTTTCATCATAGTTCCTAGCAGAGTAGGCTTACTTTGTGTCTGACCCACGTTTCCTCGAGACAAAACACCAAGCTCACACCACACGCACACCACAGAACAAAGAATGAGTAAAAAGGGCACACACACACTTTTTCAGTTTTCACCAAACCAGAATCAAAACCAAAATCGGAGTATCCAGAAATCCAAGCCAGGTCAAACCAAAACCAAAGTATCAAGCAATTCAATTCAAGTCAAAAACAAAAACCAAAGTGCCAGTACAGGCACGCCGTGGGTGATCAGGCCACACTTCCACTCAAATAGAGTGGGCAAGTTCCAAAGACCAGTCTTACCAAGTTTCAAATGTCCAGACTCCAAGTGCCTGTTCCTTCCCGGTGTTCACCCACTATGTTGATCCTCCACCGGGGCCTACCACACACTGCTCTGACGAGGCATTCCACCGGGTCAATTGCTTACCCAGGAGAGCTCTCAGGATCCGCGTCGCTCAAACTGGCAGGAGTCCCCCGCAGGGATGCTCCACAGGGCAGGCCTAAGCCGCCTAAAGGGCTGCCTCAACTGCCGTCAATTACCTCGCTTCCCGGTCAGGGAACCAAGACTAGGGTGGGGGCAGTCTTTAAAGCTGTCTTCAAGGAACAGAAAGAGGAGTGGGGAAAGGATTTAGGATCTATGGGGTCAGCTAGGTTTCCTTTTGTGAGTTTATATAATGGTTTTGTTAGGATGGCAAAACCAGATATCTAAAGGTGAAAGTATCCAACCATGCACAGGAAGGAAAGGAGTTGTTGTTTTGTAGAAGGGGTTGGGGTTTGAGAGATGAGTCACACACGATCGGCAGAGAGAGCACGTGTGTTTTTATGAGAATTATGCTGAGATAGGTAACAGATAAGGGAGAAATTTGGGCTTGACTGAAGTAATGGGGGCTGTCTGTGAAGCTTTGCGACAGTACAGCCCAGGTAATTTGCTGAGCTTGATGGGTGTCAGGGTCAGTCCAAGTGAAAGCGAAGAGTGACTGGGATGAAGGGTGCAAAGGAATAGTAAAGAAAGCATGTTTGAGATTCAGAACAGAATAATGGGTTGTGGAGGGAGGAACTGAGGATAGGAGAGTATATGTGTTTGGCACCTTGGGGTGGATAGGCAAAACAATTTGGTTGATAAGGCACAGATCTTGAACTAACTTGTAAGGCTTGTCTGGTTTTAGGACAGGTAAAATGGGGGAATTGTAAGGAGAGTTTATAGGCTTTAAAAGGCCATGCTGTAGCAGGTGAGTGATAACAGGCTTTAATCCTTTCAAAGCATGCTGTGGGATGGGATATTGGCATTGAGAGGGGTAAGAGTGATTAGGTTTTAATGAGATGGTAAGGGGTGCGTGATAGGTTGCCAAGGAGGGAATAGAGGTATCTTCTACTTGTGGGTTAAGGTGGGTGGCAATGAGGAGTGGCTGTAGTCCAGGAATAGTCAGGGAAGCAGATAATTTAGTTAAAGTGTCTCAGCCTAATAAGGGAACTGGGCAGGTGGGGACAACTAAAAAGGAGTGCTTAAAAGAGTATTGTCTAAGTTGGCACCAGAGTTGGGGAGTTTTAAGAGGTTTAGAAGCCTGGCTGTCAATACTCACAACAGTTATGGAGACAAGGGAAACAGGCCCTTGAAAAGAAGGTAATGTGGAGTGGTTAGCCTCCGTATTGATTAAGAAGGGGATGGACTTCTCCTCCACTGTGAGAGTTACCTAGAGCGTCTGTGATGGTCCTGTAGGCTTCCGAGGTGATCTATCAGGCAGTGTCAGTCTTCAGCTGCTAAGCCAAGAAGATCTGGGAAGGAATGAGTCAGAGAGCCTTGGGCTGGAGTTCCAGGGGCTCTAGGAGTGGCTGCCAGGTGAGTTGAACAGTCCGATTTCTAGTTGGGTCTCGCACAGATGGGACATGGCTCAGGAGGAATCCCGGGCTGCAGGCATTCCTTGGTCTGGTGGCCAGATTTCTGGCACTTGTAGCAAGCTCCTGGGGTAGGTGGTTCTGGAGGAATGCCTGGCCACTGCGCTTTAGGCGTTTGGAAGTTCTTGTGTGCTGGAGATTTGGCTGGGCTTTGTCTCACAGTGGAGGCAAGGAATTGCAACTGAGAAATATGTTGCTGCTAGGCTGCCTCTACTCCATTATTGTACACCTTGAAGTTGAGGTTAATTAAGTCCTGTTGTGGGGTTTGAGGGCCGGAATTTAATTTTGGAGTTTTATTTAATGTCGGGAGCAGATTGGGTAATAAAATGTATATTGAGAATAAGACGGCCTTTTGACGTTTTAAGGTCTAGGGCTGTAAAGCATCTCAGGGTTGCTGCCAAACGAGCCATGAACTGGGGTGGATTTTTATATTTGATGAAAAAGAGGCTAAATGCTATCTGATTTGGGATAAAGAAAAAGGAGCATTAACCTTGACTATGTCTTTAGCTCCAGGCACCTGTTTAAGAGTAAATTGCTGGGCAGGTGGGGGAGGGCTAGTCACGGAATTAAACTGTAAGCCAGACCCAGTGTGAGGAGGGGAGGTGATAAAAGGATTATAGGGTGGAGAAGTGGAGGCTGAGGAAGAATTGGGACCTAGCTCAGGCTGGCCAGGATGGGAGAGGTCAGATGGGTCTGTAGAAAAGGAAGATTAGAAAGACTCAGCGACACTTGGGGTTGGGACTGAGGGGACAGGTGGGAGGGAAAGGAGGAAGATTTCGGATGAGTTGCACTGGGAACAGAGACTAGGGAGGGACCAATGTGTAAAAGAATGCCTGGACATCAGGCATCTCAGATCATTTGCCCATCTTATGACAAGAAGTATCTAGATCTTGTAGGATGGAAAAATTGAAAGTGCCATTCTCTGGCTATTTGGAACCACTGCTGAGTTTGTATTGGGGTCAAGTAGCATTGTAGAAGAAAATAAGGCATTTAGGTTTTAGGTCAGGTGTGAGTTGAAGAGGTTTTAGGTTTTGAAGAACACAGGGTAAGGGAGAAGAAAGGGGAATGGAAGGCGGAAGCTTGCCCATAGTGAAGGAGGCAAGCCTAGAGAAAAGAGAGAGTAGAGACATGGAGAGAAGGGGTGGGGGGTTCTTGCCTTCCAGAATAGAGGGAAAGGGTTGGGGGCACAGAAATAAAGGGTTGGGGTGCAGAGATAAGAGGTCAGGTTGTGGAAATAAGGGATCGGGACACAGAGATGAGGTCAGGGCATGGAAATAAGGGATCGGGGTGCAGAGATAAGAGGTCGGGGTTCCTGTCCCTCCCCCAGAAAAGTGGGACATGCTGCTAAGGGTGAAGGAGAAGGGGTTGAGGGGTTCTTGTCCCTCCCCCAGAAAAGCAGGTCTTGCTGCTAAGGGTGAAGGAACAAGGCAGGCATCCCTGCATGGTCTGACACCTCTGAAACCTCGGTGAATAATCAGAGAGGTGTCCCTGCAAGTGATTAAACACCAAGGAAAGGCTGCCTTCACTAGTCCGTGACTGGTGCCAGAGTTTTGGGTCCACAGATAAAACGTGTCCCCTTTGTCTCTACCAGAAAATGAAAGGAATTGAAATTAAGAGAAGGGAGAGATTGAAGTGTGGTGCCAAGATTGGGAGGAGAAAGAGGTGGAGGGATAGTGAGGGAGGTTGGAGAAGAGAGTAAAAAGAAGCCGCTTACCAGATTTGAAATTGGTGAGATGTTTCTTGGGCTGGTCAGTCTGAGAACCTGAAGTCATAGGTGGATCTTTCTCACAGAGCAAAGAGCAGGAGGACAGGGGATTGATCTCCCAAGGGAAGTCCCTCGATCCCAGTCACGGCACCAAATTTCACATGCATCCATGTGAAGAGACCACCAAACAGGCTTTGTGTGAGCAGTAAAGCTGTTTATTTCACCTGGGTACAGGTGGGCTGAGTCCAAAAAGAGAGTCAGTGAAGGGAGATAGGGGTGGGGCAATTTTATAGGATTTGGGTAGGTAAAGGAAAAAGGGGGGTTGTTCTCTGGCAGGCAGGAGTGGGGGCCACAAGGTGCTCAGTAGGGGAGCTTTGGAGCCAGGATGAGCAAGGAGAAGGAATTTCACAAGATAATGTCATCAGTTAAGGCAGGAACCGGCCATCTGGATATGTACATGCAGGTCACAGGAGATAATGATGGCTTAGCTTGGGCTCAGAGGACTGACACTCTTCCTCCAGAGGAGGAGACCCAGACAGAAGAGGAGGAGGCAAGGTGATCACAGAGGCAGAGATTGGATCATGCAGCCACAAGTTGAGGAATTCTAGTAGCCTCTACAAGCTGGAAGACGCAAGGAATGGATTCTCCCCTAGAACCTCTGAAGGAGCATTCTCCTGCTGACATTTGATTGATTTTGGACTTCTGGCCTCCAGACAATTAATTTTTTTTTTTTTCTTTTTTTTTTTTCAGACAGAGGCTTGCTCTGTTGCCCAGTCTGGAGTGCAGTGGCATGATCTCAGTTCACTGCAACCTCCACCTCCCAGGCTCAAGCCATTCTCTTGCCTCAGCCTCCCAAGAAGTGGGGACTACAGGTGCCTGCCACCATGCATGGCTAATTTTTGTATTTTTAGTAGAGACGAGGTTTTGGCATATTGGCCAGGCTGGTCTCGAATTCCTGGCCTCAAGTGATTCACCCAACTCAGCCTCCCAAAGTCCTGAGATTACTTAGGTGTGAGCCACGGCACCCGGCACAGACATTGTTTGAAGCCACCCATTTCATGGTTCTTTGCTGCAGTGGTTGTGGAATATGAATGCACTCGTGCTGTTGGTTAGACTTTGCTGACCTTGTGTCTGTTATTCCCTGGCAGTTCTACAAGGCCTGGAGCTGATAGGAAAAACCTCCCTTCTTTCCCAAATGGTCCCCAGCTGCCCCGTTCACTGAAGGCCCTGCAGTCAGGAACGGTCAGGACTTCACACCCAGTTGTTGTGGGTGTTTGGCCGACACGACACTTCCTCTTGTGTGATTCATGGACCCGCAGCATTGCGTCACCTGGGAGCTTTTGGTATTGAAGACTCTCAGGGCTCACCCGGAAGGACCTGCTGGGCCAGAATCTACATTTTAACAAGATGCCCAGGTGATTTGCATACACGTTCAGATCTGAGAAGCGCTAGTAGGTGAGGCTTTAAGGTGGTAATTAGATCTTTTCTCCACCTGCAAGAATCTTAGTTTCTTCATGTTAAATCTATTAACTGTGGCAATGGCATGGGGGGTTATAAAACAAAACAAAATCCTTACATCAAGAATGCACCCTGGTGTGTTATGGATGTGGGTGAAATGAAATGTCTGGAATTTGCTTTAAAATATCCTAAAATAGCAAGAAGGAAAAGAAAAGTGGGAACTGGAATGAGATTGGCGAAATGTTGACAAGTTCTTGCAGTGGGATGATGGGTGCATGGGGGTTCATGGTGTAATTCTCTCCTTGATTTTTGTGCATATGGGAAATTTCCATAATGAAAAGTTAGAGGTCAGGCACGGTGGCTCATGCCTGTAATCTCAGCATTTTGGGAGGCTGAGGTGGGTAGATTGCTTTAACCTAGGAGTTCAAGACCATCCTGGACAACATGGTGAAATCCCATCTCTACTAAAAATGCAAAAATTAGGCATGGTGAAAACATGCCTGTAGTCATGTTGAGGTACGAGGTTGAGAACTGAGAATCACTTGAACCAAGGAGGCGGAGGTTGCAGTGAGCGGAGATCCAGTGAGCTGGAGATCACTCCAGCCTGGGTGACAGAGTGAGACTTGGTCTCAAAAAAATTTTTAATTTTCTTTTCTTTTTTTTTTGAGATAGAGTCTTGCTCTTTTGCCTAGGCTGGAGTGTAGTGGCGTGATCTTGGCTCACTTCAAGCTCCACCTCCCGAGTTCACTCCATTCTTCTGCCTCAGCCTCCAGAGTAGCTGGGACTATAGGCACCCAGCACCATGTCCGGCTAATTGTTTGTATTTTTAATAGAGATGGGGTTTCACCGTGTTAGCCAGGATGGTCTCAATCTCCTGAACTCGTGATCTGCCCACCTCGGCCTCCCAAAGTGCTGGGATTACAGCCATGAGCCATCGTGCCTGGCCTTAATTTGGTTTATTTTTTTTCTTTTTTGGGACAGGATCTGTAGCCCAGGCTGGAGTGCAGTGGTGCGATCCCGGCTCACTGCAGCCTCTACCTCCTGGGTTCAAGTGATCCTCCCACCTCAGCCTCCCGAGTAGCTGAGACCACAGGCATGTATTACCACACCTGGCTAATTTTTTCCCTTTTTCTAGAGGCAAGGTCTTGCTACGTTGCCCAGGCTGGTCTTGAACTCCTGAGTTCAAGCAGTCTTCCCGTCTCAGACTGGGAGTAATCCCAAAGTGCTGGGATTACAGGTGTGAGTCACTCTATCCAGCCTCAACTGTTTTTCATGACTCCACTTTTTCTCTCCTCTTGGAAATGTGTAGTCTTTGAGGGAATGTCATTTTGTCTCAATCTCTGGTTTCTTTGCTCAGTGCACCTGTGTTTGGGGCTTTGTTGATCTCCAGGCCTTTTTTCAGCAGCGTTGTCCCTGGAGAGCAGGATGGGAGCTGATGGCTTCTCAGCATCTTTTAACTCAGTTTAAAGATGACTATCAACAACATCTAGTCAGCATCTGTTGCTCTAGGCAACTGGGACTTCATTTCCTTTCTCTTTCTCCGCCTCTCTAACCTCTTTAAGACTCTGTCTTTGTCATGGGTACAGCATCACCTGTGTGGCCCTTAGGCTCCCTTACTTACATGTGATCTGCATATTATGTCTTTACTTCAGGGCTTTTCAGCCAGGGGGTGATTTTGCCCCCCAGAGAACACGTGGCCATGTCTGGAGACAATTTTGGTGGTTGCGGCTGGAGGAGGTGGTGCTACTGGCAGCTAATGGGTAGAGGCCAGCGATGCTGCTAAGCATCCTACAATGCCCCGGACAACTCCCACTAAGACAAAAGAATGATCCAGCCCCAAATGTCAATAGTGCTGAAAGTGAGAGACCCTGATTCCATCTTAGAGATCATCCAAGCACACTTGGCCAAATTGTTTTTGCTACTGTCCCATGAAGAAAAGGCAGACTCATTACCGATGGCAACATCGATGGGAGTTTTGCTTAGCTCTTCTTTGTGGACTTTGGGATACGGTGTCTTACCATTTGTGCAAGTTGTGCATTGCTTACCTCCAGGGGGCGCCACCCACATATTTATGAAAATGCCACCCCGGGAGTTGCACAGTATATAGTCTATATGGAAATAAGCAGTTGCTCTGGTTTTGGGGTTATCCTGGGGTGCTCTGGAACTGGGAGGAACTTTATTTCTGGCCATTAGAGGCCCTGAGCATGATATTGAGTATCCTTTCAAGAAAGGAGAAATGTTGAACAGAGAGGACCTCATTTTTATAACTCTTGACCATCATCTAGTTACGGAGCATCCACTTTTCACCCCTGGGCCATAACCATTTGACGCATGAAAAATCATCAAATTATAATATCATGGCTTATACTTTTGATAGCTTCTGCCCGGAACATGGCGGTAAGAGCTTCTCATTTTCAATTGATTCATTGGGGGAGAAAATATACACGGCTGTCCTAAGACTTTCTATGACACACAATTTGCTTGACGGGATTTCTTTAGTTTCTGCAGCATAACTTATTCTAACTGGTCCTCAATCACTTTGCAATAAAACCTGAGATTGTGAAGATGTTCATTGTCATTACCAGTGACGGAGCAGTAAGTACAGAGTTCTGGAGAGGGAAGGAATCGAGAGAGTTAAACTAGCAGAATGAGCCGCTCACCCTCAGAATTGCTTTTAGTCTTGGTGAGAACTGAGGGGAATTTTGACAGGGTTCAGGGGGACTGCGGGGAGTGGGGCTGGGAGGTGGCTGTTTGCACATGTGGTCAGCAAATCCAGTGAGGCGGTCCATGTACTGTGGGCAGCCCCATAGATGGAGTTGGGATTGCCCTGGACTGAGTACTGTGTCATCAGTACTCAAGACATCAAGGCCCAGGCTGGTGCAGGAGACACATTGCACTGTGTCAGCCTTTCTTCTATCGCTCCTCTCCAATGATAGTTCCTGATTTTCCGCTGAGGAGTCACTAGTCCCCAACGGCATGTGTGCCACTGGCCATTCCCCACCCTGATCTGGAGCTGGGGCATGTGGTCCCAGCCTGGATGCCAGTGTCCTTCCACCACCCTGGCCACAGTGATTGGGTCTGAGAAGCAGATTAGCCAAAGGAGAGACAATCTTGGAAATTTCATGTTCATGCTTAAGAAAGTAAAATGGAAAGCGGGGGGAGGGTGAGGGGTCATTCTGATGATATAATTTTAGGACCTGGATGTAGCCACACCTGTAGCTGTCACCTCTGTGCTATAGTACTGCTTTTTTTTTTCCTTCAAATTTAAATACTTTCTAAAGGCAAGGTCTTGCTATGTTGCTTAGGCTGGTTTTGAAAACTCCCTTTTGGGGGGATGCTTTCACTGCTTCACTTCCTTTCTATGAGAGCTCACGGAATCAGAAGACAAAGGAGATGACTTTTTTTTTTTTTTTTTTTTTTTTGAGACAGGGCTTGCTCTATTGCCCAGGCTGGAGTGCAGTGGTGCAATCACAGCTCGCCACAGCCTTGATCTTCTGGACTCAAGCGACCCTCCTGCTTCAGCCTCCTGAGTAGCTGGGACTGTAGGCTGCTACCCCCATGCCCAGCTAATTATTATTATTATTTTTTTCTTTAGAAATGAGATCTCACTATGTCACCCAGGCTGGCCTCAAACTCCTGGGCTCAAGTGATCGTCCTGCCTTAGCTTCCCAAACTTACAGGTGTGAGCCCCCACACCAGTCAACGCTGTGGTCTTATGCACCTGGTGTCCCCTATGCCCTGAGCAATGATCCTCCTGCTTCAAACTCCGAAAGTGCTGGGATAACAGATGTGAAGCAGCATGTGTGGCCCACATAGTATTCTTATGGGTTAAATTGAGTCCTCCTCAAAACATGTTGAAATCCTAAATTCTAGTAGCTCAGAATGTGACCTTATTTAGAAATAGAGTTATTGCGGGCCGGGCGTGGTGGCTCATGCCTATAATCCCAGCACTTTGGGAGGTCGAGGCAGGCGGATCACCTGAGGTCAGGAGTTTGAGACCAGCCTGACCAACATGGAGAAACTCCGTCTCTACTAAAAATTCAAAATTAGCTGGGTGTGGTGGCACATACCTGTAATCCCAGCTACTAGGGAGGCTGAGGCAGGACAATCGCCTGAACCCACGAGGCGGAGGTTGCATTGAGCTGAAATCGTGCTATTGCACTCCAGCCTGGGCAAAAAGAGTGAAACTCCGTCTCAAAAGAAAGAAAGAAAGAAAGAGAGAGAGAGAGAGAGAGAGAGAGAAAGAAGAAAAAAAAGAAAGAAAGAAATAAAGAAAAAAGAAAGGAAGAAAGAAAGAAAGAAAGAAAAGAAAGAAATAGGGTTATTGCAGACGCTATTGATTAGGATGAAGTCATCTTGGAGTAGGGAGGGCCCTAAGTCAACGACTGGTGTCCTTATAAAAGACGAGAGGACACGCCGAGTCACAGAGACACAGGGAAGGCGTCCATGGATTGGCCGGAAGATTGGACTGATGCGTATGCAAACCAAGAAACACTGAAGACTGCCAGGAGACCACAGGAAGGTAGGAAGAGGCAAGGCAGGACTCCCCGACAAGTGCAGGAGGGAGCGTGGCCCTGCTGGCACTTCCATTTCAGACTGCTGGCCACCAGAGCCACAAGACAATCAGTTTCTCTGGTTTCAAGTCACGCAGCTTTTGGTACTTGGTTGTGGCAGCCCTAGGGAATGAACATAAGTACTTTCTTTTTTTTTTCTTTTTTTGAGACGGAGTCTCGCTCTGTTGCCCAGGCTGGAGTGCAGTGGCGCGATCTCGGCTCACTGCAATCTCCGCCTCCTGGGTTCACGCCATTCTCCTGCCTCAGCCTCCTGAGTAGCTGGGACTACAGGCACCCGCCACCACGCCCAGCTAATTTTTTGTATTTTTAATCGAGACAAGGTTTCGCCGTGTTAGCCAGGATGGTCTCCATCTCCTGACCTCGTGATCCGCCTGCCTCAGCCTCCCAAAGTGCTGGGATTACAGGCGTGAACCACCACGTCCGGCCGAATACAAGTACTTTTAAATTAACTCTCCTCTTCTCTCCATCTTCTTCTAAATCATCATTTTTGCCTAAGCAACAGCTAGGGTCTAATACAGATGTGACGACTCACTTCAAAGTGGGGGAAGCTCCCATGTGCACCCAAACCTCCTGCTGCCTTGGCCCAGGGTTCAGAGACTGGACCATCATTCTGGAGGCTTGCTGGAGATCTGAGCCAGGGCATCATTCTCTGTTGCCTTTAAACAAAGGCTGGTGCTCGCCCAGGCTCGTGAGCTCCACCGAGGATCTATTTGGAAGGCAGAATTCTGAGATGACCCCTTAGGTTCTTGCCCTGGATAAATGCCAGGTGTAATCTCCTCTCCCCTGGAGTGTAGGCAGGACCCGTGGCTTGCTTCTAATCTATACCTATGGAAAAGTTGAAGGGATTTTGCAGATGTAACTAAGCCCCTAATCCATTCACTTTGAGTTAATCAAAAGAGAGATTATTCAGGGTGGGCCTGACATCTTCAGGTGAGATCTTCAATGAGGGTCTGGAGGAGAGAGACTCCTTCCTCCTGGTTTTTGGTTTTTGTTTGTTTGTTTGTTTTTGACATGGAGTCTCACTCTGTTGCCCAGGCTGGAGTGCAGTGGCACGATCTCGGCTTACTGCAACCTCTGTCTCCTGGGTTCAAGTGATTCTCCTGCCTCAGCCTCCCAAGTAGCTGGGATTACAGGCGTGCACAATCATGACCGGCTAAGTTTTGTATTTTTAGTAGAGATGGGGTTTCACCATATTGGCCAGGCTGGTCTCGAACTCCTGACATCAGGTGATCCACATGCCTCGGCCTCCGAAAGTGCTGGGATTACAGGCGTGAGCCACCATGCCTAGCTGGTTTTGAAGAAGCAAGCCACATGAGTTCCACAGTTGCATGGAAATAAATTCTGCCAACAACCATGTGAGGTTGGGAGAAGACCCCAAGCCTCATATGAGACACTAATTCCAGCCAACACCTTGATCACAACCTTGTAAGTACCTAAGCAGAGGGCCCAGCTAAACTGCACCCCCAGACTCCTGACCCACAGGAAAGGAGAGGTAATAGATGGATGTTTTAAGCTGCTAAATTTGTGTTGATTTGTTATGCAGCTTAGAAAATGAATACATCATTCCATTTTTAAAAAATCATAAGCTAATCACACCATTCGATTTCTTTTTTTTCTTTTTTCTTTTTTTTTTTTGAGACAGAGTCTCACTCTATCGCCCAGGCTTGAGTGCAATGGCGCAATCTTGGCTCACTGTAAGCTCTGCCTCCCAGGTTCAAGTGATTCCCTTTCCTCAGCCCCCCAAGTAGCTAGGACTACAGGCAAGCACAACCAAACCCAGCTAATTTTTATATTTTTAGTAGAGATGGAGTTTCTCCATTTTGGCCAGGCTGGTCTCGAACTCCTGACCTCAAGTGACCTGCCTGCCTCAGCCTCCCAAAGTGCTGGGGTTGCTGACATGAGCCACCGCACCTGGCCTGACACACCATTCAGTTTTAATGAGCTTCCAGGTGCTGTGGTCACGCCCCTCTTGTGTGGCATGCAGGTTGGGAGAGATGGGTTGGAAGATGACTGGATGGGGGCATGGAGCTAGGTGGGAAGAGGAAAAGTGTCTTGAAGGAAGTAAGTCCCTTCAGATAAGGGAGGGAGAAGCTTGATCAATATGCAGACTTTCACAGTCCTTCAGTCCTGGGGATACTGGTGGAGAGACAGGTCTTGCCTTATATTTGAGAGTTACCATCCCAGGCAGAGGCCCTACTTCCACCTTCTTGCAGGTGGGGCTGGGGAGCAAATACTTAGAGGAGAAACGAACACCCTTTGTAAGCATGTGAAAAGTTTCTGGAGTAGAGAGATGATGAAGCAGGATATTGGGAGTCAACAGCCGAAGCTTTTATCTTATTTTTTATTTTGTATTATACTTTAAGTTTTAGGGTACATGTGCACAACGTGCAGGTTTGTTACATATGTATACATGTGCCATGTTGGTGTGCTGTACCCATTAACTCGTCATTTAACATTAGGTATGTCTCTTAATGCTATCCCTCCCGCCTCCCCCGCCCCCACAACAGGTCCCAGTGTGTGATGTTCCCCTTCCTGTGTCCATGTGTTCTCATTGTTTAATTCCTACCTATGAGTGAGAACATGCGGTGTTTGGTTTTTTGTCCTTGCAATAGTTTGCAGAGAATGATGGTTTCCAGCTTCATCCATGTCCCTACAAAGGACATGAAATCATTGTTTATGGCTGCATAGTATTCCATGGTGTATATGTGCCATATTTTCTTAATCCTGTCTATCATTGTTGGACATTTGGCTTGGTTCCAAGTCTTTGCTATTGTGAATAGTGCCACTATAAACATACGTGTGCATGTGTCTTTATAGCAGCATGATTTATAATCCTTTGGGTATATACCCAGTAATGGGATGGCTGGGTCAAATGGTATTTCTAGTTCTAGATCCCTGAGGAATTGCCACACTGAATTTCACAATGGGTGAACTAGTTTACAGTCCCACCAACAGCGTAAAAGTGTTCCTATTTCTCCACATCCTCTCCAGCACCTGTTGTTTCCTGACTTGTTAATGATCGCCATTCTAACTGGGGTGAGATGGTATCACATTGTTGTTTTGACTTGCATTTCTCTGGCCAGGGATGATGAGCATTTTTTTCACGTGTCTTTTGGCTACATAAATGTCTTCTTTTGAGAAGTGTCTGTTCATATCCTTTGCCCACTTTTTGATGGGTTGTTTGTTTTTTTCTTGTAAATTTATTGGAGCTCATTGTAGATTCTTGATATTAGCCCTTTGTCAGATGAGTAGATTGCAAAAATTTTCTCCCATTCTGTAGGTTGCCTGTTCACTCTGATGGTAGTTTCTTTTGCTGTGCAGAAGCTCTTTAGTTTAATTAGATCCCATTTGTTAATTTTGGCTTTTCTTGCCATTGCTTTTGGTGTTTTAGACATGAATTCCTTGCCCATGCCTATGTCCTGAATGATATTGCTGAGGTTTTCTTCTAGGGTTTTTATGGTTTTAGGTCTAACATTTAAGTCTAATCCATCTTGAATTAATTTTTGTCTAAGGTGTAAGGAAGGGATCCAGTTTCATCTTTCTTCATATGGCTAGCCAGTTTTCCCAGCACCATTTATTAAGTAGGGAATCCTTTCCCCGTTTCATGTTTTTGTCAGGTTTGTCAAAGATCAGATGGTTGTAGATATGTGGCATTATTCCTGAGGGCTCTGTTCTGTTCCATTGGTCTATATCTCTGTTTTTGTACCAGTACCAGGCTGTTTTGATTACTGTAGCCTTGTAGTATAGTTTGAAGTCAGGTAGTGTGATGCCTCTAGCTTTGTTCTTTTGGCTTAGGATTGACTTGGCAATGCTGGCTCTTTTTTGGTTCCATATGAACTTTAAAGTAGTTTTTTCCAATTCTGTGAAGAAAGTCATTGGTAACTTGATGGGGATGGCATTGAATCTATAAATTACCTTGGCCAATATGGCCATTTTTACGATATTGATTCTTCCTACTCATGAGCATGGAATGTTCTTCCATTTGTTTGTGTCCTCTTTTATTTCGTTGAGCAGTGGTTTATAGTTCTCCTTGAAGAGGTCCTTCATATCCCTTGTAAGTTGGATTCCTAGGTATTTTATTCTCTTTGAAGCAATTGTGAATGGGAGTTCACTCATGATTTGGCTCTCTGTTTGTCTGTATTGGTTTATAAGAATGCTTGTGATTTTTGCAAATTGATTTTGTATCCTGAGACTTTGCTGAAGTTGCCTATCAGCTTAAGGAGATTTTGGGCTGAGACAGTGGGGTTTTCTTGATATACAATCATGTCATCTGCAAACAGAGACAATTTGACTTCCTCTTTTCTTAATTGAATACCCTTTATTTCCTTCTCCTCCCTGATTGCCCTGGCCAGAACTTCCAACACTATGTTGAATAGGAGTGGTGAGAGAGGGCATCCCTGTCTTGTGCCAGTTTTCAAAGGGAATGCTTCCAGTTTTTGCCCATTCAGTATGATATTGGCTGTGGGTTTGTCATAGATAGCTCTTATTATTTTGAGATACGTCCCATCAATACTTAATTTATTGAGAGTTTTCAGCATGAAGGTTGTTGAATTTTGTCACAGGCCTTTTCTGCATGTAATGAGATAATCATATGGTTTTTGTCATTGGTTCTGTTTATATGCTGGATTATGTTTACTGATTTGCAAATGTTGAACCAATCTTGCATCCCAGGGAGGAAGCCCACTTGATCATGGTGGATAAGTTTTTGATGTGCTGCTGGATTCGGTTTGCCAGTATTTTATAGAGGATTTTTGCATCGATGTTCATCAGGGATATTGGTCTAAAATTCTCTTTTTTGGTTGTGTCTCTGCCCGGCTTTGGTATCAAGATGATGCTGGCCTCATAAAATGAGTTAGGTAGGATTCCCTCTTTTTCTATTGTTTGGAATAGTTTCAGAAGGAATGGTACCAGCTCCTCCTTTTACCTCTGGTGGAATTCGTCTGTGATTCCGTCTGGTCATGGACTTTTTTTGGTTGGTAAGCTATTAATTATTGCCTCAATTTCAGAACCTGTTATTGGTCTATTCAGAGATTCAACTTCTTCCTGGTTTAGCCTTGGGAGGGTGTACGTGTCGAGGAATTTATCCATTTCTTCTAGGTTTTCTAGTTTATTTGCATAGAGGTGTTTATACTATCCTCTGATGGTAGTTTGTATTTTTGTGGGATTGGTGGTGATATCCCCTTTATCAATTTTTATTGTGTCTATTGGATTCTTCTCTCTTTTCTTTATTAGTCTTGCTAGTGGTCTATCAATTTTGTTGATCTTTTCAAAAAACCAGCTCCTGGATTCATGGATTTTTTGAAGGGTTTTTTGTGTCTCTATTTCCTTCAGTTCTGCTCTGATCTTAGTTATTTCTTGCCTTCTGCTAGCTTTTGAATGTGTTTGCTCTTTGCTTCTCTAGTTCTTTTAATTGTGATGTTAGGGTGTCAATTTTAGATATTTCCTGTTTTCTCTTGTGGGCATTTAGTGCTATAAATTTCCCTCTACACACTGCTTTGAATGTGTCCGAGAGATTCTGGTATGTTGTGTCTTTGTTCTCGTTGGTTTCAAAGAACACCTTTATTTCTGCCTTCATTTCATTATGTACCCAGTAGTCATTCAGGAGCAGGTTGTTCAGTTTTCATGTAGTTGAGTAGTTTTGAGAGAGTTTCTTAATCCTGAGTTCTAGTTTGATTGCACTGTGGTCTGAGAGACAGTTTGTTATAATTTCTGTTGTTTTACATTTGCTGAAGAGTGCTTCACTTCCAACTATGTGGTCAATTTTGGAAGAAGTGCGATGTGGTGCTGAGAAGACTGTATATTCTGTTGATTTGGGGTGGAGAGTTCTGTAGATGTCTATTAGTTCCGCTTGGTGCAGAGCTGAGTTCAATTCCTGAATATACTTGTTAACTTTCTGTCTTGTTGATCTGTCTAATGTTGACAGTGGGGTGTTAAAGCCTCCTATTATTATTGTGTGGGAGTCTAAGTCTCTTTGTAGGTCTCTAAGGACTTGCTTTTTGAATCTGAGTGCTCATGTATTGGGTGCATATATATTTAGGATAGTTAGCTCTTCTTGTTGAATTGATCCCTTTACCATTATGTAATGGCCTTCTTTGTCTCTTTTGATCTTTGTTGGTTTAAAGTCTGTTTTATCAGAGACTAGGATTGCAACACCTGCCTTTTTTTTGTTTTCCATTTGCTTGGTAGATCTTCCTCCATCCCTTTATTTGAGCCTGTGTGTGTCTGTTTTTTCCCCATCTTTGTGGCTTTATCTACCTTTGGTCTTTGATGATGGTGACGTACAGATGGGGTTTTAAGTGTGGATGTCTTTTCTGTTTGTTAGTTTTCCTTCTAAGAGTCAGGACCCTCAGCTGCAGGTCTGTTGGAGTTTGCCTGGGTGTCAGCAGTTGAGGCTGCAGAACAGCAGATATTGTTGAGCAGCAAATGTTGCTGCCTGATTGTTCCTCTGGAAGTTTTGTCTCAGAGGAGTACCCGGCCATGTGAGGTGTCAGTCTGCCCCTACGGGGGTGTGCCTCCAGTTAGGCAACTCGGGGGTCAGGGACCCACTTGAGGAGGCAATCTGTCCATTCTCAGATCTCCAGCTGTGTGCTGGGAGAACCACTTCTCTCTTCAAAGCTGTCAGACAGGGATATTTAAGTCTGCAGAGGATTCTGCTGCCTTTTGTTTGCCAATGCCCTGCCCCCAGAGGTGGAGTCTACAGAGGCAGGCAGGCCTCCTTGAGCTGAGGTGGGCTCCACCCAGTTGGAGCTTCCCAGCTGCTTTGTTTACCTACTGAAGCCTAGGCAATGGCGGGCGCCCCTCCCCCAGCCTTGCTGCCACCTTGCAGTTTGATCTCATACTGCTGTGCTAGCAATGAGTGAGGCTCCATGGGTTTAGGACCCTCTGAGCCAGGCATGGGATATAATCTCCTGGTGTGCCGTTTGCTAAGACCATTGGAAAAGTGCAGTATTAGGGTGTGAGTGACCCGATTTTCCAGGTGCCATCTGTCACCCGTTTCTTTGACTAGGGAAGGGAATTCTCTGACCCCTTGCACTTCCCAGGTGAGGCAATGCCTTGTCCTGCTTGGCTCATGCTCGGTGCACTGCACCAAGTGTCCTGCACCCACTTTCTGACACTCTCCAGTGAGATGAACCAAGTACCTCAGTTGGAAATGCAGAAATCACCTGTCTTCTGGGTCGCTCACGCCAGGAATTGTAGACTGGAGCTGTTCCTATTCGGCCATCTTGGCTCCACTCCTGCTATTATGATTCTTACACAGAGTCCTTTGCTTTCCAGCAGCCTCCTCTTCCTCCTTTTTAGGTTGGAATCCCTCTATTTTAGTGGCCATTGGGATTCTGAAATGACCAGGTCTTTGTCTCAGAGACCTCACACATGCTCTTCCCTCGCCTGGAACACTTTTCCTTCCTCTGGTCCCCTGAGATCTCTTTCAGCTCAACTGCCCCATGCTCAGAGACCCCCTTTCTCCCTCTCTAGTTTGAAACCAGTTTACGCCTGTAGTCTGTGCCTGGAAAACTCGTTTTCCTCCTTGATGCCTCCTGAGTTGTTACAGGATGTATGTGCCTGTTTGGGTGTCTGGTGTCTGTCTCCCCGACTGGACTGTATGCTCCTGGTGAGCTGGAGGGACTGGACTAGCACAGGCCAAGGCCCTGGGGCTTGAGGGAGCAGGGCAGAAGGCACAGGCAAAGGCCTTTGTGATCCGGAAGGAAGTGAAGGAGAGGGAGAGAGATGAGAGAGGCTGGCAGAAGATAGGCCAGGGGCCAGGCTGTGTGGGATCTTTTGGGCCACAGAAAGACATTTGAATTCTTATGTAAGAGAACCAAGACACCATTGGAAGGTATGAGTCACCTCATCTAACTGAGCTCTGTAAATGTCAGTGTTTTATTATTTTTATACAATTATTTAAAAGTGATTTTAGTTATTTACCTTTTTATTTTTATTACTTTTGTTTTTTTTTTGAGACAAAATCTTGCTCTTTTGCCCAAACTGGAATGCAATGGCATGATCTCGGCTCACTTCAACTACCACCTCCTGGGTTCAAGTGATTCTCCTGTATCAGACTCCAGAGTAGCTGTGGTTATAGGCATCTGCCACCACGCCCAGCTTATTTTTGTATTTTTAGGATAGGTGACGTTTCACCATGTTGGGCAAGCTGGTCTTGAACTCCTGACCTCAGGTGATCCACCCACCTCAGCCACCAAAAGTGCTGGGATTACAGGGGTGAGTCACCATGCTCGGCCTTATTTACTTTAAAAAAAAAGAACAGGCCAGTCACGGTAGCTCATGTCTCCAATCTCAGCACTTTGGGAGGCTGAGGTGGGATGATCACTTGAGGCCAGGAGTTCAAAACCAGCCCAGGCAACATAGTGAGACACCCCCTGCCCCAGTTTCTAAGAAAATGAGAAAATCAGGCATGGTGGCTTGTCTGTATCCCCAGCTACTGAGGAGACTGAGCTAGGGAGGACTGCTTGAGACCAGGAGCTTGAGGCTCCACTGAGCTGTGATTATGCCACTGAGCTACAGCCTGGGCAACAGAGTGAGACCCCGGAGCAACCTCAACCTCCCTAGAGCTGACCGAGCTTTTGCTTCTTATCACAGGGAATGACGGACGCTGGGGATTTGATGGGCATCGGGTGAAATGGGCAGAGTGGCGCTTACCTGTGATGGCAGTGAAGTGGGACGGGGAGGTCATTGTCACAAGGGGCGGCATGAGGTACTTGGCCTTGACGCCCTCCCTGGCCAGATGGTCCAGGTTGGGGGTGTTCACATCCTGATCCTAGTCCCAGCGGAAGCCCTGGAAGGAGATCAGCAGCAGTTGTGAGTGCTCTTCTTCCCTGCGAGGGGGTGGCCGCCCAGCAGGACAGGCGGTGGCAGCAGCAGCTGGAGGGCGCCGAGTCATGTCATCCCACAAGCACCTGTCATGCACTCCTCACAGAGTTCATGGGCTTCTCCCTCTTTAGTCCGTTGTTAAACAAAGTCCGCATTAGTAATTCAGCCCAGCTCTGTTGTGGGACAAACAACCTGGAGTGTAGCAAGGTGCTGCATATTTGCAGGACAGTATGAAAGCGTTCTGGAGATGGATGGGGGACATGGCTGTACAATGTGGGGGATGCACTTAATACCACTGAATTTTTCCTTTGAAAATGGCTAAAATAATAGATTTTGTATGTATTTTACCACAGTAAAAAATCAAGCTGGCCGGGCATGGTGGCTTACACCTGTAATCCCAGCACTTTGGGAGGCCAAGGCGGGTAGATCATTTGAGGTCAGGAGTTCAAGACCAGCCTGGCCAACATGGAGAAACCCCATCTCTACTAAAAATGCAAAAATTAGCCAGGCGTGGCGGTACATGTCTGTAATCCCAGCTACTCGGGAGGCTGAGGCAGGAGAATTGCTTGAACCCGGGAGGCGGAGGTTGCAGTGAGCTGAGATTGCTCCACTGCCTTCCAACCTGGACGATGGAACGAGACTGCATCTCCAAAAAAAAAAAAAAAAAAAAAAAAAAAAAATCAAACCACATGAAATATTTTGGACTCTTATACTAATTCCAACACTTTGAAGATCTGGGGAGAACAAACTAGATTGGTGCTTTCCTTGGCTTAGTATGTTCTGTTTTTATAGGGAGAGCAAATTATTGTTCACCAGCACTATTAAAATAGCTACAACAGGATGGGCATGGTGGCTCACACCTGTAATCCCAGCACTTTGGGAAGCTGAGGTGGGAGGATCGCTTGAGCCCAGGAGTTCGAGATGCCAGCCTGGGCAACATGGTGAGACCCTGCCACTACCAAAAAATATAACAACAACAACACAAATAGCTAGGTGTGATTGTGTGCATCTGTAGTCCCAGCTACTTGAGAGGCTGAGGTGGGAGGATCACTTGTGCCCAGGAGGTTGAGGCTGTAGTAAGCCATGATTATGCCACTGTACTCAGCCTGGGTGACAGAGTGAGACCCTGTATGGAAAAAGAAATAAAAAGCTGCAGTGGAGTCATTGATCATGAGGCCAGGCACTGTATACATGTACATCATCTCATTTAATTTTTTCTCTTGTTTAAAATTATTTTTTCCTCTAATCCCCATGTTGATCGACATTTTTTTCAATCCTAGGAATTAGTTGAAAATTTTGCATAAGAATTGAAAATTGCCTGGTCTGATGTCTTACATCTGTTATCCCAGCACTTTGGGAGGCTGAGATGAGAGAATCACTTGAAGCCAGGAGTTTGGGCCAATCTGGGCAATATACTGAGAATGCAACTCTATAAAAAAATTTAAAAAGCTGGGTGTGGTAGCGTTCACCTGTAGTCCCAGCTACTTGGAAGACTAGGTGGGAGGCTTGCTTGAGTCCAGGCGGTAAAGGCAGCAGTGAGCTATGACTGTGACATTGCACTGCAGCCTGGGTGACGGAGTGAGACTCTATCTCTAAAATAAATGAATAAAATTGTGGCATAATATATGCAACATTTATCATTTTGTGCATCTGAAAGTGTACAATTCAGGGACATTTTGTACATCTATCATGTTGTGCAATTATCACCACTACCTAGTTTCAGGGCTTTTTCAACACCTCAGTTGGAAGCCTCATATCCATTCAGCAGTCACTCTGCATACTCCCTCCTGCAGCCGTTGGAAACCTCTCATCTACTTTCTATCTCTGTCGATTGGCTTAGTCTGAACATTGCATATAAATGGAATTCTACAATATATGACCTTTCATGTCTGCTTCTTTCACTAACCCTAACGTTCATCCATATCACAACATGGATAAGTTTTATTTTCTTTTTAGACCCTATCTAAAAAGAAAAAAAAAATTTGTAAAACAAAAATAAAAACAAAAAAATATATAGGATGGAGATCAGATGAGTCCTGAAAAGTTTATAATATTTACTATCTAGCACTTTACATAGAAGCTTGCCTACCTCTGAAAGATAGGCAGGTACAGAGATGACATTTATCTTGACACTTATAGAAAGACCTATAAATTGTATAAAGACATCATCATTGGATCTCCAGTAACAAGAACTGGCAAGACATGACAGTGTGTCCAGGTGTTCAGGTGAAGTGTAGGGAAGGTCTTGTCTTGACGAGGTCGGATGTGAGACCCAGATGAGATAACCCCATTTCCCCTGCTGAAATTGCCTGAGAATTTCATTCCAGTTATTTGCGTAGTTTGATTCTTTCGGTGGGGGTGGGGGTGGGTGAGGAGGTGGGTGAGGAGGCCGAAGGTCATATCTCAGCTCTGCAACTCATTATCTATGATGCCTTGGGGCAGGTCCCATAACTCTCCAAGCCTCTGTTATATATTCCATAGGGTTGTGAGGTTCAGATGAAATAATGCATGCTGGCAGGAATGGTTACTGCTCATGGGATTTCCATCTGCTCCCTGTATTCCCCAGACCCCCGTAGTTAGATGGATCCATGCCAGGGTCCAATGCTCTATAAGTGGAAGTCACTGACATCACCTCTAGTCTACAGCTTTTGAGGGCTTGGAAATAACTATCTCATTCTCTCATCTCCTGGTGCAGTAACTAGGGGAGAATCCTTGCATTAAGATGGTAGAATTTCCATCATTCTAGGTCTTTGAGTGGCCATATGGAGCACACCATACCCAGCCAACCCATTGTGGACATGGAATGTAAGAAATCAACCTTGGTTGCTAAGCTGCTGAGACTCTGGGGTTAATTTGTTACTGCAGCATAACCTAGTCCATCCTGATGCATGTAGCATGCAAACCACTTATGTTGACCCTTAGTCATGGTCAGTGCTCCACAGATGTTTGTTACTTTTGGTAGGAAGATAGATTGCCTCTGAAAGTTTTGTTAGCTGATCTCATGATGCCAATGTTGCTATTTTGTAATTGGATAAATTGGACTTGGCTCTCTTTCCAGCATGTGGGAGAGAAAGATGACTGAGAGACAATAAGGCACTATTATCTTCAGTTTCTGTCCTTGGATACCCTTGGTGGCAATGAACAATGCATGCCCCTCTGAGAAAGCTGGACCTAAAGGAGAATGGGAGGTGATACCAGAATTGGGAAAGTCCAAGGCCCCAGGCATTCCCTGGTCTGGAGACAACTTTGAGTCCTTGGTGGGAAGATTCTCCAAGGGAACATAAATGCTTCTACTATCTAGTTTGTCTCTTTGAGAATTAAAACTTTTTTTTTTTCATTCCAGTAGCTTTTGGGGTACAGTTTGGCTCTTTGAGAATTGCATACTAATTAATTTTAGGGGCCATCTGTACACATCTCTATATTCCTGAAACATGGTAGAAACAGCCAGCAGTCAGGCGACAATCTACGATGACCACTAAAATATCCCCAAAGTGAAACACTAGATGTGATCCACTAGGTTTAGTGGAGGTGGCTGGCTCGAGAGTTGATTATATTTATTATTGTCACTGTGGTGATTATGGCCACAACATTGTCATGCGTGTTGGTCTTCTTTTGGTGAGTTTCAGTTTGGAAGGAATAAATCCATTTTTTTTTTTTTTTTGAGTCTTGCTCTGTCACCCAGGCTGGAGTGCAGTGGTGCCATCTCAGCGTGCTGTAAACTCCGCCTTCCAGGTTCAAGTGCTTCTCCTGCCTCTATGGCCAGGCTGGTCTTGAACTCCTGACCTCAGGTGATCCACCTGCCTCAGCCTCCCAAAGTGCTGGGATTACAGGCGTGAGCCACCATGCCCGGCCCCATTATTCATTTAACCAATATCTGTTGAGCACATTGGGTGTGCTGGAGGATGAACTGCAGGGGAGAGAGGAAGCCTCCTCCTGCCACTATGTTTTCAAGTTGTCCTAATACTCCACCATGACACGCAGGCTTGTGGGTCCCAGAGATCCAGAAGCATCTCCCGACCACAACATCCTGACCCAGATTCTACTGAAAAATACGCGAGTCTGGGAGAGCCATCTCTGACACTTCCCTTCTTTTGAACGGCTGATCTGTCAGTCCTGGGGAGCCCTTATGAAAGTGCAGTGTGTTTTGTGAAACTTGAGGTTGATCAAAGAATACCACTTTGTTAAGAAATCTACATATTGATGACATATGCAGTGGGGTGGAGGTGGGGAAATTCCCAAATACATTTTAGGAATTATCTCAGAAGGAGGTAATAGTCAGAACTCTTGGTTGTCAGTGACAGAAACTCATCTTACTAGTGTGGAGTGGAAAAGGGATCATGTTTTTCTCTGCACTCCCCAACCCCAACCCCAAGCAGATCCTGAAAGAGGGACAGGATTGCAAGTGGATTATTTAGGAGATGATTCCAGGGGACACCAATAGGGGAGTGAGGAATTGATTCATGGAAAGGTAGGAGGCCACACAGGGGGCTTCAATGAGCAGCTTACCACTCTAGGCAACTAGGATTTGACCCCACTGGGGACCTCTGAGAGGTGATGTGGAATACATTTCAAAGTTGTTCCATCCAGGGGGCAAAGATATTGAAGCATTTATAGCCTGGCTCCCATCCGTCACTGGCTGAGGACTGGTCCCAGGGCATCAACTCTCTGGCTTTGCTTTCTTCTTCTTCTTTTTTTTTTTTTTTGAGACATAGTCTTGCTCTGTCACCCAGGCTGGACTGCAAAGGCATGATCTCGGCTCACTGCAACATCTGCCTCCCAGGTTCAAACGATTCTCTTGCCTCGGCTTCCTCAGTAGCTGGGATTACAGGCGCCTGCCACCATGCCCGGCTAATTTTTTTATTTTTTGTAGAGACGGGGTTTTGCCACGTTGGTCAGGCTGGTCTCTAACTCCTGACCTCGTGATCCACCTGCCTCGGCCTCCCAGTGTTGGGATTACAGGAGTGAGCCACTGCGCCCAGCTTCTGTGGCTTTTCTGACATACTCCATGCCTGACTTTCAGAAAGCCCTCAGGTGAAAGTCTTGGTTGTATGCAGTATCGAGCATGTACTAAAATGACAAAAACCAAGGGGCTTACCACAAGATCTCTCTCTCTATCTCTGTCTCTAGCTTTGTCTGCATACTGGCTTAATTTCTTCTTACTCAAGCCTTTTCTCCATAAGGTGAGAAACGTGTCCACAAAAGCTCCTGTATTTCTCACTACACACAATTCCTGTCATCACAGAGAATGATTAACTTGGTCTAGTTCCAGTTTGGAAAAATATTCAAGGGAAGAATTCTGATTGGCCAATTTAGGCCAGATGCTCATCCCTGGACCAATCAACTGAGGCCAGGGAGGTGGAGTCATTTGAGAACATGGCAGCCCCCATGAGATCCACATGACTGGAGTAGGAAGTGTGACTCTCTATAGAGGGGAGGGCTGCTAGGCTGAAAAGGCAATAGATGTCTGCAGTGAAAGGAATAGATCAGGAGATACATTCTGTTAAACCTGTTAATTATTTGAAAAAAAGAGAAACTTTCAATATACTGTCACAGTATACGTGAGCCGGTGGCTCACGCCTATAATCCCAGCACTTTGAGAGGCTGAGGTGGGCAGATCAGAGGTCAGGAGTTCGAGACCAACCTGACCAACATGGTGAAACCCCGTCTTGTGCACCTGTAATCCCAGCTACTCAGGAGGCTGAGGCAGGAGAATTGCTTGAACCAGGGAGGGGGAGGTTGCATGAGCTGAGATCATGCCACTGCCCTCCAGCCTGGGCAACAGAGTGAGACTCCTCAAAAAAAAAAAAAAAAAAAGTTACATTGTCGTTCCCCCAGCGTGATTTATCAGAAAGGAAAAACTTACAATATGCATATTTCCTATGCATAGGCTACTGCTATGAATTGAAATTCTTAAATTCCAAAGATTAATTAAAATGTTTCTCAAGACACATAAACTGTTAGAATCTGCTTATAATGAGGCTGAAGTTGAGTAAGAAGAGAACTGGCATTTAGGACGCTACTTTTCTTCTGTCGAGTACTGTCAAGTTTTGGTTCTGCCTGGAAGTAGATGCACCTCAAGGGAGGGTTGCATGTAAAGGGGTGTGTGTGTGTGTGTGTGTGTGTGTGTGTGTGTGTGTGTGTGGTTTCCAAAGATGGGTACAACTTTCTGCAAATGTTCGTGCAGTATAATTGAACCAATCTTTCCTTAAAGAGGGAAAATTTATACTCCTCTACATGAATCTGGGCTGCCTATGACTTGCTTTGGTCAGTGGAATGCTGCCAAATTGATGGTGACCAACTTCTAGCCGTAAAAGGAAAATAAACCTTGGGGCCCCAAGATCACTAAGCTAGGCTGGGCTCCGTGGCTCACGCCTGTAATCCCAGCACTTTGGGAAGCTGAGGTGGGCAGATCACCTGAGGTCAGGAGTTCAAGACCAGCCTGGCCAACATGACAAAACCCCATCTCTACTAAAATATATGAAAATTAGCCAGGCGTGGTGGCAGGCGCCTGTAATCCCAGCTACTTGGGATGCTGAGGCAGGGAAACTTCTTGAACCCTGGAGTTGGAGGTTGCAATAAGCCGAGATCGTACCACTGCACTCCAGCCTGCACAACAGAGCGAGACTCTGTCCGCCCACCCAAAAAAAAGTTACTAAGCTAAAGAGAAAAGTCAAGCTGGGAACTGCTTAAGGGAAACCTGCCTCCCATTCTATTCAGTTAACCCTTTGCTTACTGAGATGAATGTATATCTGATTGCCTCATTTGGAGAGGCTAATCAGGAACTCAAAACAATGCAACCATTTGTCTCTTAACTACCAATGACCTGGAAGCCCCTTCCCCTTGTCTCACCTTCACTTTCACCTGGAGTTGTCCCGCCTTTCCAGACTGAAACAATGTACATCTTACACATATTGATTGATGTCTCATGTCTCTCTAAAATGTATCAAACCAAGCTGTGTCCCCACCACCTTAGGCCCATGTTGTCAGGACCTCCCGAGGCTGTGTCACAGGCGTGAGTCCTTAACCTTGGCAAAATAAACTTTCTGAATTAACTGAGACCTCATATTTTTGGGGTGCAAATAGTCTTAGGCCTTGAGAGCCCTCTCGTAGTTTCCATATTTTTGCCCTCTTGGATGCTGGCACCAAGCAAACCTTGGCTATCCTGCTTAAAGGGACATTTGGAGAGGGGCTCTGGAGGGCGAGGGGCCACATGGAGGAAAACAAGGTTCCCCGGCTGACAACCAGCACCAACTGCCAGGCACATGCATGAGGCCATCCTGGATGCTCCGCCCAGCTGGCCCTCCAGCTGCAGGTAGCCACACAAATGAGCCCAGGTTAAACCAGCCAGGAAGTCCCCATGCAACTCACAGGGTCATGAGCAATAATGGCTTCTGGTGGTTTAAAGTTTCTAATTTTAGGTGCAATAGGTAACTGAAACAGCCCACAAGGGTGTGAGCCTGTGGAGGGTGCATTTCCCACCTGCTGAAGCTTCTCAATTCCCAGGATCCAATCCAGATAAGACTCTTGTTCTCAGTGTCCTTGATGGAAATGGCAATGAACTTTTTGCAGATTGGACCATCTCGGGAATCCCAAAGATCGGAAACTATTTTCTTTCTCAGAATCTTCCACAAAGCATTGAGCCTTAGGAATTTCTAAGAAGGATCTTGAATGAAAAAAAATCTTTTGAAAAGGTATTTGTATAGCTTCAGTTCAGCAAGATTCATGGTGGGTGTTAGAGTAAGTGCTGGTGTTAAGCCAAACCATGTTTTTCAAAGACTCATCTGGCCTCAACGTTGGCAGGATCAGAGTGGCCTCCCAGGATCTATCACATCCTCAGAAGAGTTGGTTCAACTGGCATGTACCCAGATCTCTTTGAGCTAGTATGATACTCCCTTGAGTCAAAGGCTGCCACATCACATCTCCTTTAAGTCCCCCTAAGTACGACCCCAGAAGTATTGACAAAATAGTGCAATTCCTGAAGATTTCAGGAGGACATAAATGAAGAGACTAAACTGCAAGGTACCAAAACTTCCATCTTTGCTAAAGACCCTCATCCAGACTGGGCACGGTGACTCACGCCTGTAATCCCAGCAATTTGGGAGGCCAAGGCGGGTGGATCACCTGAGGTCGGGAGTTCAAGACCAGCCTGACCAACATGGACAAACCCCATCTCTACAAAAAATACACAATTAGCCGGGAGTGGTGGTACATGCCTGTAATTCCAGCTACTAGAGAGGCTGAGGCAGGAGAATCGCTTGAACCTGGGAGGCGTATGTTGCGGTGAGCTGAGATCGTGCTATTGCACTCCAGCCTGGGCAACAAGAGTAAAACTCCATCTCAAAAACCAACAAACAAAAAGCCCTTATCCAATGGTCATGCCACTCTATCTGGCCATGTAATTTCTCCTCCTGTCTTTCTGTAGCAACAGCCTTCTGAAGAACCTCACTCTGCCTTTCAAAACCCCTTCAACTTGTACCCTTCATCAGCAAAGTACTTAGCTCAACATGTATGCCTCTGGGGGTACACATCCACATGCCATTTAAGGATATTTCCAGCATCATCATCTTCACTACCCCAGGATGGCATTTTAGAGTGGATTACGTGCCTGCTGGATGTGTTGTACTTGAACGAGCTAGAGAAAATGCCACACTTTAAGACGAATTAAGAGTCTGTTCATTTAGCTGGCGGCTAAGAAATGGCTAACGTTTAAAGTTCTCTCGGCCTCGAAGAAGGGGCTAGATTTTCTTTTATACTTTCGTTTAGAAAGGGGAGGGGGGTCTAGTTAAAACAATTTTACAGAAGTAGGCAAAAAAGTTAAAAGGATAAATTGTTGCAGGAAAGTAAACAGCTCTAGGTCTAGGGGCTTTAAGACTATTATGAGGTGATAGACGCGGGGCTTTGGGCGTTATCAATTGGACGAATTCCTGGGAACTGCGGATATTGCTCACCACAGTATCTTATCAGTTAATTGCATTCTTCGATGTGCTGGGCGTCAGCTTGCACAAGTTAAGTCCTTGAGGAAGGGGCTGTCAGTGAAAGAGCCAAGATGGAGTCTGTCTGCCTCTCTTAGCTAAGGGAGAGTCAATTCAGGTGGAAACAAGGCTAGGTGATTAAAAGAAAGGGAGAGTCTAAGAACAGGGTTAGTAAAAACAAGGTTGGGCATTACATTCCTCACTTGTATTTTTGGGGAATCAAATCGTTGATTCTTCAGTTATAACGAGGGGGTTATTTTGAGTCTTAAGATACATAAGTTTGACAGAAGGTATACGTTGTTTTACAAAATTAATAAACTAATTTAATATACAAGGTCCAAAAATTAAACTTAATAGTAGGATGGGGAGGGGGTCTGGCTAACTGAGTAATTAGAATAGTTAGCTCTGGGTTCTAGTTGAACATGCTTTGATACTAGGGGATGTTATTTTCTTGTTCTTGTTGGCGCTTATCTAGATTTTCTTGCACTTTCTGGAGTGTATCTTTTATGCCTAAGAATGGTGGAGGAACAGTTGAATCAACTTTCTCAGGGTGTTTCTGGAACATAGGGTTACTTAGATCAGTTAAAGGCCTGATTGGCTTGGGTAGGCTTTATGAGACTAGGTTTTTTTTGGATGGTGAACATAGACTTAACATTAAATCCTGGGATATAAAATCTTAATCTTCATGACATGCCATGATACTGTTGTGTTGAATTAAGGTCATGGACAGTTATAGTAAGAGGATTACAATTTCTTCTAGTATATAATTTAGGATGAGAAGCAGGACTTATGGAAAGAGTTGAAGATCTGGTTGATCTTTTAGAGCAGGTGGCTAAAGTTACACATGTCTAATCAAGACAGGAAAACTGATAAGTATCTTGACAGCTAGCATCAGGGTGATTTCTAGGACAGAGGTAAAAGTAAATATTTTGGAGTCTTTTTTCTGCACTTTTGGAGCTTCTACATTTAGTTTGGCTCTTGGAGTGTCTGAGTCTTGCTGCAAAGTCGACACTTCCTGCTCCTGGAACTGGCAGATTGTGTTGCTTTTCGTGGGTATGGGCTGGCTTTGGGAAGAGTACAAATAAGTCAACTGCAAAGGACACTTCCTTGGAGGTACTGGCCTTCTAAGTGGTGTTTGCAAGTACAAGTCCTGTTGTGAAAGAGGTGAGGAGAAAGGAGTAGGAAGGCACAGAGGATGTAACGGGCAAAAACAAGTGAGTGAGGTAGATAAAAAGAATGAATCTAATGGCTTCACCTGACTTAGGTGCAGTTTTAAGGGGCCTGACTTAGGCTTGGGGACTTATGTTTTTAGTTGGACTCTGTTGGCCTTTTTGATGCGGGAGTGATGAATGTAAGCAGGAATGCCATCTACTTTCAGAGCCATTGGAGTCGTGAAGATGACGTTGTGAGGTCTTTTCTAAGCAGGAGTGAGTCTTTCTTTTTGGAACTTTTTAACAACACTAGGTCTCCTGGCTGGAACGAATGGCAGGACTTTGGTCAGGAATTGGATTGGGATGGGCTCCTGGAACAAGTGGCAGGATAATATCTTGTACCTGTTGGAGAGACTATAGGTACTGTAATAAATTAGTTTGTGATATTTCTGCTAATTTGGCATCTCTTAGCTTAGGCAAGATAGGCGGTGCCTTATTATACATAATTTCAAAAGGTGAGAAATTAGCCTGGTAAGAGGTGCACCTTAATTTAAGTAGGGCTAAAGGAAGGAGACTTACTTAATTTACACTGTTTTTTTAAGATTAATTTTATAAGAGTGTTTTTTAGGGTGTGGTTCATGCGTTCTACTTGCCTGGAGCTCTGGGGTTGATAGACACAATGGAGTTTCTGTTGAATGTTTAACGCCTTACTGACTGACTGAGCTATAGGCGAGGTGAAGGCTGCTCTATTATCAGACTTTATGGCAGCAGGCAGCCTATATTGACGGATGATTTCATTGAGTAAAAACTTAACTACTATGTTGGTGGTTTCGTTTTCGGTAGCAAATGCCTTAGTCTATCTGGAGAAGGTGTCTACTAGTACTAGAAGGTATTTGTACTTAGCCTGGTGTGGTTTGACTTCTGTAAAGTCAATTTCTTACTTTTTTCTTGGCGACTTTTTCCAGAGACAGTGGCCTGGGCTGGGTTTAGGACTTTGTTTGGCATTTACTTGGGCTCAGGTTGTGCACTGGAGAGCTGCTTAATCTTTAGGCTTTGAAGACCGGGGATCTTAAAATGGCTCTGGAGGAGCTGAGGTAGCTTTGCTCTTCTTAAATGGGTGATAGACTGTACGTAACTGGTTAAAGTTTGTTTAAGAGTTCAGGGTATGAAGATTCTAGAGTCAGGAAGAATCTACTAACTTTCCTGATTTTTATTGGCTCTGAGATCCGAAGCCAGTTGTTGTTGTTGTTGAGTATACGGGATTGTCAGGCAGATCTGGCTGTGGAAAGGAGACTGTGGGCAGCAAGTTTAGAGGCGTGACTGAAAGTCTTGCTGCGACCTGAGCTGCTGAATCAGCTTTCTGGTTACTATGGGCCACGGCCGTGTTTTCTTTTTGATGTCCTTTGCGGTGGATCACAGCTACCTGCTGAGGTGAGTAGCCTGCTTTCCTGGTAGATGGCTTTATGTACATGCACAGCAGCAAAGGCGTACTTGCTGTCAGTGTAAATGTTAATAAGTTTATTCTTACTTTATTGGAGAGCCTGAGTGAGGGCGATCAATTCAGCCTTTTGTGCTGAGGTGTTCGCTGGTAAAGCTTGAGCTTACAACAAATGTGTCTCCGTGGTAACAGCTGCACTGGCTCTTCATATTTCCTGCTTGAGGAAGCTGCTACCGTCTGTGAACACGGCGGCATCTGCCTTTTCTAGGGGCACAGCTTGAAGATCAGATAGGCCAGTTTCGATAGTTTCTAACAGTTCTTGACAGTCATGAGCAGGAATAGTGGAGTCTGAGTCAGGAAGTAGTGTAGCTGGATTGAAACACTTTGTGGGAGAGAAAGTCAAACGAGGCTGATCTAACAGTAAACTTTGATACCGCAAGATGCGAGCATTTGACATCTATTTGCCAGAAGCATTTTGTAGTAAGGTCTTTACGGCGTGAGGAGCTGTAAGGGTTAAATTTTGGCTTAGAGTTAACTTATCATCTTCTTGGGCCAGGCTTGCTGTAGCCGCTAAGGCTCGAAGACAACTTGGCCATCTAGAGGCCACAGGATCTAGCCTCTTAGACAAATAGGCCACTGGGCGGCTTTAGGGTCTTAAAGTCTGAGTAAGCACGTCTTTAGCAACTCCTTGGCTTTTATGGAGATATTAGGGAGGGCTAAAGCAGGGGCTTCAGTTAATGCTAAATTAACGGGCTACTTCATTCTGTACTTCTTGGATGGCTGCCACTAAGATTTTTGTTTGTCTTCTGAATGCTTTATCAGCGGCCTTTCCAGTTGCCTGTGTTGCTTTTGTTTTTTAAGCTTTTGATTATCAAAAACTTTTTGGGCTATTTCTAAAAGCTGACTGATATTTATTCTAGAAAATCTTTAGTTTTTGGAGTTTCTTTTTAATATCCTGGGCTGCCTGAGCCACAGATGCTAAATTAAGAGCAAGGCTATTTTCGGGAGCTGCCGGGTCAAAAGGGGTGTAAATCCGATAAGCCTCCTGGAGGCGCTCTAAAACGTTCTTGGTGACTTATCGGGCTTTTGGACAACGTCGGTCGTCTTAGACAAGTTGATGGGTTTCTGAGAGGCTCTTTTAATACTTGCGAGGAGATACCGGTGAAAATCGTCTAAAGCTCCCTTTCTACTTGAGGAATGTGGGTCCTGGTTAGGCTGGGTAGAGGGAAAGACATCCTCAAGGAGGTCTCTAGCTTCTTCTTCCGGTCCGTTGGCTGATGTGAGGAAGTACTTTTTGGCTTCTTTTTGGATACGTTCCTTCTTTTCAGAGGTGAAAAGGGTTAAAAGGAGCTGTTGGCAATCATCTTAGGTGGGCGGGCGGGTCCGGAGTACAGACTCTGTCAGAGAGGTCAAAGCCTGGGGCTTTTCAGAGAAGGGAGGATTATGGGTTTTCTAATTATATAAGTCAGAAGTAGAAAAAGGGACACAAACTAAGAAGGGTGCTGAGCGCTCGTCACCTGGAGGGACTTGTGCCTCTCTCAGTGGTAGTAGAGGGACTACTTCTTCCTGCCACGGTCATGACTGAGAGGCAATGGGTGGCGAGCCTACAGGGGACGTCGTCGAGGAGACATGGGATAACTTTAAGGGAGAAGGTTGGTTGTAAGGCGGTGGGATTGGGTGAGGGGGACTCTCCTCTTCTTCAGAGGGAGGCAGTACAGGGGAAGCTGAACCGACTGAGGGTTGAGGCGAAAACGCGGTCTGGCTTAGGAGGACCTTGGAGGTAGAATTATGAATGGCGCATGAACGGAGCCATGGAGAGTGGATCCTGACTAAACGTAGCTAATGTAGGGAAACTGATCAGGGTGACTAGGAGTTTCAGTAACAACCTGCCACACAGCTTGAACAATTGTGAGGTTCAATGACCCTTCAGGGGGCCACTTGACTTTAAACTTTGGCCATTTTATTTTGCAGAGTGTCTGGAACTTGCCTTTTTTAGGCGGACTTTATAATCCTCTGAACTGAGAGAAAAATTCTGCAGCATACATTGGAGAGGGCTTTAACTTTACAAGGCTGGGAGGAAGTGTTTCTTATTTTTATTTTTTTTGAAGGCAATTTAATAAGATTTGAGCATAGATATTAAACTTAGCATGGACAGAGAAACTTATTTCTTGGGGGACTGGCATAGTGAAAGAACAGAATCAGTATGACCAGAGAGAGCAGAAAAACTTACAACAGCTAATACTACTTGCTACATTGCTGTAGCTTTAAGATTGAGGGAGGAGGACTAGAGCCAGCCTGAGATCTTCTGGGTCAGTTTGATCTAGGCGTTCTTCTTCTTCTTCTAGATCTGCACTTTAAATATTTTTGGTGTCTTTATGACTTAAATGCAAATAGCTTAAACTTAGCTTTTTGTTTTAAGGGTTTAAGGAGTGAGAGCAGAGCCAAGTCCTGGAGATGGTAAACTTGCTGTCGCACCGTAAAACGAGATGTGCGGGATAGGGGGCAGGGACAAGGCAGAAAAGGACTACTCGGATCATTTTTAAGATGGGACAGTAGCCACAGAGGAACAGAGTAAGAATCTAAATGAAGTAAAGCAGTACGGGCGTACATTTCTTTACACAGTGTTCTACTTAAGGGCACAGGAAAAGTTACAGAATGACGAGAGAGGTGAGCAAGGAAATTTGCAGGGTGGCTGTTTTGAACTCACTACTGGTTTAGTTTAGAGGAGGTCTAATCACCTGGACGTGGAGTATGACGATCTAAATACTTACAACTTTCATAGTGCTAGAAATCTTAATCAGGCAAATGTTTTTCACACTTGTTCTTGTAACAACACTTGACTTGCTTCTGGCAGAAAAGACAGGACTGTGGTCGCCAGCCTAAAAGATTGATGAGAAATTTAACCTCCTGTGACAAAAAATCAGCACTAAGGGCTTTGAAGAAGTTTTTACTTAGACGTCTTGGCAATATCAACGTCTTGACATGCAAAACTCTGACAACTACTAACAAGACAATAGACACTGAGCAGAACAATCAATATAAAACAAACAATTGACTTTAGTGCATGTAAACAGTTACGACAGTTTCTTCCTTTTTTTTTTTTTTTTTTTTTTTTTTTAGACAGACAAGGGGAGGGTTTCCTGTGATAGGATCAGTCAGATAACTGCCTGGCCCCTCCCCCTGAGGGGACTTGGGCTCCTCTTAGCATTGGCAGGCCGGTATAAACTTCCGGCTCAGATCAAGCTATGCCTGATGCTGCCTTAAGCCTTATGGGGTCGCCACAGAACCGCAGGTGAGGTGAGGGCCTACTTGAACTCCGTAGCTTTCGCCGTGGAGCTACAAACTGGAGGACAAGCGCGAGCCCTTGTCCTCCCTCACTCATTCATTATTCACACAGAGTATATAACAGTTTTTTTTTTTTCTTTCTTGGAGATTCTTCAAGAAACTTGAACAAGAGAAAGATGAGAGATAGAAACAGAGAGAGAGAGAGTGACCGGTCTGCCGGAAACCAGGACTCAGTCCTCCAGCTTCCTGGGATGTGGACTGAGTCAAGGGAGGGCCCCTGTCAGGGCCACTTCCCTCCTAGAAAGAGACACAGAGGTGCCTAACAGAAAACCAGGGCTCTACCTTCTAGCGTCCTAGAGAAACATGCAGAGTCGAAAGAGGGACACCCTCATCAGGGCCGCTTCCCTCTTCCTAGAACTGAAGTCAAATCTGACCTACGTGACCTCAGGGTCAGAAGTCGAGGACTCAGAGGTGGAATTTTTATGGGCACCCACCGGGTAGTCGATCCGCTCTCCTCTGGAAGACGGTCACTTTTCGAGGACCTGAAGGTTTTTTTTTAGGTGGCACCCCCCACAAGCCGGCCGTCCTTCTGGGGGAGCCCGGCTCTCTCCTCATGGCGTTTCTCGCTGGGGCCTCCAAATGTTGTACTTGAATGAGTTGGAGAAAATGCCACACTTTCACATGAATTAAGAGTCTCCTTATTTAGCTGGTGCCTAAGAAATGGCTAACTCTTAACGTTTTCTTGGCCCCGAAGAAGGGGCTAGATTTTCTTTTATACTTCAGTTTAGAAAGGGGAAACAGGTCTAGTTAAAAGAATTTTACAGAAGTAGGCAAAAAAGTTAAAAGGATAAATTGATACAGGAAAGTAAAGAGTTCTAGGTCTAAGGGCTTTAAGACTATTACAAAGTGATAGACGTGGGGCTTTAGGCATTATCAATTGGACAAATTCCTGGGAACTGTGGATATTGCTCGCCCCACAGTATCTTATCAGTTAATTGCATTCTTAGATCTGCTAAGAGTCAGCTTACACAAGTTAAGTCCTTGAGGAAGGGGCTGCCAGTGAAAAAGCCAAGATAAAAGCTGTCCCCAGTGTTAGAGGTGGGGCCTGGTGGGAAGAGATTGAATCATGGGGGTGGATTTCTCATGAATGATTTTGCATCATCCTTTTGGTCCTGTCCTTGCAATAGTGAGTGAGTTCTTGCAAGATCGGGTTGTTTACGAGTGTGTCGCACCTCCCTCCTTACTCTCTTGCTCCCGCTTCACTTTCTGCCATCATTGTAAGTTTCCTGAGGCCTCCACAGAAGCTCAGCAGATGTCAGTGTCATGCTCCCTGTATAGCCTACAAAACTGCGAGCCAATTAAACCTCTTTTCTTTATATATTACCCAGTCTCAGGTATTTCTTTATACCATGAGAACAGCCAAATCCAGCAGCCGTAGACAATATGTAGCAAATGTGCATGGCTGTGTTTCAATAAAACTTTATTGACAAACACATGTGCAAGCAGGTCAGATTTGGCCCATAGGCCATAGTGTCCCAATCTCTGCTCTGGAATATTCTGTCCAGCCTGGATGGACATCTCTAGGTTGTTTTTTTTTTTTTTTTTTTTTTTTTTTTTTGAGACGAAGTCTCACTGTTGCCCAGGCTGGAGTGCAGTGGTGCAATCTTTGCTCGCCAGAACCTCTGCCTCCTGGGTTCAAGCAATTCTCCTGCCTCAGCCTCCCAAGTAGCTGGGATTACAGGCACCTGCCACCACACCTGGCTAATTTTTGTATTTTTTAATAGAAATAGGGTTTCACCATGTTGGCCAGGCTGGTCTCAAACTCCTGACATCAGGTGATCCACCCACCTCAGCCTCCCAAAATGCTGGGATTACAGGTGCCCGCCACCACACCTGGCTAATTATTGTATTTTTAGTAGAGATGTGGTTTCACTATGTTGCCCTGGCTGGTCTCGAACTCCTGATCTCAAGTGATCCACCTGCCTCGGCCTCCCAAAGTGCTGAGATTACACGTGTGAGCCACTGCAGCTGCCCTCTAGATTTTTTTTTTTGTTGACCATTGCTTATTTGGTTTGACTTTCATTTTCTTCCCCATTGTGGTAGTCATTTTCTGAATGCCTGTTAGTTTGTCCATCTCTCTCCTCTGTAGTCCCTAGAGTCAGATGAACTCCTCTGCAGGTGCAATGGTGTAACACTCTCTAGTGCTGAATTCTGAGCAGGAGAAAGAGAGCAAGAGTGACCAGTACCTTTGGAAACTCTGGCCTCCTGAGAATTTGGTGTCTCCTCTGCAAAGGTTGCATACCTGTTAACCCACAGGCAGGAGAGAGAGACAAGCCAGAATCATGATCTGTTGAGCTTGAGTTTAATATCTGATGCACAGAGATCACTGAGTTTTTTGATAAGAATTAGAGGGGGAAGAAATGGTCACAGAGAACAATTTCTATCTCCAGGTGAGGATTCAGGAGATAATTCTGTGAACAGAACTTCCTGAGAACTGAGATGCGGGAAATAGCTGGTATTAGAAGAGTGAAAATGTCAGTAATTATGGCTACGACTGTGCTCTTAGAGGCAAAAGAAGAAAATGAGACTGCCAGGCATGAATAATGAGAAATCTTTGATGGAATTAGCCATGCAGAACAGATACTAAATGCATCCTCATTCTTCTCATAGTCAAAAGTTTGTGCTTAAGCTGGATGGGAAAAAGAGAATCCCATTTCACTAAGTATAAAAGAGGGGATTTTAGAGAAGGTCTCAGAAGAAAGAGATGTGGGGGTTTGGTGAAACTCACCAGAGGCTGAACCCTCTCCAGCATAACACAGGGATTGGGAGGAGCAGGGCGGCATTAGGCCAGATGTATAGCCCAGTGCTGCTCTCTCTGGACTGGTTTGCTAGCTGAGCTCATCCATTTACATAATTTTCAGTGCCATTTCTCAGCTAATGAGTCCTGAACTTTTGTCTTGAGGCTAGAATTCTCCTTCAAACAGCAGTTTTAACACTCAACTTCTTTCTTGTTTTTTCCACTTGTCAACTCATGAACACCTCAACCTTGTTACATCCAAAGCCAAACTCATGGCTTGGAGTGGTAGGTGATGGCTGTAATCCCAGTGCTATGGGAGGCAGAGGTGGGAGGATTACTTGAGGCCAGGAGTTGGAAGCCAGCCTGGAAAACACAGTGAGACTCCCTATCTACAAAAAAAAAAAAAAAAAAAAAAAAAAAAAAAAAAAGCTAGGCATGGTGATGTGCATCTGTAGGATCTGTAGTCCTGCTACATGGCACGCTGAGGCAGGAGGATCACTTGAGCCCAGGAGTTTGAGGCTGCAAAGAGTTATGATTGCACCAATGCACTCCAGCCTGGGTGACACAGCCAGAGACCCTGTCTTAAAAAAAAAAAAAAACAAAGCCAAACTCTCTTTTTCCTCCTCCTTCTCCATGGGCTCTGTCCATGCCATCTCTGTTCTGTAAATGGCACCACCCCCTGCTGAGCTGCTCAAGGTGGTCATAACTCATGTGTTGTGCTAACTCTGCTTTTGCCCTCTTCTGCAGTCAGCAAGTCCTGTGATTCTAAACTTTATCCAACTTGTCCACTCTCTGTAGCTTCACTGTCATTATCTTTGCCTAGGACACCACTATCTCAGCTGGGCTACAGCAGCCTCCTAACTGGTCTTAACTGGTACTCTGCACCTGCTCTCCATGCTCAGCAATCCATTTCCTACCTGGCAGCTTCAGTGATCTTAAGGCTTCCATTGAGTCTCATCCCTGCCTTTCCTGCCCATGGTACATAGAATAAAATCGAGACCCCGAGTCTTCTGCCTGTTCCTGCCACCTCTCCAGCCCTCTACTATCTCCTGCCCTTGGCCTACTCTATTTCAGCCACTATGGCCTCCTTTTGTTTTCTTGGACTTTCAAACCTTTTTCCACAACACGGCCTTTGCACTTGCTGCTTCAGCCTGGAATGATTTTCCCTGCACCTCCCCAAATTAGACCATCCTTCAGGTGTCAGCTAAAATGGTGCTTCCACAGACAGCTCTTCCCTGACCCCTTTATAAAGTGGACTTGCCTGCTCTTCTCCACCTTAACCTCTTATTGTTTCTTGTTGTGGGAAGTCAGGGACCCCAAATGGAGAGGGACTGGCTGGAGCCATGGCAGAGGAACATAAATGGTGAAGATTTCATGGACATTTATCAGTTCCCAAATAATACTTTTATAATTTCTTATGCCTGTCTTTAATCTCTTAATTCTGTTATATTCATAAGCTAAGGATGTACATCACCTCAGGACCACTGTGATAATTGTGTTAACTGTACAAATTGATTGTAAAACATGTGTGTTTCAACAATATGAAATCAGTGCACCTTGAAAAAGAAGAGAATAACGACAATTTTTAGGGAACAAAGGAAGACAACCATAAGGTCTGCCTGCCTGCAGGGTTGGGCAAAAAGAGCCATATGTTTCTTCTTGCAGAGAGTCTATAAACGGATGTGCAAGTAGGAGAGAGATCGCTAAATTCTTTTCCTAGCAAGGAATATTAATAGTAATACCCTGGGAAAGGAATGCATTTTTTGAAGCCCTTAATAAAAACTTGCTCATCTGAGACTCAGGGGGCATCACGGTCCTACTGATGTGTAATGTCACCCGCAGCAGCCCAGCTGTAAAATTCCTCTTTGTAGTGTCTCTCTTTATTTCTCAGCTGGCTGACACTTATGGAAAACAGAAAGAACCTACATTGAAATATTGGGGGCAGTTTCCACCTATACTTCTTTCATAGATTTACTTATTTTTTGTTTGTCCCCCTCTGTATCCTAGAAACTCCTGGAGGGCAGAGGCATGCCTGCCATCTTCATCATTGCATTACCACCACCCAACACTATCGGGGGACCTGCCCTGATAATCAGGTAGGTTCTTTTCTATTTTCCTAAGCGTCGACTGGCTTGAGAAATAAAAGGACAGAGTACAAAAGAGAGAAATTTTAAAGTTGGGTATCCGGGGGAGACAACACACATTGGTAGGATCCGTGATGCCCCACAAGCCACAAAAACCAGCAAGTTTTCATTAGGGAGTTTCAAAAGGGGAGAGAGTATATGAATAGGAGTGGGTGACAGACATCAAGTACTTAACAGGGTAATAGAATATCACAAGGCAAGTGGAGACAGGGTGAGATCACAGGACCACAGGATGGAAGTGAAATTAAAATTGCTAATAAAGTTTTGGCACCATTGTCATTGATAACATCTTATGAGGAGACAGGGTTTTGAGATCAACCGGTCTGACCAAAGTTTATTAGGCGGGAATTTTCTCTTCCTAATAAGCCTGGGAGTGCTGTGGGAGACTGGAGTTTATTTCACCTCTGCAATCTCGACCATAAGTGACAGGTAAGCCCCGGGGGGCCAGTTCAGAGACCTACCCCTAGGTGCGCATTCTCTTTCTCAGGGACGTTCCATGCTGAGAAAAGGAATTCAGCGATATTTCTCCCATTTGCTTTTGAAAGAAGAGAAATATGGTTCTGTTCTGCCTGGCTCACCAGCGGTCAGAGTTTAAGGTTATCTCTCTAATTCCCTGAACAATTGCTGTTATCCTGTTCTTTTTTCAGGGTGCCCACATTTCATATTGCTCAAACACACATGATGTACAATTTGTGTACTTAACGCAATTATTACAGGTCCTGAGACGATATACATCCTTCTCGACTGACAGGATTAAGAGATTAAAGTAATGACAGGCATAGGAAATCACAAGGGTATTGATTGGGGAAGTGATAAGTGTCCATGAAATCTTCACAATTTATGTTTAGAGATTGCAGTAAAGACAGGCATAAGAAATTACAAAAGTATTAATTTGGGGAACTAATAAATGTCCATAAAATCTTCATAATCCACGTTCTTCTGTCATGGCTTCAGCCGGTCCCTCTGTTTGGGGTCCCGACTTCCCGCAACATCTCTCCCTTTCTTTTTATATAAATGTGCCATGGCGATGAAGGCTTGTTCATTCTCTCGATTTTGACACAGGATTATTTGACTGGTACGGCACACTAAAAGCAAGCCGATGAAGCAGAGAAACATAATTCCAGAATTTACTACAGTGGAGCCCCCAATAGACTTAATCCAAGTTCTGGGGTTTAATCCATAAAGATTTTCTGCCACCTGATCTAACGCCTGAGCTCCAGGCACGATGGATAAGTGAGCTTGGGAGGCTTCAAAAATTTGTTTTTTTTTTTAATTTAGTTGTTTTCAATGATAAATTATATTTTCTACCTAGAAGATGTCCTTTGACCATTTCCCATGAATGATCAGTCTCGTTGTAGGAATAGGGGTGATGCAGAAATCCAAAGTATTCCAATCGCACTGCATTTGCATGCGATGTTCTAGACTCACTACCCGATCTCCAAGCCAAATAACAGACTGTCTTAAATCATTAATTTGATTTGCCAATTTTTGATCGATGCCTTGTTGAGAATTCCACATTTGGGTGGAATTGGCTTGCCAATCATTAACAAAATGAGCCGTTTGAATAGACTGGTGTAATGCCATTCCAGCAGTGGTGGCCATTGCAGTGACTGTAATTAGGCCCATGATAACAGCGATTAAAGTGAAAACAAATATCTTAGGTTCTTTTAGAATTCGTTGTACCAATTCATTAATTAAATGTATTGAGGGGGAGGATTCCCAAGGTCTAGGTAAAGTTATCGGAATCCAGATTCCTTCTCGAGCTCAAACCAACATTACACTTTTCCTGGAGTCAAAGTGGGAGTTAATACAAGTGTATAGATGACAACTGATGCATTGGACAATTTGATTATTCATCCAAATTTTGATATTTCCTACCAATATCATGTAAGGAGGCTTAACACAACTCTGTATGGGAACAGTCAGGTTGGAGGTAAGTAAAGCAGAATATCTGGGTCTACGTTGATACTGAGAGAGTGGGACGGTAGTGGGAACAACAGTCAAAATAGTTTTTCCTTCCCATACTCGCAGTCCAGCCATGGCAATAGCCAATTTCCAAAGTTCTGGGTGTTCTGGGCTCAGAATAGGGAGTATCATAGGATGCCTGGTGGGGGCGGGGGTAATGCCTTTATCTTCCCATTTTAAGGGAAAGAATGAGCTGATCCTTGAATGATGATTCTCTTTCTCCTGATAAGAAATAAAATAAGTAGCCTCCAGGCATTCCCTTCCACAGAGGAGCAATTGTTTTTTAAATAGCCCTATGGTGCCCAGTCTATTACTAAACCATATGAGTCATTTTTTAATATTACTGCATGTGAGTTAACACAATCTTCCCAAATTAAAGTTTTAGATGGTCCCTCAAAATGTTTAGGGCATGGTTTTCCTGCAGGTTTATATTGAAAGTATGGGGTACCTCCCATTACTCCTCCTTTCATTTGTTGTAAAGGAGAAAGGGAGAGGCCAGAGGCCAAATGTCCCATTTTATCTGTAGCTGATGTTTCTGAAAGATAAGCAGCCCAGAACTGAGTTTCTAGATGGATGCAACCAGGTGCATGTCCGAGGCACAGAGGTGGGTATTTATAACCCATGGTAACATTAAATGCAGTGCCTTCTTCTCCTGGTTGTGCGAGGCAAGGGTCGTCTATGGCTCCAGGCATCCACACACTATCGTTAGTGTAGATTTCTGCGGGAGCATCTATCCGGGTGAGAGAGCGAATAAGTGGAGGAAAAGACACCTAAGCCCAAGAAGAATAATTATGTGTAGCAGGTAAATCAGTGTGAGAGGAAACTGGTGAGACAGAAAGTATAAGGAGGAGAATCATTAAATAAAACCTAGTGTAAGCGAGATGGAGTGCTGAAGGAGAAAGAGAAGAAGAGTGGGATGTTATTTTCAGGCTAATAGAAATGGTGAGATATTTAGGTTTGTAAGGAGAAAAAGAAAGGTAATCAGGATAAGTGTGATTAGTTAGATGGGTCTCCACTGTCATCAGGGAGGATTGATTTACACCCATTGTGATTTGGTGTGCCTGTTTCTGAGGAGTCGGCACAGATCTCACCACATCTGAAGGCAGTCTCTGACACAGACGTCTCTTCACTGTGGTTTTGATTGTCAGTATTCACAAGAAGCTTGAGTCTTCTGGTGGGCACCCAGACAGGGGATTGATGATCTCCTGGTGAAACACAAGCATATCCTCTTCCCCACGTTAAGTAGAATAAGAGACAATATTTAAAGGTTTGGGGAAATCCTGTAAGACAGTAATCACAGCAATTAACTCCGCATTTTGAAGAGAAGTATAAGAGGTAGAAAGAAGTTTGTCTGCAGGACCTGTATAGCCAGCATTGCCATTACCAGAGCCATCAGTGAATACTGTAACGGCCTCAGGAATGGGTTGATTTTTGGTTAATCGAGGAACCACCCAAGACGTTATTTTTATAAAATCAAACAATTTGTTTTTTTGGATAATGATCGTCAATAACACCAATAAAATCAGCCAAGTGAATTTGCCACAGTACAGAATGTTGAAAGGCAGCTTGAACTTCGAGCTGATTTAAAGGAACTACAATTACACTTGGATCAAATCCAGAAAATTGAAGTATTCTGCACCGAACCTGTCCAATTAATATGGCTATTTGGTCTAGATAAAGTTTTTGACACAGAATGAGGAAGAAAACACCATTCCACTAAATCATTATGTTGAACTATTAGTCCAGTAGGAGAGTGTAATGAAGCAAAAACCAGAAGCTGAAAAGGCTGAAATGTCTGTACTCTAGATAACTGGGCAGTCTGGATTTTTTCCTCTACAAATTCCAGATCCAGTAAAGCCTCAGGGGTCAAAGTCCTAGGGCTGCGGAGATCAGAATCTCCCCGCAGCATAGAGAACAAGTTAGACAGGGTATAGGTCGGAATGCCTAAAGTAGGTCTTAAATAATTAATGTTACCCAAAAGTTTTTGGAAGTCATTTAAAGTTTTAAAGAATCTCTCCTAATTTGAACTTTTTGAGGTTGAATACATTGTTTATCGACCACCATTCCTAAATATTGAACAGGAGTGGTCTGTTGAATTTTATCCTGAGCAATGCGTAATCCAGCCTCTGTAACACAGCGGTTCAAAATTTGGTAACAGTCAATTAATTTTTTATCAGTGGGGGCAGAAATTAAAATATCATCAATATAATGAAGAATATAGGCCTCGGGAAATCGGGCTCAAACTGGTGAAAGCACTTGTCCAACATAAAGCTGGCAGATTGTAGGGCTATTTAGCATTCCCTGAGGAAGTACTTTCCATTGATAACGAGCTACAGGCTCCTGATTATTGATAGATGGTACAGTAAAAGCAAATTTTTCACAATCCGATTTATGTAAAGCGATATGAAAAAAAAAACTCTTTAAGATCAATAACTATGAGAGGCCAATCTTTAGGTATTAAAGCAGGGGCAGGCATGCCGGGTTGGACGGCCCCCATAGGTTTAATTACAGCATTAATGGCCCTTAAATCGGTTACTATCCGCCATTTGCCTGATTTCTTTTTTACTAGAAACAGGAGAATTCCAAGGGGAAAGAGAAGGTTCCACATTTCCAAGTTGTAACTGCTCAGAAACCAATTGATTTAAAGCCTCCAGTTTTTCTTTAGAAAGCGGCCCCTGCTGAATCCCAGGGCCACTTGTCTTATCTCCTTTGTTTAAAAGGATATTAGGTAGTAAAAGCAATTGAGCTTGTTGAAGAGTAGTAAAAGAAACAGGAGCTTGGGCTGGGGAGTGTAGTTTATCCCAAGCTCTCATACACACTTTTGTTACTTGTTCTGTGGTAAGAGTATCAAAGTTTAATTGGGCATAAGCATCAGAGAAACTATCGGAGCCTGTGAGCTGAGCCTGAGTAATTAGAATGCCATTACTCCGATTTAGCTGAGCCTGTAAACAGGCCTCCTCCTACCACCAGGCTGAGATGGACTTAGAACAGCTTTTTGCCAAAAGATCACAGTCTAAAGGAAGCAAAACGACCTCAGTATAAAAAGTTTGCAATACCATTTGAACATAAGGAAAAGTAGGACCATACTGAGTACAAGCATCCTTAAATTGTTTTTAAAAAGGTAAGATTGAGCGGCGCCTATCGATGCAGACTGGCTGAGGAACTGAAACGACAGGAGGGTGAGGGGCTGTAGTGGATGGGGGAGGGCCTGGAGAATGACAGGTAAATTGTAGTTTGGTCCCAGAGCCATTATTTGATGCTGGAGGTTTGAAGAGAGAAGAATTAGCATATTTATGGTACCGGGCTTTTTGAGTCACAGCCGCAGGAGTTTGAAGTACCGGCTTTTCGTGGGAAGAAGTAAGAAAAGTAGGGGGTAACTTTAAGCCAAAGTTACCAGAGTTAGAAATCGAATTTTCAGAATCGTTAGGGAGGGGAGGAGTAGCTGAAGGGAGAGTCTGAACGAAGGCCATGTGGGAGAGGAAGGTTGAGAAAAAGGCAGAGAAACTGAGGAAAAGGCAGAAAACTGCGGCAACTGCAGGGGGTCAGGAGATTGGCAAGCCACGAAGATGTCACGCACCAAGCACCCCAAACAGTGATGGGCACATAATACCCGGCCGAGATCAGTTTTCGGAATGCCTTACGGACACAATCACACAATTTTATATACACCGTTCCTTTTTCAGGAAACCAAGAACAGTATTTTTCTACTGCCCTGAATAGAGTGATCATATTTTTCATGGTTACCGGTTTTAACAGGAGTTTGTTAGATTACACATGACCCACAGTTAACCCAGACCTTACACAGATTACTCACCACTCATCGGGGAGTTGAACACGCTTATCTGTGGACCAAGCCGATTGACGTTTCACCGCACCTACCAAACGGAATCCGGTTCCCTCATGCACTTAGGAAAAAAGAAAGACCACGTGGGCGCCAGATATCGGGGGACCTCCCCCGATAATCACGTAGGTTCTTTTCTATTTTCCTAAGCGTCGACTGGCTTGAGAAATAAAAGGACAGAGTACAAAAGAGAGAAATTGTAAAGCTGGGCATCTGGGGGAGACATCACACATTGGTAGGATCCGTGATGTCCCACAAGCCACAAAAACCAGCAAGTTTTTATTAGGGAGTTTCAAAAGGGGAGGGAGTATATGAATAGGTGTGGGTGACAGACATCAAGTACTTAACAGGGTAATAGAATATCACAAGGCAAGTGGAGACAGGGCCAGACCACAGGACGGAAGTGAAATTAAAATTGCTAATGAAGTTTTGGCACCATTGTCATTGATAACATCTTATGAGGAGACAGGGTTTTGAGATCAACCCGTCTGACCAAAGTTTATTAGGCGGGAATTTTCTCTTCCTAATAAGCCTGGGAGTGCTATGGGAGACTGGAGTTTATTTCACCTCTGCAATCTCGACCATAAGAGACAGGTACGCCCCGGGGGGCCAGTTCAGAGACCTACCCCTAGGTGCGCATTCTCTTTCTCAGGGACGTTCCATGCTGAGAAAAGGAATTCAGCGATATTTCTCCCATTTGCTTTTGAAAGAAGAGAAATATGGTTCTGTTCTGCCTGGCTCACCAGCGGTCAGAGTTTAAGGTTATCTCTCTAATTCCCTGAACAATTGCTGTTATCCTGTTCTTTTTTCAGGGTGCCCACATTTCATATTGCTCAAACACACATGATGTACAATTTATGTACTTAACGCAATTATTACAGGTCCTGAGACGATATACATCCTTCTCGACTGACAGGATTAAGAGATTAAAGTAATGATAGGCATAGGAAATCACAAGGGTATTGATTGGGGAAGTGATAAGTGTCCATGAAATCTTCACAATTTATGTTTAGAGATTGCAGTAAAGACAGGCATAAGAAATTAAAAAAGTATTAATTTGGGGAACTAATAAATGTCCATAAAATCTTCATAATCCACGTTCTTCTGTCATGGCTTCAGCTGGTCCCTCCATTTGGGGTCCCTGACTTCCCGCAACACAGCACAGTGCCTGGCACAAAAGAGTTGCTCAATAAATAAATCAGGATGAATAGATAAATACACGGATAGGCACTTTGAGCTACAGATGAGCTTAAATACTTTGTTTTTCTTAGTCAAACATGTGCAATGAAGCATGTGATAAATGTTATGATGAGCATACCTGTGTCTTGCCTGATGTTCTTTGCAATCACTAAATGAAGTCAATTGTGCCTGTTTTGACAGTTCTATTTTCAACCTAATGATCTGTTTATTTTAACTTCTGGCTGTTGGCTTTGTTTGGGTTTTTTAGCCTGACAAAGTGGTAGATATTGGTATTTGCTCTTTTGTTTAAATGTCACGAACTTTAAAAATGCCTTTGCTTTTGGTAAGAAACCCTAGTTAGGACACCCTAGCGGTCAGGATGATTTGGGTTCTGGTGCAGTAACAACAAACCCCAAATCTCAGTGGCCTCATGCAGTGAGGTATTTGTTTGTTTGTTTTTGAGACAGGGTCTCACTCTGTCACCCAGACTAGAGTGCAGTGGTGCAATCTCAGCTCACTGCAACCTCTGCCTCCCAGACTCAAGTGATTCTCCTGCCTCCTGAGTAGCTGGGATTACAGGCCCATGCCACCACTGTCTGGCTAATCTTTGTACTTAGTAGAGACAGGATTTCACCCTGTTAGCCAGGTTGGTCTTGAACTCCTGACCTCAAATGATCCACCCACCTTGGCCTCCCAAAGTGCTGGGATGACAGGCATGAGCCACCATGCCTGGCCACAGTGAGGCTTATTCTTGGTCACGTTGCATGTCTGGGCTGTGTTAGGGCATTCTGGGGTGGTCTGTTCATTGTGTTCACTCAGGGATCCAGGCTGACAAAAGCCCCATCTCTGCATGTGTCCTTGATCTCCACTTCAGGGCAAAGGGAATGTGGTGGATCATAGAGCAACCTCTTAACACTTCCACCTGGAGGTGACTCAAGTTGCTGCTGCTCATGGTTCATTGGACAAAACGGATCACAGAGTCATGGGCAACTTCTCTGTGCCTGGAAGGGGAAACAAAATATGAATAGCCACATTGATTTTCCCTAGATATTACACAGAAGGCCTCATTTAAACACAGTTACTTATTTGTGTTTTGAAGCTAATTGTAGTCCATCAAACTTCACAGAAGATATGTGCACTTCCAAGCTATTATTAAGCACAATTCTTTTTTTTTTTTTTTTTTTTTTGAGACAGAGTCTCACTCTCTTGTCCAGGCTGGAGTGCAGTGGCATGATCATGGATCGCTGCAACTTCTGCCTCCTGAGTTCAAGTGATTTTCATGCGTCAGCCTCCCAAAATGCTGGGATTACAGACACCCACCACCACGCCTGGCTAAGTTTTGTATTTTTAGTAGAGATGGGGTTTCACCATGTTGGCCTGGCTGGTCTGGAACTCCTGACCTCAGGTGATCCACCTGCCTCGGCCTCCCAAAGTGCTGAGATGACAGGCGTGAGCCGCCGCACCCGGCCTTGAGTACGATTTTTGATTTGGAAGGTCAGAGTTAGGGTTTTAGTCTGAGGACTGTATGATGTGAAGGTGAAAAGCAGAGCTTGGCTGTGAGTTTGCTGGGATTCCTGTGCTGCTTCTACAGCTCTTTGGCTGTGTGACCATCACTTTTGGCAAGTTCCTTTACCTTTCTATGTGTTGGTTTCCTCATCAATAAAATGGAAAAACTAATCATAATCATAATAGCTATTGGTGTTGGGATAGCCCAGTGGTTGACACATAAGGACTCAAACATACATTTTTTTTTTTTTTTTTTGAGACGGAGTCTTGCTCTGTTGCCAGGCTGTAGTGCAGTGGTGCAATCTCGGCTCACTGCAACCTCTGCCTCCTGGGTTCAAGCGATTCTCCTGCCTCAGCCTCCCGAGTAGCTGGGATTACAGGCGCCTGCTACCACTCCCAGTTAATTTTTGTATTTTTAGTAGAGACGGGGTTTCACTATGTTGTCCAGGATGCTCTCGATCTCTTGACCTCATGATCCGCCCACCTCAGCCTCCCAAAGTGCTGGGATTACAGGTATGAACCACCGTGCCCAGCTCAAAAATACTATTATTAATTTTGGGGGGCAGTTATTATATTTTGTGAAAATCAGAGTTCAGTACCTTGTAACACTGAGTTGGGATCTATCCCTGAAGGAACAGGCTTCTAAAGAGGAAGGCATCGAGAGAGGGGCAAAATTTTAGTGGACGCTGTAATGACTTTAGGTATATGGACCTGGGGCAGAGTTCTAGCTGGGACCACCAGGTAGCAAGGTGGACTTTGCTAAATTCTATCACTTTCCTGGGCCTCAGACTCACTTGTTACAAATGGGATTAAAGCATCCCTCTTTCAGGGCTAAGATAAAGATGATTAAGTAAGAGGGAATGAAAGCAACTTCCATCAATGGTCAAAAGTATTCATTTAACTTTTTTTTTTTTTTTTTTTTGAGATGGAGTCTCTCTCTGTTGCCCAGGTTGGAGTGCAGTGGCATGGTCCCGGGTCACTGCAACCTCCACCTCCTGGGTTCAAGTGATTCCCTTGCCTCAGCCTCCTGAATAGCTGGGACTACAGGTGCATGCCACCAAGCCTGGCTAATTTTTGTATTTTTAGTAGAGACGGGGTTTTACCATGTTGGCCAGGATGGTCTCGACCTCCTGACCTTGTGATCCACCCACCTTAGCCTCCCAAAGTGTTGGGATTGCAGGCATGAGCCACCATGCCTGGCCCATTTAACTTCTATATTATTTTCCTGTTGGTGGATTTACCAGTGCAAACTGAGCAGCTTAAAACACCATCCAGTTATTATCTGTTTCCATGAGCCAAGGCTCTGGGCAGGGTTTAACTGGATCTTCTATTCCGGGTCACAATACTGCAACCAGAGTGTCAGCTGGGGTCTCATCAGATGCTCAGTGTCCTCTTCCAAGCTTATTCAGTTTGTGGACTGAATTCAATTTCTTGCAATTGTAGAACGAAGGCCCTCAGCTCCTAGAGCTGCCACCTCCAAAGACAGTTCACAGCATGGCCATTTTTGTCTCCTTGGAGGCTAAGGGTTGAATCTCTGAAACTTCACCTTTAAAAGACTCACCTGATTAGGTCTGGCACACCTAAGATCATCCTGCTTTGGATGAACTCAAAGTCAGCTGAGCAAATGTGCTTAACAAAGCAAGTGTGACCATAATCACATTTGCAAAATTCCTTCCCCTTGGCCAAATCACAAGCTCTGCACACACTCAAGAAGAGATGATACAGGGAGCAGATATAAGGGAGTGGTTCTCTTGGGGGCTGTCCTAGAACTCTGCCCATTACAACTTCCTTCCTCGAGGAACAGCAGGCCTGGGGAGAGATGATCACGGATGAGAGCAGCCCACAGGTTGTGAGCGCCAGGTGCTGGAGTAGGATGCAGGAGGCTGACAAGCAAGTATGAAAAGCCTTCACTGGGCTGGGTGGAGTGGCTCACACCTGTAATCCCAACACTATGGGAGGTCGAGGTGGGCGGATCACGAGGTCAAGAGATCGAGACTATCCTGGCCAACCAACATGGGGAAACCCCGTCTCTACTAAAAACACAAAAAATAGCTGGGAGTGGTGGCACACGTCTCTAACAACCCAGCTCCCCAAGTAGCAATTCCTGTCCCTTTTAAGGGCTCACAACCCTAAGGGGGTCCGCGTAAGCGGGTCGTGATCATGAGAGTCGTGATCGATTGACCAAGAAGGGAGTACGTGACTGGGGGCTGCATTCAGCAAACCCCATCTCTACTAAAATAGCAAAATTCAGCAAAGTCTCAGGATAAAAATCAATGTGCAAACATCACAAGCATTCGTATACACCAATAACAAACAGAGAGCCAAATCATGAGTGAACTCCCATTCACAATTGCTTCAAAGAGAATAAAATACCTAGGAATCCAACTTACAAGGGATGTGAAGGACCTCTTCAAGGAGAACTACAAACCACTGCTCAAAGAAATAAAAGAGGATACAAACAAATGGAAGAACATTCCATGCTCATGGGTAGGAAGAATCAATATCATGAAAATGGCCATACTGTCCAAGGTAATTTATAGTTTCAGTGCCATCCCCATCAAGCTACCAATGACTTTCTTCACAGAATTGGAAAAAAACTACTTAAGTTCATATGGAACCAAAAAAGAGCTGGCATTACCAAGTCAATCCTAAGCCAAAAGAACAAAACCGGAGGCATCACGCTACCTGACTTCAAACTATACTACAAGGTACAGTAACCAAAACAGCATGGTACTGGTACCAAAACAGAGATATAGACCCATGGAACAGAACAGAGCCCTCAGAAATAATGCCGCTTTATCTACAACTATCTGATCTTTGACAAACCTGACAAAAACAAGAAATGGGGAAAGGATTCCCTATTTAATAAATGGTGCTGGAAAAACTGGCTAGCCATATGTAGAAAGCTGAATCTGGATCTCTTCCTTACACCTTATACAAAAATCAATTCAAGATGGATTAAAGACTTAAATGTTAGACCTAAAACCATAAAAATCCTAGAAGAAAACCTAGGCAATACCATTCAGGACATAGGCATGGGCAAGGACTTCATGTCTAAAACACCAAAAGCAATGGCAACAAAAGCCAAAATTGACAAATGGGACCTAATTAAACTCAAGAGCTTCTGCACGGCAAAAGAAACTACCATCAGAGTGAACAGGTAACCTACAGAATGGGAGAAAATTTTTGCAATCAACTCATCTGACAAAGGGACCAATGACTTTCTTATAACCAAGAGAATATGGCAGAGGTGATGGGATGTAGTGATTATGTTAGATAGGATGTTAAGTTGTCTTGCTAGGAGGTTATCTTGCTGGCTTTGAAGATGTGAGCTGCCATGTCATGAGTGGCCAGATGGAGAGGCCCATGTGGCAAGAAGCTGAGGACAGCAAGAACCTGGGGCCCTGAGTCCAGCAGCCTGCAAGGAACTGAATGCTGCCAACAACCAGATGAGCCTGGAAGCAGATCAATCACCAGTCAAGCCTCCAGATGAGAACTGAGCCCTGGCTGACATTATGGTTGTAGCCTTGCACTGAACCCAGCTGAGTCACGCCTGGATTCCTGACCCACAGAAACCACATAGTGATAACTGTGTGCTGTCTCAAGCCACAAAGTTTGCAGTAATATTGTTGCACAGCAATAGATAACTAATATGAAAACTGTCCTACATCATGTACATTACTGAGTGAAATGTAGAACCTGGATTTAAGCTCTGATTTCAGAGTTGTGGTTTCAGTCTCCCCAGGGAGACCTGTCCTGGGAGACAGTTATGCCAGGCTGTGATGCTGTGATGATTGTTCTCTTCCTACCCAGAAGCTTTCAATAGGCATGTCAAGCATGTGACCCCAGCTACATATACCAAATATATTTCTGACAAATGACAGGACATCATGAGCTTTCTTGTTTTACTGAGAGCTCCATAAAGGAAGGATCATCTCTGTCTCTTTGTTTTTTTTTTTTTGTTGTTGTTTGTTTTTTAAGAGTCTCACTCTCACCCAGGCTGGGGTGTAGTGGTGCGATCTCGGCTCACTGCAGTCTCTGCCTCCTGGGCTCAAGGGATTCTCCAGCCTCAGCCTCCTGAGTAGCTGGGATCAAAGGTGTGCATCACCGCACCCAGCTAATTTCATATTTTTGGTAGAGACGGGGTTTACTCATGTTGGCCAGGCAGATCTTGAACTCCTGGCCTCAAGCGATTCGCCTACCTCGGCCTTCCAAAGTGCTGGGATTACAGGCATGAGCCAATGCACCTGGCCTGTCTTTTTTATGTTATGTCCATGTGAAACAGCCCAGTGGTCAGCACACAAAGGGGTCCAAATGTGAAAGGAAAGGGCAAACACGGGAAACCTAGGGGTGTTCAGAAATAGTTCCCAGGTCATTGCCTGTTTCAATATGTACAGTCCTGGGCCACACGCACAAGATTCTGTCTTAGCAGGTCAGAGTTAGAGATGGGGAGCTACCTGGTTACGAGAGATCCCAGTGCATTTTGAGGCAGCTGGTTGTTAAGACTGCATTGTAAAAATTACAACCCAAAGATGTGAACGGAAACAGAAAGACATTGGCAGGCTAGAAAACAACACAAGTAAAACATGAACAAGTTCATTCCAGAAGGAGATTCTCAACCACAGCTGCACATCAGAATCACCTGGGGAGATTTTAAAACCCCCAATGCCCGGGCTCTGCAGCCCAGATCAATTATTAAAGAATCTCTTGGGGATGAAACATGGGCATCAGTATTTTTGGTTTGTGTGTGTGTGTGTGGTTTTTTTTTTTTTTTTTTTTTTGAGATGGAATCTTGTTCTGTCACCCAGGCTGAAGTGCAGTGGTGCGATCTCAGCTCACTGCTACCTCTGCCTCCCGGGTTCAACCCATTTTCCTACCTCAGCCTCCCAAGTAGCTGGGATCACAGGTGTGCACCGCCACGCCTGGCTAATTTTTGTATTTTTAATAGAGATAGGGTTTCACCGTGCTGCCCAGGCAGGTCTCGAACTCCCAGCCTCAGGTGATCTGCCCACCTTGGCCTCACACAGTGCTGGGATTACAGGCATGAGCCATTGCTCCTAGCAGTATTTTTTTAATGAGGCAAAATTCACATAACATACAAGTCCCTGTATGAAACCATACACTTCAGTATCATTAAATACATTCACAATATTAAGCAATCATCATCTCTGTCTAGTTCCAAAACATTTTCATTAACACCCCCGCCCCCCAAAAAAATAACCCTGTATCCATCAAGCATTCTCCATCCCCTCCCCTTTCCCCCAGCTCCTGGCAACCACTTACCTGCTTTCTGCCTCTATAGATTTGCCTATTCTGGGCCTTTCACATAAATGGAATCATGCAATATATATAATAACCAAAAGGTAGCAACAACCAAGATGGCCATTTGGTTGACGAATGAACAAACAATATGTGCGGTATCCATACAATGGAAATATTGGTGCCTACTACATGTGGATGGACCCTGGAAACATCATGCTAAGTGAGAGAGAGCCTTGGTATTGTCTCTTCTCCCCAGGAGATTCCAAGATGCAGCCAAGGTTGAGACCCACTGACAAGCAATGGATACGATCGGGTGCAGATGAAATAAGGCAGCCAGGGGCAGGAGGGACGTCTCATTGAAGACGACTATTTGTGGATGCCTAGCAGGGGTGGGGATGAGGGATGATAACAGCAACCCCAATCCCAACACTGCGTGACCGATTTTATCTTCAGCCAGCTGATACGCCTCATGGGGTTTGGACACAGGACAACTCTGCCTCCCAGGTTCAAGCAATAACACCTGCCTCAGCCTCTTAAGTAGCTGGGATTACTGGCATGTACCACCACGCCTGGCTAATTTTTGTATTTTTAGTAGAAACGAAGTCTCGTCATGTTGCCCAGGTTGGTCTCGAACTTCTGGCCTTAAATGATCCACCCACTTCAGCCTCCCATAGTACTGGGATTACAGGCATGAGCCACAGTGGCAGCCTCCAAATTGTATTTGAAGTTTGACTTTCCACCTCCAGAAAATCCAACCTTTTCCCAAGTCACAGTGGGACACCCCGGAGATAATTTGAGAGAAATATGCTTTTAAAAACAACTCAAGGCCAGGCGCAGTGGCTCACGCCTGTAATCCTAGCACTTTGGGAAGCCGAGGCGGACAGATCACGAGGTCAGGAGATCAAGACCATCCTGGCCAACATGGTGAAACCCCGTGTCTACTAAAAATACAAAAAATTAGCCGGGCATGGTGGCACATGCCTGAAAGCCCAGCTACTAGGGAGGCTGAGGCAGGAGAATCGCTTGAACCAGGGAGTCAGAGGTTGCAGTGAGCCGAGATCGCACCACTGCACTCCAGCCTGGCGACAGAGAGAGATTCCGTCTCAAAATAGATAAATAAAACCCTCCGATATGAACACCAAACTAGAATCATTCCACTGATTTCCCTCCGCCAATCAGGGGGAGTTATGGTGATGGTGCATGAGTGTCTATTTGCATTGAGTCTTAATGGAAAAAAAGGTTGTGTCACTCAAAGGAAAAACAAATCACAGCCCAGACTGGAGCTGTGGATTAATAACATGGCTGAGTGTTGGTACAGGCTTTCCACAGCAATATTAAAACTGAAAAAATCAGCAATGAAGCTCCCAGCCACATTTCTGCCAAATGATTTGGGGGAAAACAACAGAGGCACTCCTCAACTTTTCCTTCGCTGCACAAAGTGGGTTTGGCTGGAAATGCCAAGTGTACTTGTTGCTAGGATCTTTCAAATGAAAGCAAGCTGGGAGTCAACCTCCTGCAGCCGCAGGCCAGAAATGGGTTTAGACCAAACTAGTATAGTAACACTGGTGCACATCGAAACAGATTTAACTCCCTCCCAGCAATCCAGATTAATTTAATATGCTTTCTTATTGGCATTCTGCATTTTTCATTAAAGCAAATAAACATCCATCCCTCTGTGATAAGTTAGGGCAAAAAAAAAAAAAATTCATATGTTTAGGTCATAGGGAAGGAGGAGTTGTTGGCTGTTAAAAAAATACTGCAAATGGCCTTTGAAAGTCTAGACATCTTCATCATAAACACAAACATTCCTCTTCACAAAGGGACTTCAAGTAACCTTAGGCTGGAGGGCCCACTTGAGTATGTTTTTCTTCTCATTCTTTCTTACCTTCCCTCCAGCCAACCCAACCCACATTCAGTGACCAAGTCACGTGGGTTTTACCTCCTAAATCTTTTCAGATCCGTTCACTGCTCAGCCACTCTCCTGACACCACCATAAACCAAGCCACCATCACCTCCAGCTGTTTGACTGCAAAGGCCTCCTCATTGGCCTCTGTCTTCCCCTGGCCCTGTGACAATCTGCACTCCTCACAGGGACCAAAGCGATCACTTCAGAAGGTGCATCCAAACCGATCACTCGCTTTCAATGGCTCCCTCTGCTGTGTGGGTTGACAACGATAAAAGCTCGGCCGGGCGCGGTGGCTCACGCCTGTAATCCCAGCACTTTGGGAGGCCAAGGCGGTCGGATCATGACATGAGGAGATCCAGACCATTCTCCCTAACACGGTGAAACCCCGTATCTACTAAAAATACAAAAATTTTAGCTGGGCGTGGTGGCGGGCGCCTGTAGTCTCAGCTACTTGGGAGACTGAGGCAGGAGAATGGCGTGAACGCGGAAGGTGGAGCTTGCAGTGAGCCGAGATCGCGCCACTGCACTCCGGCCTGGGCGACAGAGTGAGACTCCATCTCAAAAAAAAAAAAAAAAAAAAAGATAAAAGGTCACCTTTACTGAGCACACCCTATCTCAGTCCATCCCTACATCAGCCCTTTATTTCACCAGTGGGGAAGCTGGGACACAGAGTAGTTAGGTGGGATGCCCAAGGTGGGACCACTCGTGTGAAGTTTCCACACCCTAATGTGAGACCCTCCATGACCTAGCCCCTCTCTTTCTCCAGCCTCATTTCCTGATTCTCTCGCTTGGCCTGCAGGCTTCAGCCACACAAACTTCTTTAAAGTCCCTTAAATCTGGCTGAGCGCAGTGGCTCACACCTGTAATCTCAGCACTTTGGGAAGCTGAGGCGGCTGGATCACCTGAGATCAGGAGTTCGAGACCAGCCTGGTCAACATGGTGGAACCCCATCTCTACTAAATATCCCAAAATTAGACAGGTGTGGTGGATGGCACCTGTAATCCCAGCTACTCGGGAGACTGAGGCAGGAAAATCGCTTGGACTCGGGAGGCAGAGGTTGCCATGAGCCAAGATCGCACCACTCCACCCAAGCCTGGGCGTCAAGAGTGAAAGTCCGTCTCAAAAAAAAAAGTCCCTTAAATCTGCTCTATGCCTATCAACCTCAGGGACTTCACTATGCTGTTTCTCACCCTGAAATGCTGTTCCTCATTTCTCTACATAGTGAACTCATCCCACCCTCTAGGCCTCTCCTTAAGTGTCATCACTTCAAGGAAGATTTTACTTTTTTAATATAACTATTAAAATATAATTCAGGTACCGTATGATTTGCCCATTTAAAGTGAACAAATCAATGGTTTCAGTGCATTCACAGAGCTCGGCAACCACCATCATGATCAATTTTCAAACATTTTCATCACCCCAAAAAGAAACCCTGTATCCATGAGCAGGTTCCTGCCATTTCCTCCTCCCACTAAGCCCTGACAATCTACTTTTTTTTGAGATAGAGTATCTGTCACAGGCTGGAGTGCAGTGGCACAATCTCGGCTCACTGCAACCTCCGCCTCCCGGGTTCAAGCAATTCTCCTGCCTCCAGAGTAGCTGGGATTACAGGGATGTGCCACCACGCCCATCTAATTTTGTATTTTTAGTAGAGGCAGGGTTTCTCTCTTCATAGATTTGCGTGTTCTGGACATTTCATATAAATGACATCTTAGAATATGTGACCTTTTGTGACTGGTTTCTTCCACTTAGCTTAATATTCTCATAGTTCATCCGTGTTGTAGCACGTGTTAGTACTTCATTCCTTTTGATGACTGAATAATATTCCATTGCATGATCAAACCATGTTCTATTTCTCCACTCATCAGTAGACAAGCATTTGTGTTGTTTTCACTTTGGCGCTATTATGAATAATGCTGCTATGAGCATTTGTGTACAAGTTTCTGGACGGACATATATTTTCATTTCTTTCATAAACTGGAGTGGAAGTGCTGGGTCATAGAACTCTGTGTTTAAGCTTTTGAAGAAGTGCCAGACTGTGTAAGAAAGAAAGCCTTTCCTCACCCTGTGAGACTGAGCTCCCTCTCTCCATTTATACATTCTCTTTAAGCCCTTTGCTTCTCTTTCAGAGCAATTCACGTTGACCTGGGTCACCCTCAACTTAAGGCTCATAACTCCCCTAGATCCTCAGGGTCCACACTAAATGTGATGAAATATGATGCAAGCCACATATTTACATTTGCATTTTGTAATAACCACATTTTAAAAAGTAAAACAAAAGAAGTGAAGGTAATTGGAATAATATCACAGATTTAAACAAATCTATCCAAAATACCAGGTCTACATGTATAAAATTTTTTAACAGTAACAAAATACTTTGCTTTCTTTTTATATTAAGTCTTCACAATCTAATGTGTATTTGACACTTCTCGCACATTTCAGAATGATGGCAGCAGCCCATATGGGTGGCCCGCCCATGATGCCAAAGATGGGCCCTCCTCCTCCTGGGATGATGCCAGTGGGACCTGCTCTTGGAATGAGGCCGCCCATGGGAGGCCACATGCCTGTGATGCCTGGGTGCCCAATGATAAGACCTCCTGCCCGTCTCATGATGGTGCCCAGTCAGCCCAGAATGACTTGACCAGACAGATAAGGATAGAGGGGAGGCCTCATTGCATCAGTGTTGTTTTGTTGTTGTTATTGTTGTGTTTTTTTTGTTTGTAATGTTTTGTTTTGTTTTTGAGACAGAGTCTTCCTCTGTCGCCTAGGCTGGAGGGCAGTGGCATGATCTCAGCTCACTGAAACCTCCACCTCCCGGGTTCAAGCGATTCCCCTGCCTCAGCCTCCTGAGTAGTGTGGGACTACAGGCGTATTCACCATGCCCGGCTAATTTTTTTTATTTTAGTAGAAACGGGGTTTCACCATGTTGGCCAGGATGGTCTCAATCTCCTGACCTCGTGACTCGCTCGCCTCAGCCTCTGAAAGTGCTGGGATTACAGGTGTGAGCCACTGCGCCTGGCCTATATGAATTTTATATTTACCTGCTCCCTTCACCAGGAGATCATGCTGCTGTGATGTCGAGTTTTCTTAACAGCATAAGGAAGACTTGCCCTCTTGCCCTATCAAAGAGAATAGTTTTGGAGGGGAGAAGTGGGACCAAAAAAGATGCAGTTTTCATTTGTATTGGGAAATGTGAAAATAAAATTGACAACTCTTTTAGTTAAAAACAAAAAAAAGAAAAGGAAACAAGATGTGGGGCTGCCATATGTAATACCGTGGATTCCACGGATCTTCTACTCTGGAGGCAAATATTATCTTTGCTGAAGCCAGACCAACCTGACACAAAGACCTTTTGTTTTTTTAATGTGACTGTGTTTTATTTTAGAATGTGTAATTCACTTTAGAAGGGCAAAGTACCTGTCTGGGGAAGACTATTTAATTTCCTGCATTTATTTAGAATGTTGGCTGATGTTATTATGAAGGGAAACAGCTCTAACAACTGAGTGCCCCCCACATAGCCACAGCTCATGAGTTCACGGGGCAAAGGAAATGAACAGCAGCCTCCTAATAGCCAGCCTTCTTTGTGATGTGGAAATAATTATCAGCATGTAAAAGACTATATATATATTCAACAATTCTGATCCCCTGAAAAATTCAAATCTACAACTGATTTGCTTCCTGGGCTCCTGAAAACAACTTTGTCAAAATTGTTCAGAAATATAATCAGCCAATCGTTGCCCCTTGGGGACGCAGGATAAAGCAAGTCAGCCATGACCAATGAGGAGTCGGCCGTGCACAATTACATGCAGACCTGCAGGACATCGAGTCCCTGCTATGGTCCCTCCCCAGTCAGACCCCCATTGCCTGGGCTGCAGCCAGAAGCATTCAGGCACAAGTGCATTCAACAAATACTTATTTAATTGTATTGGTGGTTAGAGGGTTGCGATTGATTAAGGCACATTAATGGATCCGTGTCCTCCCTGTATCCAAGATTCTGCCATTTGTCTCTGCAGTTCCTCCCACTGAAGAATCGGAGTATATTTCTCCAGTCCCTAATGTTGGGTTTAGTCATGTGTCTAGCTTTGGCCACTGGAATATTAATCTGTATGACCAAAAACTTGGAAAGTGTGAATTCATTTCTGCTCACTCACTCCTGCTATCACCATGAGAACAAGCCCAGGCCAGACTGCTGCTTCCAGCAGAAGAGACAGCAAGAGCAACGTCGAGCTTCCCAGACATGCTCATGCTAGATTGACCAATCCTCAGCTGACCCATAGATCCATGAAAATAAACGATTGTTGTATTAAGCCACTGAGATTTGGAGTGACTTGTTATGCAGCATTTTGTGACAACAACTAACTGACACAAGAGTCACCGTCCTTTATCTCTGTAGATTTTAACCAATTTTAATAGCTAGATGGAGATCTTCTAGTTGCCTTTATTTATAATGAATATGACTGTAGAGCTAGTTTGGCCTGACACTACCAGTAACCTACCCAGAAATTCAGAAATACTTTCTTCTCCAACCCGCCCAAACCAACTTTTTGTTTGTTTGTTTTTGGGTTCTCCCTCTTTGCCTAGGCTAGAGTACAAATGGTACAGTCAGAGCTCACTGTAGCCTCAAAATACTGGGCTCAAGTGATCTTCCCCTTCAGCCTCCTATGTAGCTAAGACTACAGACATGTGCCACCATGCCTGGCTAATTTTTTTATTCTTTGCAGACAGAGGGTCTCACTATATTGCCCAAGTTGGTTTCAAACTCCTGGCTTCAAGCAGTCCTCCTGCCTCACCCTTCCAAAGTGCTAGGATTATAGGCATGAGCCACCACACCCAGCCTCTTCTTCTTTTTAAATAGAAACCTTATTTTATTCTGACAGTGGGTTGCTTTTTTTTTTTTTTTTTAAAGAAAAAGTTGGCCCAGCCCCAGGGAATAAATTTTGACTGCTCTAAACAACCATAGACCAAGGGCCAAATCTGGCCCTCTGACTGTATAAATTAAGTTTTACTGGAATAAAACCAGGTCCATTGATTTATCCATTGTCTACATACGCTTTTAGGCTACGATGGCACCACTGTGTCACTACAAAAGAGGTTATCTAGACAAAAAGCCTAAAATATTACCGTTTGCCTCTTTATGGAAAAAGTTTGCCATTCCCTAGTCTAAGGTTTAGATTCTGAGCTTATCATGTTATCCTACCCCCCCTCACCAGTGACTGGCTCAAAACAAGTCTGTGATTCCATTCTGACTGTTCTACTGAGGGAATTCCGCCTTCTTCTCATGCAGAGCTGATGAGGGTAAGTTGTATTAATAGGACATATGCTCAGGTTTTCTGAAAAATACTTTTATCTAGAAATGCATAGGAATATGCTGGTGCCTGAATGTACCATCCGGGGACCTGGAGATTGACTCACCTGCCTCCAGAGCTGGTGCTCACACTTACTACTGAGAGGCCTGAGGAAACGCCTGCCTACCCACCACCAGAACCTGTATAGGTCACCTGGAGAACTAGAGATCAGCCTGCCACACACACCACCCAGGAGCCCAGTGGTGCACCTGCCCATCTGGCCCACTGCCAGCAACCAAAGAAGCCACCTGGAGTCCCAGGGATTGGCCCACACAGACAGGCTATCATCAGTGCCCACAAACGCTGCCCATGGTCCCTAGTATTGACACACCTGGTCCACCGCCACTACCACTGATGCTGAAGGACAAGACTTCCTGGCATCCCCATCCTCAGCAAAGCCTCACCAAAGCCTCCAATAACAACTGCAGTCTGGCCAAGTGTGGTGGCTCACGCCTGTAATCCCAGCACTTTGAGATGCCGAGGCGTGTAGATCACGAGGTCAGGAGTTCGAGAGCAGCCTGGCCAACATGGTGAAACCCCGTCTCTACTAAAAATACAAAATTTAGCTGGGCATGGTTGCACGTGCCTATAGTCCCAGCTACTCAGGAGGCTGAGGCAGGAGAATTGGTTGAACACGGGAGGCAGAGGATACAGTGAGCTGAGATTGTGCCACTGCACTCCAGCCTGGTGACAGAGCTAGACTCCATCTCAACAACCACCAAAAAAAACCACTGCAGTCTAAGCCACTGAATGACTCACAGGCACCACCCATGCCAATTACAGCTGAAGGAATCATATGCAAACTATACTACTGTACCCACCCAGAATCAAAGCCAAAGTGTGATATCCAATGAACACTGTAGATACAGCTGTAAGAAAAGGTCTTTCCCATATAAAAGCCAATCCATAAAATTGGAAGAAATGACTGTTATGTCAGAGGCACAGATAGTCACATAAGGATGCAAGAAATATGAAAAAGGAAACATAACATCTCAAAGAAGCACAATAATTCTCCAGCAACAGATCCAATGAAAAGAAAATCTATGAAATACCTGAAAAAAATTCAGAATGATGTTATTAAAGAAACTCAGGGAGATACAAGAGAACACAGATAATGAATACAAAAAAAAAAAACAAAAACAGGAAAACTATTCATGATCTGAATGACAAATTCAACAGAGATAGACAGCATAACAAAGAACCAAACACAAATCCTGGAAGAGAATAAATCATTGAAATAAATACAAAAGATAATTGACAGCTTTAACAATAGACTAGATCAAGCAAAACAAAGAATTTCTGAACCTGAAGACTAGTCTTTTAAAATAATCCAGTCAGACAAAAAGAAAGAAAAAAGAATGAAGCAAGGCTACATGACATATGGGACACATATGTGACCAAAAACTGAAATTCTGGGAGTTCTGGATGGAGATGAGATGGGTAAAGGCATAGAAAACCTATTTAATGAACTAATAACTGAAAACTTCCTGAATGCTTCCAAATGCAGGAAGCTCAAAGATTACCAAGTAAATACAACTCAAAATGGTCTTCTCCAAGGCACAATATGGTAAAATTGTCAAAAGACAAAGAGAAAATGCTAAAAACAGCAAGAGAAAGGCATCAAGTCACTTATAAGAGAATCTCCATCAGGCTAACGGGGAATTTCTCAGCAGAAACCTTACTGGCTAGGAGAAAAGGGGATGTATATTACAAGTACAAAAAAAAAAAATAATAAAAAAATGTAAGCCAAAAATACTCTACCCAGCAAAGCTATCCTTCACAAATGAAGGAGCCTGGCACAGTGGCTCACATCTGCAATTCCAGAGACTCAAGGCTGAGGCAGGAGGACCATTTGATCCCAGGAGTTCAAGGCTGCAGTGAGCTATGATCATGCCACTGTACTCCAGCCTGGGTGACAGAGTGAGACTCCATTGCTAAAAAAAAAAATAGTAATAATAAAAGGGAAAAAAGTATTTCCCAGATAAGCAAAAGACTGTTTGTTTGTGTCTTGTTTGTTGTGGTCCTATAAGAAATGTTTAAGGGAGTCCTACATTGGGAAGTGAAAGAACAATATCTACCATCATGAAAATACATGAAAGTATAAAACTCACTGGTAGTTCAGACACACAAAGAAGAAAGGATTCAAACATCACCACTAAAGAAAACCACCAAACTGCAACCATAAATAATGAGAGAAAAAAGGAACAAAGGTGTATTAGTCTGTTTTCACACTGCTGATAAAGACATACCTGACTGAGACTGAGCAATTTACAAAAGAAAGAGGTTTAATGGACTTACACTTCCACATAGCTGAGGAAGCCTAAGAATCACGTTGGAAGGCAAGAAGAAGCAAGTCATGTCTCACATGGATGGCAGCAATCAAAGATAGAGCTTCTGCAGAGAAACTACCCTTTTCAAAACCATCAGACCTTGTGAGACTTATTCACTATCATGAGAACAGCATGGGAAAGACCTGCCCCCATGACTCAATTACTTCCCACCAGGTCCCTCCCACAACATGTGGGAATTCAAGATGAGACTTGGGTGGGGACACAACCAAACCATATCATTCTGCCCCTGGCCCTTCCCAAATCTCATATCCTCACATTTTGAAACCAATCATGCCTTCCCAACAGTCCCCCAAAGTCTTAACTAAGTTCAGCATTAACTCAAAAGTCCACAGTCCAAAGTCTCATTTGAGACAAGGCAAATCCCTTCTGCCTATGAGCATGTAAAATCAAAAACTAGTTAGTTACTTCCTAGATACAATGTGGGTATAGGCATTGGGTAAATACAGTCATTCCAAATGGCAGAAAATTGCCAAACAAAGGGGCTACAGGACCCATGCAAGCCCAAAATCCAGTGGGGCAGTGAAATCTCAAAGCTCCAAAATGATCTCCTTTGACTCCATGTCTGACATGCAGGTCATACTGATGTATGACCATGGCCTTGGGAGAAAAAAGGCCACAGCTCCACTCCTGTGGCTTTGTATGGTTTAACCCCCCTCCTGGCTCCTTTCACGGGTTGGCATTGAGTGTCTGCAGCTTTTCCAGGCACACAGTGCAAGCTGTCAGTGAATCCACCATTCTGGGGTCTGGAGGATGGTGGCCCTCTTCTCAAAGCTCCACTAGGTGGCGCTGCAGTAGGGACTCTATGTGGGGGCTCCGACCCCACATTTCCCTTCTGCACTGCCCTAGTAGAGTTTCTCCATGAGTGCCCTGCCCCTGCAGCAAACTCCTGCCTGGGTATCTAGGAATTTCCATACACCTTCTGAAATCTAGGCAGCAGTTCCCAAACCTCAATTTTTGACTTCTGTGCACCCACAGGCTCAACACTATGTGGAAGCTGCTAAGGCTTGGGGCTTGCACCCTCTGAAGCCACAGCCCAAGTTGTACCTTGGCTCCTTTTAGCTGCAGCTGGAGTGGCTAGGACTCAGGCACCCTAGGCTGCTCACAACAGGGGTCCCTGGGTCTAGCCCACAAAACCATCTTTTCTTCCTAGGCCTCTGGACCTTTGATGGGAGGGGCTGCCATGAAGACCTGTGACATGCCCTGGAGACATTTTCCCCATTGTCTTGGGGATTCACATTTGACTCCTCGTTACTTAAACAAACTTCTGCAGCCAGATCGAATTTTTCTTGAGAAAATGGGATTTTCTTTTCTATTGCATTGTCAGGCTGCAGATTTTCCAAACTTTCATGCTCTGCTTCCCTCATAAAACTGAAGGCCTTTAACAGCACCCAAGTCATCTCTTGAATGCTTTGCTGCTTAGAAATTTCTTCTATCAGATACCCTAAATCTCAAGTTCAAATACCCTATCAGTTACCCTAAATCTCTCAAGTTCAAAATTCCACAAATCTCTACAGCAGGGGCAAAAAGCCACCAGTCTCTTTGCTAAAACATAACAGGAGTCACCATTGTGCCAGTTCCTAACAAGTTCCTCATTTCCATCTGAGACAACCTAAGCCTAGACTTTATTGTCCATATAACAATCAGCATTTTGGGCAAGTCTCTAGGAAATCTCTTCCAAATTTTCCCACATTTTCCTGTCTCCTTCTGAGCCCTCCAAACTGTTCCAACCTCTGCCTGTTTCCCAGTTCCAAAGTCACTTCCACATATTCAGGTATCTTTTAGCAACACCCCACTTCTGGTACTAATTTACTGTATTAGTCCATTTTCACACAGCTGATAAAGACACATTCAAGACTGGGAAATTTACAAAAGAAAGAGGCTTAATGGACTTACAGTTCTACATTGCTGGGGAGGCTTCAAAATCATTGCGGAAGTCAAGGAGAGGCAAGTCACATCTTACAGGGATGGCAGCAGGCAAAGAGAGAGCTTGAGCAGGGAAACTCCTCCTTTTAAAACCATCAGATCTCATGAGACTTATTCACTATTAAAAGAATAGCATGGGAAATACCTGCCTCCATGATTCAACTACTTCCCATTGGGTCCCTCCCACAACACATGGGAATTCAAGATGAGATCTGAGTGGGGACACAGCCAAACCATATCAAAAGGATATACAAAATAACCAGAAAACAATGAACAAAATGACAGGAATAAATCCTCGCCTATCAATAATAACTTCGAATATGGGTTAAATTACCTACCTAAAAGATACAGTCAGGCTTAATGGATAAAAAGTGACCCAACATCACTTCCCTTGTAAAGACACACACAGACTGAAAGTGAAGGGATGGAAAAAGATATACCACACAAACAGAAATCAAAAATAATCAGGAGTAGCTAAACTTACATCAGATAAAACAGACTTTAAGTCAAAAACTGTAAAAAGGACAAACAAGATCATTATATGGTAATAAAGGGATCAATTCAGCAACAAAGTATAACAATTCCAAATATGCATGCAACCAACACAAGCGCATCCAGAGACATATAGCAAATATTATTAAATCTACATGGAGAGATAGAGTCCAATAAAATGATAGTTGAGAACTTCAATATCCTACTCTCAGCATTGGACAGTTCATCTAGACATAAAATCAACAAAGAAACATTAGATTTAAGCTGCACTTTGGACCAAATGGACCTAACAGATATTTTCAGAATAGTTCATCCAGCAGCAGCAGAATATACAATCATCTCATCAACACATGGAATATTCTCCAGGATAGACCATATGTTAGGACACAGAACAAGGCTCAATAAAATTTTAAAAATTAAAATCATATCAAGTATCTTCTCAGACCACAAAGGAATAAAACTTGAAATCAATAAGAAGAAGAAATTTGGAAACTGTACAAATATATGGACATTAAACATGCTATTGAATAATCATTGGGTCAATGAAGAAATTAAGATGGACATCAAAAAAATTTTTTAAACAGAAAATGGAAACACATCATGCAAAACCTATGGGATACAGCAAAAGCAGTACTAGGAGGAAAGTTTATAGCAATAAATGCCTACACTAAAAAAGTAGAAAGATTTCAAATAAACAACCTAATGATGCACCTCAAGGAACTCAAAAAGCAAGAACAAATCAAACACACAATTAGTAGAAAGAAAAAATATAAATAACATAGCAGAACCAAATGCAACAGAGACAAAAAAAAATGCAAAGAATCAACAAGATAAAAGTTGGTTTTTTGAAAAGTTAAACAAAATTGATAAACCACTAGTGAGGCTAACCAAAAAAAAAAAAAAGAGACCAAAATAAATACAATCAGAAATGAAAAAGGAGACATTACAAGTGTTACCAAAGAAATAAAAAGGATAATTAGAGGCTATTATGAACAATCATATGCTAACAAATTGGAAAACCTAGAGGAAAGGGATAAATTCCCAGACATACACAGCCTACCAAGGTTGAACTAGGAAGAAACAGAAAACGTGAACTGACCCAAAATGAATAGCAGGTTTGAATCAGTAACAAAATGTCTCCCAAAGGAGAAAAGCCCTAGACTAGGCTTTTATGCTGATTTCTACCCAATTTATAAAGAAAAACAAACACCAATTCTTCTCAAACTATTCCCAAAAATTGAAGAGGAAGGAATTCTTCCTAACTCATTGTATAAGGCCAGCATTACCCTGATATCCAATCAAGACAAGGACACAACAAAAGGAGAAAACTACAGGCCAATATTCCTAATGAACACAGATGGTAAAATTCTCAGCATAATACTACCAAGCCAAATCTAATGATGAATGAAAAAGATAATATACCATGATCAAGTGGGATTTATCCCAGGAATGCAAAGGTGGCTCAACATACACAAATCAATACATGTGATACATCACATTGACAAGATGAAAGGCAAAAACTATCTGATCATCTCAGCAGATGCAGAAAAATCACTCAGTAAAACTTACCATTCCTTCATGATGAAAACTCTCAACAAATTAAGCATAGAAGGAACACTTCAACCTAAGAAAAGGCATATATGACAAATCTACAGCTAACATCCTACTCACTGGGAAAAATTGAAAAGCCTTTCCTCTAAGAACTGGAACAAGAGAAGGATGCCCACTTTCACCACTCTTATTCAACACAGTATGGGACATCCAAGCCAGAGTGATCAGACAAGATAAAGAAAAAAAAGGCATCCAAATGGACAAAAGGAAGTCCAATTGTCTCACTTTGCAAATGACATAATCGTATACCTGTAAACAGAAAAACCTAAAGACTCTACCAAAAAACTCTTAAAATAAATTAGGCTGGGCATGGTAGCTCATGCCTGTAATCCCAGCACTTTGGGAGACCAAGGTGGATGGATCACCTGAGGTTGGGGGTTTGAGACCAGCCTGGCCAACATGGTGAAACCCTGTCTCTACGAAAAATACAATTAGCCAGGCATGGTGGTAGGTGCCTGTAATCCCAGCTACTTGGGAGGCTGAAGCAGGAGAATCGCTTGAAACCGAGAAGTGGAGGTTGCAGTGAGCCAAGATTGCACCACTGCACTCCAGCCTGGAAAACAGAGTGAGACTCTCTCACAAAATAAAAAATAAAAAATAAAAAACATTTTTAAAAAAGGATGTATAATTCAGTAAAGCTTCAGGACACAAAATCAACATACAAAAATCAGTAATGTTTCTATATACCAGTAACAAACTAGCTAAAATAGAAATCAAGGAAGAAATTCTATTTACAATAGCTACAAAAATAAAATACCTAGGAATAAACTTAACCAAGGATGAGGAAAAAAAAAACCCAAAAAACCTCTACAATGAAAACCACAAAACACTGATAAAATAAACTGAGAAGGACACAAACAAATGGAAAGGCATCTTATGCTCGTGGGTTGGAGTAACTAATACTGTTAAAATGACCATACTACCCGAAGCAATCTAGAGATTCAGTACAATCCCTATCAATTATATTCTTCACAGAAACAGGAAAAAAAAAAACCCTGAAATTCATATGGAACCACAGAAGACCCCAAATAGCCAGAGCAATACTGAGCAAAAAGAACAAAGCTAGAAGCCTCACACTACCTGATTTAAAAATATACTGCAAAGAGGCCGGGCGAGGTGGCTCAAGCCTATATCCCAGCACTTTGAGAGGCCAAGGCGGGTGGATCACAAGGTCAGGAGATCGAGACCATCCTGGCTAACATGGTGAAACCCCGTCTCTAATAATAATAAAAAAAAAATTAGCCAGGCGTGGTGGCGGGCATCTGTAGTCCCAGCAGCTACTCGGGAGGCTGAGGCAGGAGAATGGCATGAACCCGGGAGGAAGAGCTTGCAGTGAGCAGAGATCACACCACTGCACTCCAGCCTGGGCGACAGAGCAAGACTCCATCTCAAAAAGAAAAAAAAAAAAAAATATATATATATATATATATATATATATATGTGTGTGTGTGTGTATAAATATATTTGTATATATATGTATATATATACGTATATGTGTGTGTATATACGTATATATGTATGTACGTATATATGTATGTATATATGTATATATGTACGTATGTATGTATATATACGTATATACGCATATATATACGTATATATGTATATGTGTGTATATACGCATATATATACGTATATATGTATATGTGTGTACGTATATATGTATATATTTATATGTATATATACACGTATATGTGTATATATACACGTATACGTGTATATATACACGTATATGTGTATATATATACACGTATATGTGTACATATACACGTATATGTGTACATATATACACGTATGTGTACATATACACGTATATGTGTACATATATACACATATATATGTACATATATACACGTATATATATACACGTATATATACACGTATATATGTATATATATACACGTATATATGTATATATATACACGTATATATACACGTATATATGTATATATATACACGTATATATACACGTATATATGTATATATACACGTATATATGTATATATATACACGTATATATACACGTTATATATGTATATATATACACGTATATATACACGTATATATGTATATATATACACGTATATATACACGTATATATGTATATATATACACGTATATATGTATATATATACACGTATATATGTATATATATACACGTATATATATACACGTATATATGTATATATATACACGTATATATACACGTATATATGTGTATATATATACACGTATATATATACACGTATATATGTATATATACGTATATATACACGTATATATGTATATATATACACGTATATATGTATATATACGTGTATATATATAAGTATATATGTGTGTGTGTATATAGATATACATATATATATGTATTACAAAGCTATAGTAACCAAAACAGCGTGTACTGGTATTAAAACAGACACAAAAACAAAGGAAACAGACTAAAGAATCCAGAAATGAATCCACATATTTACAGCTAACTGATTTTCAAGAAAGCTGTCAAGAACATGCATTGAATAAATGACACCCTCTTCATTAAATGGTGCCAGCAAAACTAGATATCCAAACACAGAAGAATAAAACTAGACCCTTATCTCTCATCACTTAGAAAAATAAACTCAAAATCAGTTAAAGACTTAAATGTAACAGCCACAACTATAAAACTACTAGAAATAAACACAGGAGAAACGCTTGAGAACAAAGATTGTATGGCTAACGCTTAAAAAGTACAAGCAACAAAAATAGACAAATGGGATTATATTAAATTAAATTCCTTCTGTATATCAATTAAAACAATCAACAGAGTGAAAAGACAACACCCCTCCCTTACACCACACACAAAAATTAACTCAAGATGGCCTGCAGACTTAAATGTAAAACTCATAACTATAAAAACGCTGAAGACAACCTAGGCAATACCATCTGGTACATAGTGATGGGCAAAGAGTTCATGGTGAAGATGCCAAACGCAATTGCCACAAAAGCAAAAATTGGCAAATGGGATCTAATTAAATGAAAGAGCTTCTACACAGCAAAAGAAACTATCAAAAAATAAACAGACATTTCTCAAAAGAAAATATACAAATCACCAAGTTTATGAAAAAATATTCAACATCACTAATCATCACGGAAATGCAAATCAAAACCACAATGAGATATCATCTCACACTTGTTAGAATGGGTATTAAAAAGACAAAGCACAACAAATGCTGGCAAGCATGTGAAGAAAAGGAAATTATTGTATATTGTTGGTGGGAATGTAAATTGGTACAGCCATTATGAAAAAAAGTACAGAGATTTCTCAAAAAACTAAGAACAAATCTACCATATGATCCAGCAATCCCACTCATGGGTATATATCCAAAAAAAGATATCAGTGTATCAACGGGATACCCATACCCCCATATTTACTGCAGCACTATTTGCAATAGCCAAGATATGGAATCAATCTAAATGTCAATCAATGGATGAATGGATAAAGAAAATGGGAATATACACACAATGGAATAGTATTTAGCCATAAAAAATGAAATCCTGTCATTTTCAGCTAATTGGGTGGAATTAAAGGTCATAACGTCAGGTGAACTAGGCCATGCACAGAAAGAAAACTATTGCATGTTCTCACTTATATGAGCAGCTTATGCTCCTGGAAATCAAAGCGGGGCCATATTTCAGGTCAGTAGGGTCACGGATAGAGACCACAGTTATGGACTTGTGTGCCCTGGAGCTATATAAAATTGATATCATGGAGATAAAGAGTAGAATGATAGTTACCAGAGGCTAGGAATAGGAGAGGTTTGAAAAGAGGTTGATTAATGGGTATAAAAATATATAATAGAAGGAATGAGATCTAGTGTTTATTATCACAGAAAGTGACTACAATAATTTATTGTATATTTCTTTTTTTTAATTTCAATAGTTTTTAGGGAACAGGTGGTATTTTGTTACATGGATACGTCCCTTAGGGGTGATCTCTGAAATTTTGGCATACCCATCAGCAAAGCAGTTTACCCAATGTATAGTCTTTTATCTCTCACCCCCTCCCACCTTCCCCCTGAGCCCCCAAAGTCCACTGTTTCATTCTTGTGCCTTCGCATCATCATAGCTTAGCTCCCATGTTCTCCCACGAGTGAGAACATGCAATGTTTGGTTTTCCATTCCTGAGTTACTTCATTTGAAATAATGGTCTCCAACTCCATCCAGGTTGTTATGAATGCCATTATTTTATTCCTTTTTAAGGTTAAGTAGTGTTCTATGGTATACATATATATATATAACACATTTTCTTTATCCACAAATTGATTGATGGGCATTTGGGCTGGTTCTGTAGTTTTGCAACTGTGAATTCTGCTGCTGTAAACATGTGTGCAAAAGTATCTTTTTCATATAATGACTTCTTTTCCTCTGGGTAGATACCTAACAGTGGGATTACTGGATCAAATGGTAGATGTACTTCTAGTTCTTTAAGGAATCTTCATACTGTTTTCCATAGTGCTGGTACTAGCTTACATTCCCACCATCAGTGTAAAAGCGTTGTCTTTCACCACATCCATGCCAACATCAATTTTTGTTTTTTTTGTTTTGTTTTGTCTTTTGTTTTTTGTTTTTTTGAGATGGAGTCTCGCTCTGTCGCCCAGGCTGGAGTACAATGGTGCCATATCAGCTCACTGCAACCTCTGCCTCCCGGGTTCAAGCAATTCTCCTGCCTCAGCCTCCTGAGTAGCTGGGATTACAGGCAACTGCCACCATGCCCGGCTAATTTTTATATTTTCAGTAGAGACTGGGTTTCACCATGTTGGTCAGGCTGGTCTCAAACTCCTGACCTCGTGATCCGCCCACCTTGGCCTCCCAAAGTGCTAGGATTACAGGCGTGAGCCACCGCGCCCGGCCCTCTTTTTGTTTATTTTACACGTGGTATTGCATTGTGGTTTTGATTTGCATTTCCCTGGTAATTAGTGATGTTGAGCATTTTTTCATATGTTTGTTGGCCATTTGTATATCTTCTTTTGAGAATTGTCTATTCATGTCCTTGGCACATTTTTTGATGAGATTATTTTTTTCTTGCTGATTAGAGTTCCCTGTAGATTCTGACATTAGTTCTTTGTCAAATGCAGTTTGTGAAAATTTTCTCCCACTCTGTGGGTGATCTGTTTACTCTGCTGATTATTTCCTATGCTGTGCAGGAGGCTTTTAGTTTAATTAAGTCCCATCTATTTATCTTTGTTTCTGTTGTATTTGCTTTTGGGTTCTTGGTCATAAACTCTTTGCCTAAGCCAATGTGTAGAAGCATTTTCCAATGTTATCTTCTAGAATTTTTATGGTTTCAGACCTTAGATTTAAGTCTTTGATCCATCTTGTGTTGATTTTTGTATAAGGTGAGAGATAAGGATCCAGTTTTATTCTTCTACATGTGGCTTGCCAATTATCCCAGCACTATTTGTTGTATAGGGTGTACTTTTCTTACTTTGTTTTTGTTTACTTTGTCAAAGATCAGTTGGCTGTTAAGCATTTGGCTTTATTTCTAGGTTCTCTACTCTGTCCCATTGGTCATGTGCCTATTTTTATACCAGCACTATGCTGTTTTGGTGACTATAGCTTTGTAATATAGTTTGAAGTTGGGTAATGTGATGCCTCTAGATTGGTTCTTTTTGCTTAGTTTTGCTTTGGCTTTGCAGACTCTTTTTTAGTTCCAAATGAATTTTGGCATTTTTTTTTTCTAGTTCTATAAAGAATGATGATGGTACATTGATAGGAACTCATTGAATTTGGAGACTGCTTTTGGCAGTATGGTCATTTTCACAATATTGAGTCTACCCATCCATGAGCATGGAATGTGTTTCCATTTGTTTGTGTCATCTATGATTTCTTTCAACATTGTTTTGTAGTTTTCCTTGTAGGGGTCTTTCACCTCCTTGGTTAGGTATATTCCTAAGTATTTTATTTTTACAGCTATTATAAAAGGGTTTGATTTGATTCTCAGCCTGGTAGATGTTGGTGTATAGCACTGCTACTGATATGTGTACATAGATTTTGTATCCTGATAAATAGATTTATTGTGTATTTCTAAATAGCAATAAGATTTGAAATATTCCCAACACAAAGAAATGATCAACGTTTGAGGTGATTAATATCCTAAAGACCCTGACTTGATCATTACACATTACATGCATGTACCAGAATCTCACATGGACCCCATAAATGTGTACAATTATTCTCTATCAAAAACATTTTTTTTTAAGAAACATGCAGGAATACACTCTACCTCTTCCTTGCTGTGTCTGGATATTGTCACATGAGGACTTGACATGCGGATTGTGGCAGCCTCTGTGACCAAGAGCGGAAGACAACAGCAGCATAGAAACCTCAAATGAAAAATCTAACATCTCAAGCTACTAATTTAGCCAACCTTGGCATCAGCTATCTCTGGTCTTAGTATATGAGGCGATAAGCCCCCACTGTTCAAGTTGGGTGTCTATCAATTGCTGCAGAATAGAAGTTAATGAGGCTTCCTCCTCCTGGATCCCCTACTAGACCCTGACATGCCCATTCAGTCACAGGCAGAAAGGGAAGCACAGGGTAAGGAGACCTGGCTGACTGTGCCAGACGCAGATCTTACCTGTCCTGCTTAGAACACTCAAAGCTCAATTGGTTAAACAAAAAAAGGAAAAATACAATAAGGAGTATAGCACTCCCCAGATGCAACTTAATCTAACACTCTATACTTTAGATTTTCTAGACATACATAGAAATCAGACCACTACTTCTGCAGAACATTTTACTAGTAAAAATAATAGGCCACGTGAGGGAAAACTGATTTGGTGGAAAGACAACAAAAACAAAATATGGGAAATAGGTAAGGTGATAATATGGGGGAGAGGTTGTGCTTGTGTTTCACCCGGAGAAAATCAGCTTCCTGTTTGGATACCCACTAGACATTTGAAGTTCTACAATGAACCTATCAAGATGCAAATGAAAGTGCCTCTGCAGAGACAGAAAACCCGCAGTCGAGCATCATCGACTCGCAGGGTGAACAAAATGGTGATATCAGAAGAACAGATGAAGTTACAATCCACCAAGGAAACGGCACATGTTGGGAGCCAGGGAGAGGAAGAGAAAGAAAAAGAGACAGAGATCAGAGAGAGACACAGAAAGTGAGACTGGGGAGAGAGACAGTGTAAAAGAGAGAGAGAGAGAGAGACCGTAAAAGAAGGGAGACAAAGAGATAAAAGGTGCGAGTGAGCAGGTGAGGAGAAAGACTGAAAACTATGAGAAACAGCAACTAAGACACAAAGGAGGTGGGAGACTGCCTTGGTGCCGCAGCACCCACACCGTCCTCTTGCCCCGTCACTTGGGTTCAAACCACCGGAAATTCCACTATTGCAAATTTTTTATTAATCCTTGTATGTCTGTCCTTTCTATTTTTAGTCTACAGGTGTATCCAGCAGCTCCAGAGAGACAGCGACCAGCGAGAAGGGGCCATGATGATGGAGGTGGTTTTGTCAAAACGAAAATGGGGATATGTAGGGAAAAGAAAGAGAGATCAGACTGTTACTGTGTCTACATAGAAAGGGAAGACATAAGAGACTCCATTTTGAAAAAGACCTGTACTTTAAACAATTGCTTTGCTGAGATGTTGTTAATCTGTAGCTTTGCCCCAGCCACTTTGCCCCAACCACTTTGACCCAATCTGGAGCTCATAAAAACATGTGTTGTATGAAATCAAGGTTTAAGGCATGTAGGGCTGTGCAGGACGTGCCTTGTTAACCAAATGTTTGCAAGCAGTATACTTGGTAAAAGTCATCACCATTCTCTCATCTCAATAAACCAGGGGCACAATGCACTGTGGAAAGCCGCAGGGACCTCTGCCCTTGAAAGCTGGGTATTGTCCAAAGTTCCTCCCCATGTGATAGTCTGAAATATGGCCTCGTGGGATGAGAAAGACCTGACGGTCCCCCAGCGCGACACCCATAAAAGATCTGTGCTGAGGTGGATTAGTCAAAGAGGAAAGACTTGCAGTTGAGATAGAGGAAGGCCACTGTCTCCTGACTGCCCCTGGGAACTGAATGTCTCGGTATAAAACACGATTGTACATTTGTTCAGTTCTGAGATGGGAGAAAAACCGCCCTATGGTGGGAGGCGAGACATGTTTACAGCAATGCTGCCTTGTTATCCTTTACTCCACTGAGATGTCTGGGTGGAGAGAAACATAAATCTGGCTTACATGCACGTCCAGTCATAGTACCTTCCCTTGAACTTCATTATGACATGGATTCTATTGCTCACGTTTGTTGCTGACCTTCTCCTTATTATCACCCTGCCCTCCTACTACATTCCTTTTTGCTGAAATAATGAAGATAATAATCAATAAAAACTGAGGGAATTCAGAGACCTGTGCCAGTGCAGGTCCTTAGCATGCTAAGCGCCGGTCCCCTGGGCCCGCTGTTGTTTCTCTATACTTTGTCTCTGTGTCTGATTTCTTTTCTGTCTCTCATCCCACCCGACAAGAAATACCCACAGGTGTGGAGGGGCAGGCCACCCCTTCAGTATGAGATTACAGGCATGAATAACCCCACCTGGCCACCTAACTCACTCTTGAGAGGCCAGAAGTGATGCTGGAACTTTCTTCCTCTGTGGGTGAAAAAGGGAAAATTAGGGAGAACAGAAGGCATGAGAGATGCAGCGATGGATATGTCTATATGGAGCTTCTGTCTGCATCCAGTAGAAAATGCATCTGTAGGCACCAGGTTTAAGAGCAAAATCCTGGAGTCTTGTCTGTTAGCATTCTCCTTCCCCACAAACCAGAGAAGGAATATATTTGCTCCAGCACACCCGGATGTAGGAAATGTCACATTCCTATTTCTGTAACTTCACTTAAATCTGCTCTGAGTCTCTGGATGCCTGGCAGGTGGAGAATTCAATCTTGTCGTTACCAGTATTCCTTTCCCTTCTCCATGGGCTTATGTAAGAATTCTGGGCTTACACACTGTTGGAAAGCCAGGTAGGAACTACATCCCCCGAACTCTCCATTCTTCCAGCTGCTCATGATCCATCAACCTTCTTTGGGCCACCTGCTATAACAAGACCCTCCTCACAGCATCATTCCACTGACCCACAGGCTCAGCCCCAGGGACCCTCACTAGAACAGGTCTCCACTATGCATAGGAACTCACAAAAACCTTCTCTTCATCTTGGCTTCTGCTGATATCCAGCCACTCCCCCAATTCTCACCTTAAACACAGATGGCAGCTCCTTCCCATTCTTCCAAACCTGGGGGATTGTCCAGACAAATTCTCTGCAGACACCAAAGCTTCACCCGCCCTCTTCAGGGAGGTGATGCAAGGGCATCTGAGATCTTTGGAAGCCCAATTCTGGCCTCTCTTTGGGGTGGGCTGAGAGTGGGAAGTAGACTCTCTTTTCCAAATGTCATGTTTATCTTGTTCATCATTATATTATCTCCAATGCCTGGCACATAGTAGGCACTACAGACTGACACATAGGAGGTGCTATTAGTGTCTGTATAATGGGACTCTTGAGGTTGAAGCTATCAGCAGAAACCTGCCAAGCAAAAGGATGGAAAACCAACCACCAAAAAAAAAAAAACAAAAAGAAAACAATCGTGGCTTTGAGCTCTAAACACACAAGGCACCAGCCCAAGTTTGGGCAATTTTACTACAACAGCCATTTTGCCTCCAAACAAACTGGCACTGGAAACCTCCCTCTGCCTCTTAAAGAGAACCAGTTTCCCTTTCTCTAAGTGGACAGCATTTCTCCCCGGTGGCAGTACCCAGCCCACTGCCACCAGCAAACGACTGCAGCCAGGAGCCAAGAGCTTGATAGTTTAAAGAATAGATCTTATAGGGAAAAACAAAGTAACATCCACATAAATCTGGAACTACCACCACTTTCCAGAGGCCGAATCCCATTTGTAAATTCTCTTGCGTGTCAAGCACCTTGCAGTCAGCTCAACTACACACTTTTGGGATTCGTTGCAGAGAAGAGTGAAGGTTATCTGCAAAATAAAGGAACCAGGGCTCAGAATTCCCAGAGCAATCCATGACAGAGGAGGTGAGTTGAAAAGGGAAGGGTGAAGTCAAAGGAGAGAAGTCAATGAGTTGGCCAACACCAAGCAAGGATCATGGGACCCTCTCCACGGCCCCACATCTCAAATGAAGTCAACAAAACCCATCAATGCTTGGTGTAAGTGTTGTATGCTCCTGGAAATGAAAGCAGGGGCCACATTTCAGGTCAGTAGGGTCAGGGGTAGAGGCAGCTGTCATGGACTTGTGGGCCCTGGAGGATGGGATGATTCTGAGACATTGAATCCCTACACTGATCTCAGTAGAAATCTCAGGTAGGGCTTCAACATTCGTCGACAAAGGACTCTGTGGGCATCAGAGCAACAGCCTTGGTGCATGTCCAAGCTCCATCAATCCCAACTGGGGCTTTGAAGAAGTTACTTATTTTTTTTAACTAACGTTATTTTAATTGACAAATCATAATTGTACCCATGTATGTGATGTTTTGATATATGTATACAATGTGGGATGATTAGATCAAACTAATGAACACGTCCATCCCCTAATTTACTGACAATTTTCATGATGCGACATTTGAAATGTACCCACTTAGTTATTTTGAAAGATACATTATTATTGACTATAGTCACGCTGCTGTGCTATAGATTTCAAAACATATAATCCAGCAACCCAACTTCTGGATATAGACCAAAAAAAAATCAAAATCAATATGTCGAAGGGATCCCTAAATTCCTATGTTCACTGCAGCTCTATTCACAATACCCAAGATATAGAATCAACCTAAGTGTCCATGAGTGGATGAAAGGATAAAGCAAATGTACTATATACACACAAAGGAATACTATTAACCCTTAAAAAAGAAAGAAATCCTGTCATTTTCAACAACATAGATGAACTTGAAAGACATTGTGTTAAGTGAAATAAGCCAGGCACAGAAAGACAGATACTGCATGATTTTATTGTATGTGGAATCTAAAGAAGTTGAACTCACAGAAATAGAGAGTAGGACAGTGGTTATCAGGGGCTGGGGTGAAGGAAAGGGAGGGGATAGGAGACACTGGTCAAAGGGTACAAAGTTTCCAATAGGAAGAATAGTTTTAAACAAGCTAATCTCCTCTGAAAGCTCAGTTCCTCATCTGTAGAGCACGGATACATCATTAACCTTCTAAGGATGTTGCTGTGAGAGTAAGAGATGATGTTCAGCACAATACCTAACGCACAGTCAGGTCTCCTTAAGCTTGAACCTGCATCGCCATGACCTCTACATCTCAGGACAGAAAGGCTCACAGCCAGTGTCTCAGTTCCCAATGAAAAGTGGATCCCAGACCAGGCTGGACAGCAGGATCCCTAGGGGATACCCCACCCTACTGAGTCAGAATCACCAGAGGTAGAACCTGGGTATGTATGTATGTGTGTGTGTGTGTGTGTGTGTGTGTGTGTGTGTATGTACAAGAGACAGGGTCCTGCTCTGCAGTCCAGGCTGGAGTGCACTGTCACAATCGTAGTTCACTGCAGCTTCAAATTACCCCTGGTCTCAATCCATCCTCCCGTCTCAGCCTTCAGAGTAGCTGAGACTACAGGCGCATGCCACCAAGCCCGGATACTTTTTTTTTTTTTCTTCCTTTTGGAGAGAGTCTCACTCTGTTGCCCAGGCTGGAGTGCAATGGTGCAATCTTGGCTCACTGCAACCTCTGTCTCCCGGGTTCAAGTGATTCTCATGCCTCAGCCTCCTGAGTAGCTAGGATTACAGGCATACACCACCACATCAGCGTAATTTTGCTCTTTCATTGTTGTTTCTTGTTTGTTTTTCACAAATAGGACTTTTTATTTGGTACTGTTTTAAGTCTGAACTTTAAACAGATTCTTGGACTGGTGGTTCCTATCCATCAGCTCATTCAACTTTAGCATGTGTCTCGTCCCTAGTGGGTTTTCCAGAACTACTACCTCCACCACGAAGCTCCATGCCTTTCAAACCCAGGGTTCTCCAGCATTTTTACTTTTCTAATGAAGACATCATGGAGAGGATAAATTGGCAAACCTTTTCTGTATCTTTTCCAATGTTGTCTGGAATCAATTTATTGACCACTTCTTTCAAGTCATTTGTCTGCACCTCTCAGGTCATGATTTCCATCATCTTCTTCTGGATTTGGCAGACTGTTGGTGCTAAGCATAAGAGGTCTTCAGTATCTGATTGTTGTGTTTTTTAGTAAAACCAACACAAAACAGATGAAAGAAGTAACCATCGGTAGTCCTGACATCAACATGAGCTTCAACCATCGTTGAACATTTTTCAACCATGGAACATATTTTGTCACAGGTAAGACCCATGCCATAGAAATTAGTCAGGCAGTTTTTGTCCTGAACATCTTCAGTAATCAGCTTGAATTTTCTAAATGCAACTTCATCATTCTGCAAATCAGCAAGACTCACTTCAAACAGAAGACCCTTGAGACCATCAGATGCAATTTGGGTTCCTTGGGTCCTGGCGACCAAGTCTTTCCAGTATTTCTTATATTGAACATAGCAGGTGCTTTCACATCATACTGATCTTTCTTAGAGAATGGACCAACTACTTTCTTCTTAACTCCCTTTTTGCCACCTTTCATAAGGCACTTGTTCTTAACAACCGCCATGGTGCTGCTTGGAGTACCAAAAGGCTAAATTTTATATTTTTGGTAGAGACGGGATTTCAGGATGTTGGCCAAGCTGCTCTTGAACTCCTGATGTCAGGTGATCTGCCCGCCTCTGCCTCCCAAAGTGCTGGGATTACAAGTGTGGACCACTGCACCCAGCTGTTATTTATTTTTTCTTTTTTTGTACAGACAGGGTCTTGCCATGTTGCCAAGGCTGGCCTGGAACTCCTGGCTTCAAGCAATCCTCCCACCACAGCCTCCCAAAGCACTGGGATTTCAGGTGTGAGCCACCATGCCCAGCCTGGAATCTATTTTTAAAGCCAATCAAGCGTTGAATAAAATTGCAACTTGGGCTGTTTTTTCTTTGCATTTTTTACATTTCAATGGTTTTCAATATATTCAGAGATATACACAAACATTACCAGTCAATTTTAGAACATTTCATGACCTCAAAAAGAAACCTCATACCCTTTAGCTAACAGCCCCATCCTCCCATGCCCCTACCACCCCTAAGCAACCACTAATCGACTTCCTATTTCTGTAGATTTCCATCTGAATGAAATCATGTAGAATGTGATCTTTCATCTGTTTTGAAGGTTCATCCACGCTGTAGCGTATGTACTATCCTCCTTTTTGTGATCAAATAATATTCCACCATGTGGGTAGACAACAATAGGTGTATCTCTTCATCTGGTGATGGGCATTTGGATTAATTCTCTCTTTGGGTTATTAGGAGTGATGCTACTGTAATTATTCATGTACAAAATTTTGTGTGGACCTGTGCTTTCATTTTTGAATATGAAAATACTGCGCATCTCCAAGGAAGACATACAAGTGGTCAATAAGCACATGAAAAGATGCTCAATGAAATTCATCATCAGGGAAACAGAAATCAAAACCACAATTAGATACCACTTCATACCCATAAGCATGGCTAGAATCGAAGATAGAGAAAATTGGCCTGGTGCGGTGGCTCATGCCTGTAATCCCAGCACTTTGGGAGACCGAGGCAGGTGGATCACCTGAGGCCAAGAGTGTGAGACCAGCCTGGCCAACATGGTGAAACCCTGTCTGTACTAAAAAAATACAAAAATTAGCCAGGCATGGTGGCAGGTTCCTATAATCCCAGCTACTCGGGAGGCTGAGGCAGGAGAGTAACTTGAATCTGGAGGCAGAGGTTGCAGTGAGCTGAGATTGTGCCACTGCACTCCAGCCTGGGCGACAGAGCAAGACTTTGTCTCAAAAAAAAAAAAAAAAAAAAAAAAAAAAAACCAGAAAATAACAAGTTTTGGTGAGGATGCAGAGAAACTAGAACCTTCATACACAGCTGGTAGGAATTAAAATGGTGTAGCCACTGTGAGAAACAGTTTAACAACTTCCCAAACAATTCTACATAGAGTTACCAAATGACCTAGCAATTGTACTCCTAGATATAGGCCCAACTTGGGCTCTTTCAATCTATGGAAAATGAACTGTGGGTACTTGGCAAGAACAAAGACGGAGAGAGGCAGAAATGCTGCCATGAGAGCACATTGATTGGTCTCTAGTACACATGGTTTCTACTGCAAATGGTCTCTAAATGACTTCATCAGTTGCTCAGAAAAAAAATCACCCTCTGCTCCAATCGTGGAGGAAGAAGTATGGATTGGACCTGGTGAGCCACGGTAAGACTGACTGCTAAACTTTATGAATGATGAGGGGATTTGCACGTATAATCTTAACTGTACATCAAATGTTAATTTTTTATTTTATCCACTGTCTTTGAAAACCTAACTCTTGACTAAGAACTGACTTTCCTGTACTTGTTGTTGACTCTAAGTAAATTTCCAATTCCACATAGTCCAAAGATGATGTGCTGAGAAATCTCTCAAAGGAAAAATGCTAAGAATACAGGCAGAGTTATGAGGCAAATTTTGCAGAATTAACACAAATTGCACTTGTGGGTATGAAGCACAAAACATTTTCATGGGTAAAGAAAAAAGTATTCTTCATTCTAGTAGACGCTGCAGGATGAGGCCGATCAAGGTGTCTGCCCAGCCAGACCTTGGGCTCTTACCTAGTTTGTGTTAGAGTCAACTCTGAGGGAGTCTGTATTTCAGTCATCTTTTTTTTTGACATGGAATCTTGCTCTGTCTCCCAGGCTGGAATGCAGCGGTGTGATCTCAGCTCACTGAAACATCTGCCTCCTGGGTTCAAGCGATTCTCCTGTCTCAGCTTCCCAAGTATATGGGACTACATGTGCATGCCACCATGCCTGGCTAATTTTTGTATTTTTAGTAAAGACGTTTCATCATGTTGGCCAGGCTGTGCTCAAACTCCTGCCCTCAAGTGATGCGCCTGCTTTGGCCTCCCAAAGTGCTGGGATTACAGGCATGAGCCACCATGTCCGATCTCAGTCATCTTTTTATCCTCCACACCTGGCAAGTTCTAGACACACTGTGGTTCCATACAAGTTTGTTGAATAAACAGGAGACAGAAAGTGGGAATTCTGGAAGTAGAGAAGATTCCAGAAATTGTGCATATTTCCCAGAGACTGTGGCCCAATTCCTCAGTCCTGCCAGAGTTTCTCTATCTCAACTCAAACCTTATGTATGGGCCCAGGTGCAGTGGCTCACACCTGTAATCCCAACACTTTAGGAGGCTGAGGTGCGCAGATCACTTGAGGCCAGGAGTTTGAGACCAGCCTGGCCAACATGGTGAAACCCCGTCTCTACTAAAAATACAAAAATTACCCAGGCATGGTGTTCTGCACCTGTAGTCTCAGCTACTCAGGTGGCTGAGGCACAAGCATTGCTTGAACCCAGGAGGCGGAGGTTGCAGTGAGTCACGATTATGCCACTGTACTCTAGCCTAGGCAATAAAGCAAGACTGTCACAAAAGAAAAAAAAAAAACCCTTAAGTGTGGGCCTTGTTACAGAATTAATGTTTATATGGACAATATGTACATGGGTGTATGTTAAGAGCATGAGCCATCCACAAGATTTTAGCAAAGTCCATTTGGAAAGCTCAATGCTTTGGGCTTCCACTTGCTTTGCTGCCTCTGTCCTCAGAAGGAGGCTTCATCCTTCCATGTAATCAGCAAATCCTTTATGCAGAGATGTACACAACACACTCCTCTCCTTGGCTATGACACCTTGAAAGGGTCCTCTTGGTGGCCCCTGGTGCTCATTTCAGAGTAGTTCAAATTAAGGTGATCAGCTTTCATGCCAATCACTCTACAAATTACTCCTATTATGACCAATTTTTCTAAATGCTTTATTGAATTATTACTTAAAGAAATGTGCACATAGAAGAGGTCAACACAGTACTTTTCTTACAAACTGAACATACTGGCCAGAAGCAGTGGCTCATGCCTGCCATCCCAGCACTTTGGGAGGCCGAGGTGAGCAGATTGTTTGAGCCCAGGAGCTTGAGACCAGCCTGGGCAGCATAGTGAGACACTCCTCTCTACAAAAAATAAATAAATAAAAAATTAGGCAACAGTGGTGGCACCTGCCTGTAGTCCCAGCTACTAGGGAGGGCTGAGGTGGGAGGACTGCTGGAGCCCAGGAGGCAGAGGCTGCAGTGAGCCATGACGGTGTCACTGTGCTCCAGCCTAGGTGACAGAGCAAGATCCTGCCTCAAAATCAACAACAACAACAAAAAAAACTGAACATCTCCATATTACTGACACCCAATTCAAGAAACAAAATATTACAGCCCCTTCCAGGATATTCCTGGGGTCTCTTCCATCTCTACTAACCCCTGACTACAAACAGCCTCCACCTATTTCACCTGACATTGTACTTTATGAAAGCAGCAGTTCTCAGATGGGGCTATTTTGCCCCCTGGGGACATTAGGGAATATCTGGAGACACTGAGGGTTGTGTCTACTTGGGGGGAGTTGTGTTACTGCATCCAGTGAGTCCAGGGATCCAGGGATGCCGCTCAACATCCTGAAATGCACAGGGAACCCCCACACATAGAACAGAGAAATTGCTGAGCCAAAATGTCAGCAGTGTCACAGCTGACACCCTGATATACACACTATCACACAGTATCTGCTCTTTCGGGCTCAGGATCTTTTTCATTCTAATCATCTCATAGGAAACAGAAATGTCATTTAGAGGTAGGTAGAGTCCAAAACAAAGAAGAACCTGAGTTTTTTTTTTTTTTTAATCAGCCTGGTGCCTTTAGAGCTAGGATTTAGTTTCTATTCTTTCTGTCTCATTTTCAAGTGATTTTTTCTTCAAATGGCATCTACTGGGCTCAAGAACTGGAGATCCCCACAAAGCTGAGATTCACATGGGAATTTTGTACACACCCACACAGGTATACACTTCCATTTACATGCAGACATCCACCCACAGATACACACATCCGGAGACCAAGACAGAACGCAAACTGCCCCATAAAAGCACGGTTCCCCAAACAGGAGAAACACACCATTCACTCCAGGGAGGTATCTATTTGTTTAATTCAGCCTCTGATAGTCAGGCTGTTGCCAAGCCCAGCTCTGAAACTCTTCCCCTCTAGGAAAGAAAGATGGATTTTTTCTTTACTCAAGAATATAGATCTAAAAAAAAAAAAACACTTCTGCATCTCAAAGCAGGCTCTACCTCCTGAGCTACACGTATTGATCAGCTTTTTATTGTCAATTTTCTTTTAATTGAATTGGAGAAAAATATAAATTATGTTCTTGCTGACAGTTTGGAATCAGTTACACTAAATCCAATTCTCTGGGTTCTCATGATTAAGGTGTTTAATTTGGGGGACAACAAAGCAAAAGCATTGGTCGTGTTTTAATATAATTAGTACAGGATATATCTAAGGGGTTCAAGTATCACTGTAGCAAGAAGCTCATTCTGCAGTAAAAGGGGGATTCTGCCACTAGGATTGAGTGAGGGTGGTTCATGGCTGCACCGTTTCATCAATGTCTCTTCAAGAGTCCATGGAATGTGGAATGGGAAAGACTGAAATAGTGCAAGTCTTGGCTAAGCTTCTATTAAGGGGTGTTAGGAGCTGATAAAATAACCTGGTCTTTATAGACATCCCACACTGTAGTTCTCTAAGCTACAGATTCTCAGATTTTTCTATTTTATGAACGAGTAAAAATATTTTTTTAATTTGAGAACCAACATAAGGTTGCTATCTTTTTTTTCTTTTGGGTAAGAAGGAACTTTTTTAAACTACCAGTTACACACACACACACACACACACACACACACACACACACACACACACACACAGAAATTCCACCACGATTGGTCAGAATAGGTGAGGTTTTGCTGCAATAACAAACAACTCCCAAATCTTGGTAACTTCAAACATCAGAAGTTGTTTTTCTCACTCATGCTTCATCTGCAGGGAGGTGTGGGGTGCTCTGTTTCCCATCAAACTTGCCCTAAGACTAAGGTTAATGGGGGTTGCAATACCTCGAGTATCACCAAGCAGGGAACAGAGGGAGAAGAATGTTAGAGAGTCTTGTACTAAGAATTAAATGCTCCAGGCTAGAAGTCTAACATTGCACCTCTGCCCCCAGCCTCTTGGCCAGTACTAGCCACATCCCCTCCCCCACCACAGGGCAATACATGAAGACAGGAGAATTGGATACATTACAAATTTCTACCCCATGGCATTTCATAAAAGAGAAAAAAATGCCAACACAAAAATGTTTTAATAGAATAGAATATATACATTTTTAGAATAAAGAACAATCCTCCAAAAAGGACAGCTGGTGGTCTCTCAACAATGGGCACATTTCTGTGACATTTTCTCTGTTTTTCCATTTTATCCTTGACCTATGAACATTTTATACAGATGGTCCAAAGAACACCATTTGGGGACCACTGCTGTAATCAGGTGATGAAAACGGCCCCAAGAACAGAGCACAGTCTCTTTAGCAAAGACCCAGCAGGGCCAGGGTGACCATGTTCTCACCATCAATGTGCAGACATCCACCTGCAGCATCCTCACATCCCAACATCAAACAGTGGCTCTTTATAGCTTGATTCTAATGCCCTTTGATCTTCATAATCATTGTAAAGCTCTCTGGCCCCAAGATCTAACATCGCCACTCTAGCTACATCCTGCAACTGTTCACCTCTCCTGCCTCCTCATCCCTCTAAACTTCTCTTCACAACCTCATGTTTCCTTCTTGCTTTACCTTCCTGCTCAGCCTGGACCTTACAGTCACCTTCTTCTTGTAATGTGCTCCTAAACTCTTTCTTCCCTTCCTTCAACCACACCCACCTGGAAAATCTCCATACCCCATTGACGACTTGCCTCGCAACTGCCCAAGGGCTGCTGAATGATACTGGAAAGAATCACAACAGGGATCTGGTAGTTCCACTAAATAATCTCACCATCCAACTCTAGGGCAGACTTCACTTCTGTTCAGCAATATTTTTAAGCATCACAAATAAATTCCAAACCATATTTGCTATAACAATTGACTGTAAACCTCTTCCATATCTCAAAGCCCCCCAAACCCAGCCCTAGGGGTTTCAGAGCCCAGAGTTGAGTTCTCTCAACTCACTTCCATCTCACCCCTAGATCACTGTATCTTGATCCTCTTCCTCTGCCTTTCCCATGTTATAAGGAGAAGCATCCTTCTCCTTTCCCAAGCTACCTTCTCCACTTGTGCCTCATTTGAGACCTGCCTTTATCACCCGTTCCCTTGGAACTCCCATGACTCACCACCTTCACTTGTCATTTCACTCATAAATATTTTGCACCGTGTATGTGCCAGGCGATTAACATATAATCATGCTTAAGTCTCCACATGCTAACAAGAAAAACCTTGATTATCCCTGCTATGCCCTCAAGTCATTACCCTCCCCGCTCCTTTCCTGTGTTCCCAAACTTTGTTGATCTTCATCAATCCCTCTGATGCAGATGGCTCCGAAGTTTGCATCCTATTAGGTTGGTGCAAAAGTAATTGCGGATTTTGCCATTAAAAGTAATGGCAAAAACAGCAATTATTTTTGTAGCAGCCTAGTATCTTTTCTCCTTCTACCAAACTTTGTCCCTGAGACATCTCATCACCTATAACTACCTCCTCCATGCAGTTGATTCCCAGATCTGTATTATTCTACTGAAAGTCCATTCCCCAATTTTCTCGGCTAGAATAACAGAAACCCAATTAGAATTCATGCTACCAGTTTCCCACCACCACCACCACCGTCGTCCTGCCATTGTTAGCAAAACCATCTCTTGAGTGGAGCTCAAAGATTTGTAATTTCCCAATCCCCAGAAAGATAACTTCAGACTCAGCTTAGAAGTAAAGATCCTCCAGATATGGCCTCAACTACCCTCCAACCCATGTCCCCAGTGCATCCCGTTGATGCCCCCTTCAGTGGAGTTAAAATGGAGTGAGTGTTTTTCTTTTCACATACTCCTGGTGTTCTTCCACAAATACAATTTTCACCTCTTGAATATTTTCAAGGATTCTCCATGCTACACACAGAGAAATCCAAACTCCCCATCAGGACCCCAGTCTTCCCAAACCCTCTTTGCACTTTTCTGCCTCCATGCTTTTCCTTGGGTCATCCTCTTCTCTAATATAACCTTGTGTATTATTCTAGGTTCTCCAGAGAAAGAGCAGAGAGATAGAGGTAGAGATATACACATAGAGAGAGACAGATTGATTTGTTGTAAGGGATGGCTCACCTGGTTATGGAAGCTAAGGAGTCCTGGAGTCTGCAGCCAGCAAGCTGGAGACCCAGGACAGCCAATGATATAGTTCCAACTCGAGTCCACATGTAAAGTCAGGAGAAGATTGATGTCCCAGCTCAAATATAATCAGGTAAAAAGAGCAAATTCTCTGTGATTCTACCTTTTTGTTTTGTTCAGGCCTTCAATGGATTGGATGAGGCTCACCCACATTGGGGAGGACAATCTGCTTTATTCACTCTACCAATTAAATGTTATCCTCATCCAGAATACCTCAGAGACACACCCAGAATAATGTGTAGCCAAATATCTGGGCACCCCACAACCCAGTCAAATTGATACATAACACTAACCATCATGTCTTGCTTCTACTCTCTCGCCATTTCTGCATGGCCAAATCTTTCCCTTATTTCAAGGCTTAGTTCAAATGTTACCTCTTAACTAAGCCTTCCCTGCTAACCCCAAATATTAATAGAATTGGTTTCTCCCTTCTCTGATGTCTCAAAATATATTGTGTTTCTCTTTTATTGTATTTATTACAAACTCCCTTACAAATCAAGACAGTGATTCCCAGACAAATTATCACAAGAGTATAAAAGAAGTCTTCTTTGAGTGTGAAATATCTCATGGAATATAGCACATGGCCTCTTCATGAAGAAACTACTGGGAGAGAAGAAGATAAGCTGGAAGAGGCCAGGGAAAGGGGGTTAGTACAAAGCACAATGGGGCTGGGCTCATACAGTGGCTCACACCTGTAATCCCAGCACTTTGGGAGCCCAAGGCCGGTGGATCAAGAGATCAGCAGATCGAGACCATCCTGGCTAACACGGTGAAACCCCGTCTCTACTAAAAATACAAAAAAGTTAGCCAGGCATGGAGGTGGGCGCCTGTAGTCCCAGCTACTCGGGAGGCTGAGGAAGGAGAATGGTGTGAACCCGGGAGGCAGAGCTTGCAGTGAGCCGAGATTGCACCACAGCACTCAAGCCTGGGTGACAGAGCAAGACTCCATCTCAAAAAATAAAACAAAATAAAATAAAGCACAATGAAATGTCAGTGGATGGGTGCCTATAATTTCTAAGGGAAATAGAGTATAATCCAAGAATTTTATAGCCAGCTAAATTATTGCCCAATCAAAATAGGCAAAAGACACATGCTGAAGAACTTAAAGAATACAGTATTTCTGAGCTCTTTAAAAAAAAGTCTTCATAATAAAATTTAGTCAGCCAAGAAATTAAAAAATAAGCAACTTGTGAATTGAATGACCATGACAAAAGGCTAGTGATAGGACTATGATTGCAGAACAGAAAGAGAAGGTGGTCAACCTTAACAACATAAAACAACCTAGAAATAACTAGTTTCCAGAGGTAAAGAGAGGGACTGTAGGAAGTAGAAATGTTAATGCCCTTTATTAAGTCAATTAATCAGGTCTAAAATTGAAACGTGATTTTAAATATATAACTTCTTGTTTATTTTCCTCCCTAACTACCTGAGGATCAACCACCAACATGAATGACACAGTGACTACCTGGACCAGGAAGTTTATGACCAATCGACCGTTCCAGAGGAAACAAATGGTCACCAATGTCCTTCACCCCGGAAAGGCAACAAAATGTACAAGACCACAATGGATGTCATCTTCATATTAATAGTTGGACTCAGAACCCATTTTGGTGGTGGTTAAACAATCGTCACCCACATTGGAGTGCAGTGGTACGATCTCAGCTCACCAAATCTCTGCCTCCCAGGCTTAAGCAATTCTCCTGCCTCAGCCTCCCCCGCAGCTAGGATTACAGGCACGCACCACTACTGCCTGGCTAATTTTTATGTTTTTAGTAGAGATGGGGTTTCACCTTGTTGGCCAGGCTGGTCTTGAACTCCTGACCTCAAATGATCCACCCGCCTTGGCCTCCCAAAGTGCTAAGATTACAGGCATGGGTCACTGTGCCCAGCCTTTTCTGTATTAAATTTTTAAAAACACAACATTTAAAATAATCAAGTCATTCTTTTTGAATCTACTTTGTATTATAGGTATCCAAATACTCACCTATTCTCTCTCACATGATGACAAACTCGTTGAAATGTCATTTCATTTTGTGGCTCCAGCCCCAGGGATTCTGAGTCTGATTCTAAAGGGCCTGCATGCAGAGCAAGCAAGCCGCCTGGATGATTCTCTTACAGGTGTTTTAAGGGCATCAGTTTGAGACACCCTGATGCAAAAGAACGAACCCTCAAGGAAGTTGGCTGTACATGTATTTTCCTTCCTAGCACAGGAAAAGACAGAAAGATTATCCAATCAGTACCACTCATAGCACCTGATTATATATGTATGAGGAATTCAGAAATGGTTTGATCAAGGTTGAAGACCTAAAAAGTAGCTTTTCTCTCGGACACCAAGTCCCCATCTCATGCGTGGTTGAGTTAGTAGAATCTGAGGATGATGCTTCTTCCTCCAGGATTGGTATCCTATGGTTTTTGTTGTTCAGTAAATGAAGTACCTCCATCCCCCAACATCCCCATGCTCAATTCCAGTTTCCTCACATACACTTTTTTTTTTTATTTTTTTTTGAGACAGAGTCTCGCTCTGTCACCCAGGCTGGAATACTGTGCAGTGGTGCAACCTCAGCTCACTGCAACTTCCACCTCCCAGGTTCAAGTGATTCTCCTGCCTCGGGCTTCTGAGTAGCTGGCATTACAGGCATGCACCATCACGCCTGGCTAATTTTTGTATTTTTAGTAGAGATGAGGTTTCATCATGTCGTCCAGGCTTGTCTCAAACTCTTGGCCTCAAGTGATCCACCTACCTCAGCCTCCCAAGTGCTAAGATTACAGGTGTGAGCCACCATGCCCAGCCCCCTCACTTACACTTTTACAGAAGATCTGATCATACCCACTCCGCAGAAGTCAGAATGGCCCCCACATGGTGTTAAACGGGAGTGAAAACTTGAGTTCAATCAACTGAGGGTGACACAGAAACATTTCCCCCAAAACGCTTTTGGCAGCTCTGCTGATCCATAACCTGGCTCCATTTCAGGGCAAGACCTCCACTTAAGCTGCACTGGCTTCCACTAGAGTAAATCACATTAACTCATGGCAAACACAACTGAAGGGCAAAAAGATTCTTTTTAAAAGGATTTTAGTCTCTCACTTACCAACACACCCTGGCCTCCCTAGAGCCGGACTCCATTCAGCACCTGTTCCACTGAGCACCCACTGAAAGCTCAGCTCATGAGCTGAGATGACCCAGACATCAAGGAGTTTACAATCCAGGGGAAGAACAGACCTGAATACAAGTGATGACAATACAAGACGGAGTCAAAGAGCCCAACTTGAAGTATCAGCAGAATAGCACCAAAGACTAGTTCCCAACCCAGCTCCCAGCGCCAGAGCCAGAGCCAGGCTGGCTGCATGAGATCAGCTGGGAGCTTTTGCAAACCTAGGTCCTAGCTAAGCCCCTAATCATCAGACTGGCAGTCACTGGGAGTGAGCTCCAGGAACTCTTTTATTTAATAAGCACCCACACACACATGATTCTGATGTTCCTAAGGGTTGTAGAAACATGGAACTATAGAAAACACTTAAAAAAAAAAGGCACTAAAAGAAACCTATAAATATTCACTACAATCCCAGGCATCATGAGGACACTCCACGTGCACTATTTACAATACTTAGAATATCCTGCAAGGGAAGCATTCATTCATGACGATGGGCTTTATTGGGATCAGAGCCAGCCCTGGGAATATTTGAACCCGCGCTGAAAGTCACCCCTTCCTCCCCACAGGAGGGGGCTAACATTAAGGAGCAGGGACCAGATGGGAAATGGAGTGTCCTTTTATTATGAGACCACAGTGAGAGACTTTTTTTTTTTCCAGAGTCTTGTTCTTGCCACCCAGGCTGGCGTCCAGTGGTGCAATCTCAGCTCACTGCAACTTCTGCCTCCCGGGTTCAAGTGATTCTCCTGCCTCAGCCTCCCGAATAGCTGGGACTATAGGCACCCGCCACCACACCTGACTAATTTTCGTATTTTTAATAGAGACAGGGTTTCACCATGTTGGTCAGGATGGTCTTGATCTCTTGACCTCATGATCCGCCTACCTTGGCCTCCCAAAGTGCTGGGATTACAGATGTGAGCCACCACGCCTAGCCTCAGACTTTCAAGTAAAGCCACAATGGACCACAGAGCTTAGACATCAGGGCTAACATGGAATCTCTGTCATTAAATCTTGAGATCTTACTATCTTTGGTCAAAGAAAAAAATAATCACAAATGACATTTTGAGGACAAGACATCTGAATGTAAAGTTGATCTTAGAGGATATTAAGGAATTACTGGTAATTTGATTAGGTATGACAATGATCATATAAAAAGTGCCCTCATGTTTTTAGAGGGAAAGTAAATTACGTAGGGATGAATATCAGGATGCAATTACATAACTACTGTCAACTATTTTGTAAATACTTCAGAAAAACAAATGAAGTAAATATTGCAAATGTTAATAGTTTTTAAATCTATGTGATGGGTATATGATAGCTCATTAAACTGGTGTCTCTACTTTTATGTTTATTGAAAAGTTTTTGTAATAATAATAAAAAAAAAACCTTGGCCAGGCACAGCAGCTCATGCCTGTAATCTCAGCAGTTTGGGAGGCCGAGGTGGATGGAGGACTGCTTGAGCCCAGCAGTTTGAGACCAGCCTAGGCAACATGGTGAAACCTCATCTCTACAAAAAATAGACAAATTAGTCAGGCATGGTGGTGTGCATCTGCAGTCCCAGCTACTCAGGAGGCTGAGGTGGGAGGATCACCTGAGCCCAGAAGGTCAAGGCTGCAGTGAGCCAAGGTCACGCCACTGCACTTCAGCCTGGGCGACAGACCCTGTCTCAAACAAACAAGCAAACAAAAACCCTCTTGATCCCATTTCCCAAAAAACGATTTTTTTGAGATCTTATCATCTCCTGGCTTGGTGCAGAGTACAGGAAATCGAGACAAAGTACAACACACAAGGAATAAGGAGGGAGGGAAGCGTGGGGGAGGCTGACATCGTGGACTCTCCCAGCTCAGTCGACCCATGCGCCTTCCTTCATGGAAGAAAGGAATGGAAGATGAATCATGCCTTCAGCACAGAGAGACCTTCCTCACTAGTAAATGCGTCTCCAGAAATGTCCAAGAACTCAGTGCCAGAGCCAGGCTGGCTGCATGAGAATCACCTGCGAGCTTTTGCAAACATAGGCCCCTACTGGCTCCAAATGTATTCGTCTCTTGGAGAGGAGGAGAGAGGCAGAACAAGGAAAAGGATGGGAAGAAACCAGCCTTGTGCACAGGAGGATGCTGGGATTCCTCCTGCAAGTTTAGCGCAATGCAGCCTATTTTACAAGGTCACAGAAGCTCAGAGAGGTAAACCTGCCCAGGTTCTCATAGCTTGTAAGTGACAAAACAAAACCCGCCCAAGTCTCTGTCTCTAGAGATATTTCCACTTGCTTTAACTCTGGAGCTGTCTTAGTTGTAAAGACAGATTCCACTCCTCACTCACTTTTGTTTGCAGATATTGCCTAAGGTCCCTTGTGAATATTTAGGTCAGGGTTTTTTTTTTTTTTTTTTGAGTTTTTTTTTTGTTTGTTTGTTTGTTTTTAAAAAAGCAATCTCGTAGAAAGAACCCAAAGTGGCTCCCCATTTTAAGACTCTGCAAACAGGGAGACCAGAGTCTGGAGTCCCGGTCTGATTTCCACACTTTCCTTAGATTTCCCTGTGTGTAAAATCCAACAACAATCTTTGACAAATTGCCTCCCCCAGGGGAGAGATGGAGGAAGTGTTAACTTTGCTTTTTTTTTTCTTTTTTCAGACAGAGCCTCACTCTGTTGCCCAGGATGGAGTGCAGTGGTGCAATTTTGGCTCACTGCAACCTCTGCCTCCTGAGCTCAAATGATTCTTGTGCCTCAGCCTCCCGAATAGGTGGGACTACAGACAGATGCCACCACACCTGGCTAATTTTTGTATTTTTAGTAGAGATGTGGTTTCGCATATTGGCCAGGCTGGTATCGAACTCCTGGCCTCAAATGATCCACCCCGCTCAGCCTCTCAAAGTGCTAGAACTACTATAGTCATGAGCCACCATGCCCAGCCACTTTGCTATTTTTTTAATAGACAGCTTCGAGGTCCAGTATGATTTCACAGATTAGGAAACATCACAGGCAAAGAAGAACACTTTGCATTCAAATAGTAGAATGTTTTTGTTTTCAAGGAGCTCTCACCTGCCATCTAATCTTGTCTTCCTAGCAGTCCTGGGAGAGAAGCAGATGTGGTTTCCAATCCCACTTTCCAAAAGAGGAGACTGAGGCAGAGGCTTTGCAGATACACAGAGGACATGTGAGGACAGGTGAAGGTCATGATCATTGTCAGCGCCCTCCCCCAACTTGACATTCCCAGACCTAGTGGACTTCCAAACAGAGGAGACAGAAGAACTGATCAATCAATTCTGCCATGGGTGCCAGGACCCAATTTTTCCCTGGCTAACTCGGTCACATCCTGTCTGGGATCTCCAACTACTACCCATCCCACAAGTCTCAGCTAAAACAGGAATTCAATGGGGAACATTTTTCTGAGGCTCCAGGATTGGGCCAGGCCCTCTCCATGGCTGTCTGACCTTCCCCTAATGCAGAACTTAGCGTCTGTATGTCACTATTGGTTCAAACATGTGCCTTTCATATGCTCTCCACGTTATCTGCAGCATCTGCCAAGAATAATAATGAATGGTAAAACCTAATCTCTATTGAGTGCCGATGATGCACTTTTAATGTGACATCTTATTTAATCCTCACTATATCTGCAAGAGTAGAAGCTATTAATAGCCAATTTTCAGATAAGAAAGTCAAAGCACGGTTTCTATAACTTACCCAAGCAGCTAGCTAGGAGGCAGCTCAGTTTGAGCCCAGGGAATCATATTCCAGAGATCATGTTCTCAATTACTAGAGCAGGTACCTCCCCAGAATCTAGCAGGTGGTTAACGAGTCTTTGTGGAATAAATGAACAGAAGGACAACAGATGGATGGATACATAGGTGGATGGGTGGATAATGGGTGGGCGGGCAGGTGGACGAATGAATGGATGGTTGAGTCAGTGAAGGGATGGCTGAGTGGGTGGAGAAATGGATGAGTGGGTGAGGGGTTGGAGGGATAAATGGATGGATGGGTGGGTGGATAGATGGTTAGATGAGTAAACGGGTGGATAGATGCATGGGTGAGTGGATGGATAGAGGGTGGTGGTGGATGGGTAGGTGGATGATAGCTGGGTGTATAAGAGAGTGGGTTGGATGGATAGATTGGTGGGTGGGTAGATAGATGGGTGGGTGGTTGGATGTATGCATGTCTGGATGGATGGATGGATGGACGGATGGAAGGAAGGAAGGGTGGATGGATGGATGGACAGATGAACAGATAGACTTGGGCATTTATTCGGGGTCCTCCAAAGAATTGAGTTATTTCCCTAGGGTGTCTCATCACCTGCAGGTAGGTGGGCAAGGGGGCTTGCCTCTGTAATACTCATGATTATGGGTAGTCCTCAGCCTTAGTCACCACTCTCAGAACACTTTATTGACTAGGAAAGTCAAAACTGGCATTGATAACTAACGGAAATTGCAGCTAAAACTAACAGAAGATGTTGAGCTGATGACAGCTGGGCAACCAATAATCAATAACTTGGCTGTGTCATGTTACTGCCATGCTGGGCAGGTAGAACCAGGGGTTCCTTAATCCCTCCTTCACATTAAGGATGCTTATCAAGACTTCCCCAACCATGGAGACAGGGATATTATCAAATACTTGCAGTTCACCCCAAAAGGCTCACCCTCTTCGTTCCACCTGCACATGACCTTCAGCTCAAAGACATTTCCAGTCCTCCAGGTCAGCCCTTCTTCCAGCCTTTGAATTAACCCTGATGACTGCCTGCCCATTAAGTGTCTTCACCATTCATCACATAGCCTTTTCCAAGGCTTTCCTTCAATCCAGCCCTCACTAAACGCTGGAACTGTTGTTGACAAAATCCAGAACAAGCTGGGTGGGGGATGCAGTTGGGAAGCAGGCTGTAGTAATGGGGAAAAATTCTAAGCAATCTCGAACACAGAAAATAAACTGAACAGGTAAGAGAGAGGCAGTCAAGAGAAGAAGTGTGAATTTTGCATAACTGAAGCTGAAGAAGATCGGGGGGCATGGCAGACCACAAGATAAATATGATAAAGACTCCTTTTTAAAAAAGTATAAACATCCACCCTTTCCTACTGACAACTGTGCTTCAAATATTGCTAAGGTCTTTACTAAAGGTGAGTCAGAAAAACTGGGTATTTTATGCAATACAGTAAGAAGGCCCATAGGCAAGTATGTTCCTGACACCACCTTCTAGGATAAGCCCTGAGATTCTGGTTACTCCTATCCTAAACTTGTCTCTCACTCCTGCTGTTGGAGAGCTACCATGAGAGAAAAACCATAGTGAAGTGGTTAAGAGTGTGCACCCAGCGACTGGCCAGATGACCACAAACCATCACTATCTAATACTGAGCAAGTTACATAATGTTTCCGAGCCTCAACTTTCTCATCTGTAAAATGGGT